>NC_000001.11:40462925-40765956 GCF_000001405.40 Homo sapiens | reverse complement strand
AACCCCATCATGGGAAACCAAAGCTACGAAAGCGCCCTTAGAGTCTCTCATGCTTACGATTAAATCTCAGATAATACAATAATACCACATGCTGCATTTAATTGTGTGCTAAAAGCCTTAACTCAGGCTCTTAATGCTCCAGTGTACCATGAAAGTATTAGTGTTTTGAGCTGGGGATGAAAAGAGGACCAAGGCGGTTACCACATCAGAGAACTGTAGCTCAGCAAAGATGATGGTCAGCAGAGGAGGACTGCAGACATTCACACCCTCAATTTAGAGGAAATGAAAGGGGTTCTGGGAGCATGGATAGACTAGGTCTCTATCTGCGGGGTCCAGAAACCACCTGCCCTGGCTGCCCAGCCTGCCTTTGTTGCAAGGGGAAGCTTCTTGTGGCTAACAGGCAAGTATTGCCTCTGCTCTGGAGCAAATTTCCCTCTGGCCTTCAAGAGCTAACTTCACTGCAGGACTCTTCCATGAGGAAAATGCTAATGGGATGAAGCTGCATTCCTGCACGCAGTGTTCAATCAAAATGCTTCTCTGAGACTTCCAGCCTCACAGAATTTGAACTACCGAGAAAAAACGACCTCTCAAGTTCACGGTAGACCATTCCAGAATTGCCCACTTGAGGCAAGATGGAGGGACACCCAATCTAAACCCATTAAAAATCTGGTTCAAAGGAGACAGGGCAAGAGTATTAGGACCTGCAGTCATTTCTTTCCTGAGAATATGCCAAGAGAAGCTGCTGGGAGGCTGTGGTGCCAAGCCTGAATTCCCCACCTAAATCCTATAATGCAGCTTCCTGGCAACAATGTTAAGTTGCTTGTGGGGAGGAAGGCAGCTGGGCAGAAGTTTGGAAAACCTCATCTACAGAGACTGATGGTGGCTAGTTCCAGGAGTCCCCAGAACTCCAGCCAGGGATCACAAGATGAAAAACTAAAGCCTTGTCCCAGGAGTGGGAGAAGGTATACTGACAGCTACAGGGATGTTAAAATTTTCTAGCTGGGAAGAGCTCTTTGCAGAAACCCAAATGTGACTGAAAAGCTGTGAGCCAAATGGTTCCAAGCAGCTCTTCAACAAAGCAAGAAGCTTTCCTTTTTGGCCTAGGTTAAGACATTTGGTGATGATCCGTCCCTCATTCCTCTACAGCAGGACAGGTCTGGGGACCCTCATAGCTTTTTTACATTAATTACAGAGAAAATAAGCTCTGGGTTTTTGAAAGGGAAATAAAGTTTCCTTCCTGAAGCTCATCACTATTAGGAACATTCCAATGAGCTGCCTAAAGAGTCTGGAAATGAAGACTCCTACAGAAGGTGCCTGAGCCAGTGAAGATGAAGTAGTGAATTCTGCAACAAATCTTCTGGGCTAAAGCTCTGTGCCCCAGAGAGTTAAAGTATCTGCAAGGTGGAACTCTTCTCTGTCTTAAATGAACCTGTGGTGGTGCCTTCGCTTGCAAAAATGAGAACCATTCAACAGAAATCTTGGGGTTGAGGACTGAAACAATGAAGCAAGGCAGAGCTCAGTCATCTGCAATCCTGGGTATCGTAAGCACACGTGAGAGAGGTAGAGAAAGAGACATACACACTCCACTTTCCTAAGCTTTCTCTTGGCCTATTACTATGTTAACTTCAGATGAAGAACAATTCCTAAACTGATCTCAGGATACTTTTAGAGTTATTTTCACAGAGGAAGTGGTTAACCAAGTCTACGTGAGTTTCTATACCTGCCTACGTTTCATTTATGACAAAAATGGCAAAGGGCAGGGAATAGAAGGACTGCTCTGTTTCACTCACTTTCCAGTTTTGGGGGGTCAAAATGACCAATGTAAAGACTGCAAGTGTTAAGACAAGGACACATTTTACAAAAGGAGTACAAATAAAAAAGCCAACAAATCTAAGAAATGAAATCCCTCAAGGCACACAGGAAGCAGCAGTCCACAGTAAAGGAATAGATAAGTTATATGAAAGCCAAAAATACACTTTGCTGCAGGCTCCACTGGGAACTGACTCATGAATATGCAACAAGTGTATTTATGGCCTTCCCTATACGCCTCCCTCTTATCCTCTGCTAATCAAATACAGGACTGCCTCACAGGGCCTTTGGGCCTTGGCATGGGTAGTGGTTACAATGATTTCCCTGCATAGGTAGAATGAGGGGAAATCGAGAGAAGCCGCCCAATCGTGGTGAACCTGAACCTAGATTAAAGGAAAGCAGGGAACAAACACAGTGAAGCAAGTTGTGGTCAGGAACACTGGGCATATAGGTTAAAAACAAAACAAACACACACACGCATATATATAAATAAGTACTGAGGGCTGGGCGTGATGGCTCATGCCTGTAATCCCAGCACTTTGGGAGGCCGAGGCGGGCGGATCACCTGAGGTTAGGAGTTAGAGACCAGCCTGGCCAACACTGTGAAACCCCATCTCTACTAAAAATACAAAAATCAGCCGGGCATAGTGGCACGTGCCTATAATCCCAGCTACTCGGGAGGCTGAGGCAGGAGAATCGCTTGAACCTGGGAGGCGGAAGCTGCAGTGAGCTGAGATCAAGCCACTGCACTTCATCAGTCTGAGTGACACAGCAAGACCTGTCTCCTAAAAAGAAAAAAAGGATTATGCATGCGTGTGATATATATCTCTATATATATATCAAGGTATATATATAGCTACAGATATATATATCAAGGTATATATATAGCTATAGATATACATATCAAGGTATATATAGAGACATACATATATATATCAAGGTATATATATAGCTATAGATATATATATCAAGGTATATATATAGCTATAGATATACATATCAAGGTATATATAGAGATATACATATATATATCAAGGTATATATATCTTTAAGTATTTCCTTCTATAAAGTTGTAAAGACAGACCTCAGGGCAGGACTCACCGGGATCTGCTGGATCTCTCCTGTGTTAGTGATGATCTGCTGCATCACCTGCATGGTCTGTCCAGTGCCACTCTGGGCCTGTTGGGCTTGACCCTGTGGCTGAGCCTGGACAATCTGCACCTGCTGACCTTCTCCAACCTGCATTGTCACAGGTGTGGTCTGAAAGGAAGAGTTATGAGAATGCTGCGTGAGTTCAGGCTCAGAGCCCACAGGATTACCGAGAGGTTAATAACGAGCAATGTGCTGGGAGCAAACCCTCTCCATGAATGCCTAAGGTCATCTCAGTACTAGTAATAACCTACAGAGTCCTCTGGGTTTACAGCATTGCTGAAGTTACTCTCCAAAACGAAAGAAAAACCAAAAATATTTTTAGGCTCACAGTACAAATATTTGCATGGGTCCCAAACATAAATCTCTGTGCCCCAAATGCTGCAACTTTTCACAGCCCCTTTAGTGATAAGGCACATACACTACAGAAAAAATCAAAAGCAACCATGACCGTTTACTTCAGAAATAGCCAAAGTCAAGTCTGGGGCAGGTGAATTTGGAGGGGAACATTAAATGGAAAGGGTCAGTATGAATTTATTTAGTTCAGGGTCATGTGCTCTTTCTTAGGCATGTAAGACACTGAGAGAAAAATAAAGCACAGGGGTGCATCTCCAAGGCGGGCCCTAGTGCACGCTGGCTCTCACCCCATTCAAGCTGCAGAGCAATTCCTGCCCACACTGGCCAGATGGCTGCTCTGGACCACAGTATGGCTTCCCAAAGGAGAGCAAACACTGCTAACTCACTGGGCACTGTTAAGACACAGACTCTTAACTAAGTCTACCCCTAATTAATAGAATTTAAGAAAGCAAGAACTCTAACTTTCTAAAAATAGCAATCTCAGATTTAAGAAATTTCTGCCCAATGTGTATGACTTGGCAGATTCTGTCTCTCACACACAATGGTTGTAGTCCTATGAAATGTACTCTTTTGAGACGGTAAAGACACAAGCTGCCAAAAGGGTCAATTATTCTTTCAAATCTCAAACCTTTAGTACTGTTTGTGACTTTTACAGGTTACCTAGAGCAGTGAGCCTATCTGGGCTCATCTGGTGGTGGTAGTGATGGGGGGTGGCGGGGGTGTGGGCGTGGGTGGAGCCTTTTAAACTACACCTGTACACCCAATCCCTGACTTGAATTCCATCACTATCTCTCCTCACTTTGAATTAATCACCTCAATAAGAAGACTATGGAACTCTCAATGAATCATAAACTTCAACCGATGTTGCTATTCTGATGTTCTTAATTCTGACTGCATAGGTTACTGAAAATTACAACTATGCATCCAAAGTTACAAGGGAAGGGGATGTGTTCTGGGAACGACAGATGAGATTCAAGGGATTACTACGGAGAAATTACTATAAACTGGAGGAGGGCCAAAAAGAAAGACGACAGAGTGTTCTAAAAGTACATGCAGTGGGCTAGGCTAACAGAAAACATTTCTTCCATTCTTGTACCACAATTTTCAACTCAGCCTATTCCCAACCTCCAGAAATAAGTTTTCAATTTATGACAGAAAACACAGGATTAATTTTACCAAAATATGCATTCTTTCCAACTCTGCTTTAATACATATGTATTCTGTCCTACGAAGGATATTTGCACTCAACTTGAAATAGCCATCACTACGGGTCCAGGGAGGTGTGACACAGCACAAGGCCACCCTGAAGCAGCAGGATGGTGAAACAACAGCCAGGAAATGCTGGGAAGGACCAACTTCACCATCCTCACAAGCCTTATCAGCTCCAAGCTGAGCACGTCTGGGTTGGCAGAGAGGAGCACAGATGAAATTCTCGCTGACTAAAAAGAAATGCATGCTGCCAACTCATCACTGTACTGTATCAACCCAATTTTCCCGAGAGGATTTCCAAGGTATTTCTAAATCATTTCAGGAAAATGAGGGCTTGTGTTAGCATGGCAGCTGTCAAATCATGTATGGTGTGCCCTGCTGTCAGGGCACAACAGCCATGAGCTTCTTAGGATGATCAGCCAATCAGAGCCTGCCCTTGGCAGACTCCCTCTAAGTTCATTCTGTAAAGGGATAAAGCCTTTGGCAGGTAAAGTTTTCACCACTGCAGAGGCACAAGCATTAGCCAAAGAAGGTCCCTTAGGCATCATGATACAGTCGAGGCCTTGAGCCAGTGACTGAGCAGCCATTATCTTTGAACCCTCCTGCCTAGCACAGTGTCTGGCATAGAACAAGCACTCAATACATTTTTGTTATATGGATAAGTAAAATGAGCAGAGAATAAATCCTAAAATCATAATTACCTTTTTTTTTTTTTGAGACAGTCTCGCTCTGTCACCCAGATTGGAGTGCAGTGGCACGATCTCAGCTTACTGCAACATCCGCCTCCCAGGTTCAAGAGATTCTCCTGCCTCAGCCTCCCCGGGTAGCTGGGACTATAGGCGCCCGCCACCACGCCCGGCTAATTTTTGTATTTTTAGTAGAGATGGGGTTTCACCATATTGGCCAGGCTGGTCTTGAACTCCTGGCTTTGTGATCCGCCCACCTCGGCCTCCCAAAGTACTGGGATTACAGGTGTGAGCCACTACGCCCAGCCATAATTACTTATTTTTAATTCTCTGTGTGTTTGTTTTTGAGACAAGGTCTTGCCATATTGCCCAGGCTGGTCTCCAACTCCCGGGCCCATGCGACCCTCCTGCTTTGGCCTCCCAAAGTGATGGGATTATAGGTGTGAGCCACCGCACCTGGCCAAATCATAATTACTTAAATCTACCTCCTAACTGGGCATGGTGGCTCATGCCTGTCATCCCACCACTGTGGGAGGCCAAGGTGGGAGGATGGCATAAAGCCAGGAGTTTGAGACCAGCCTGGGAAACATAATGAGACCCCATCTCCACAAAAAAATTAAAAATTATCCAGGTGTGGTGGCACATGCCTGGGAGTCCCAGCTCCTCGGGAGGCTGAGGCAGAAGGACTGCTTGAGCCCAGTAGTTTGAAGCTGCAGTAAGCTATGATTGTGCTACTACACTCCAGCCTGAGTGACGAAGTGAGAACTTATCTTTAAAAAAACATCAATCAATCAATCTACCTCTACTCCATTTTTTTTTCTTCTAGGCAAACTCAGCTCCTTATTAGAATATACGAGGCTGTCCAGGATGTGTTTACTATCTATCTTTCCAAACTTGCGTAGATGGTCCCCTACGCTGACTACTTTCCTACGGCCCCCTGTACTGTTTCTCACCTCTGAGCCTTTGCCTGTGCTGTGCCCTCTACTGGCAATACCACCCTTTCCCACTTTCTTTGATTAATTTCCACTGTTCCCCAAGACTCATATTATTCCCTTCAGAAACATTATCTGACCACCTCGTTCACATCTTTCTCAGCTACTCATCCCCTCCCCTACATACATACACACACATATACATATATATACACACATATATAATACACACACACATACACACACACACACACATATACTTTTTTTTGTTTTTTTTTTGAGACAGGATCTTGCTCTGTCACCCTGGCTGGAGTGCAATGGCACAATCACAGCTCACTGTAGCCTTGACCTCCTTGGCTCAAGCGATCCTCCCAACTCAGCCTCTTAAGTAGCTGGGGCCATAAGAGCATGCCACCATGGCTGGCTAATGTTCTGATGTTCTGGTGGAGACAAGGTCTCACCATGTTGCCCAGGCTGGTCTTGAACACGTGGGCTCAAGCAATCCTCCTGCCTCGGCCTCCCAAAGTGCTGGAATTACAGACATGAGCCACCACATGCCCCTGCCTTTTTTTTTTTTTTTTAATTAAAGAAGAGGTCTTGCTGTGCTGCCCAGGCTGAAGTGCAGTGGCATGATCCTACCTCACTGTAACCTCAAACTCCTGGGTTCCTCCCACATTGGCCTCCCAAAGTGTTGGGATTACAGGCATGAGCCACTGCGCTGAGCCAAGGTACTTCTTTTAATGTGTTCCTTTAACACCCTGTACACATTCCCACGTGGTGGTACAACCTTTAAGTATTTGTATCCCCAACTAAATTGTGAATTCCTTGAAAATAAGGACTGTTTTATTCATGCTTGTATCCCCAATACATAGCACAGAACTTTACCCTCAGAGGATGCTCAGTGTTTGATGAATAAATAATGATTGACAGAGAATTTGGATTCAGAGCTCATAGTACAGAGTTCTCTGCAGCCTCACATGACCCCCAACAAACATGAATGCTACTGCTCTTAACACTACTACTGGGGAGAGAAAGAGTCCTCTGATTACTATCGTAAAAAGAGAAGGTCACTTAACACAAATATGGGACAGAGAAATGACGGGGAGAAGGAGTATGCAACTTGGCAATGATACCTAATCTCTCCCTTTAAGGGCACAAATTCCACTTCTCACACAGACACACAGACAGCAGGCATGGAGTTCACTTTAGCACCTCTACTCTTCATAAGGCATTTCAGACATTTTTTTTTCCCTTCTAAAATTTCTGAGCTAATAGGGATCCTGGAGAACATACTGTCTAGTACACTTTCCTCATTTGACCTTTGAGAAAAACAGGGTCCAGAGAGATTAGGGTAACATCTCACCCCAGTAGCTGAATCTGGGGAAAAGTTCCAGTTTCCAGACTTTAAATCCAGTGCTCTATAATGATCTGGCTGCCTCTCTGCCCTCATCAAGCTCTGCCCATCCAAAAACCTAAGGGGCACTGTCTTGCTGGATGGGCATCCTCAGCAGCTCACAGACCTGGCCCTGCTGAGGCTGTGCGATGATGATCTGCCCAGGCTGGATGGTGGTCGTGGAGCTGGTGGTCTGCTGGCCTTGCTGCTGGCCCTGGACTTGGACAGCGGTGGGTTGCTGAGCCAGCGTGAAATAGTACTGGACTGGCTCGGCAGGAGTTACAGACTGGCGCACCTCCTCCTGTTGGGTGGAAAGAGAGGCAGGTAAGAGGAAAAGAACCAACTCAGCAGCCGCCACAGTGAATTTCCACTCTTCCCCCAAACAGGCTATGTGCAGTTGCCTGCTGAATGCTGAGCTCTCCACATTTGAAGCCAAAGGAAAGTGGAATTCAAAGAGACCAGTTATGCTAAATCAAACTAAAAATAACAGATCCTATAGGCTTCACAAAACATACAGCCAATTTCTGAAGTACGAAATAATCACCCATTGCATGATAAGTTGCAAACGGGCAAATAAGTACCGTAACTAAAAACCACACACCAGCAGTGCTTGTCAGTAAATGCTGTCAAGGCCTGTGATCTGAGAACAGTGCTAATTGCAAGTGTTGGGAAGATGCTACCCAAACATCATGCCTCTCAGGCCTGGTCCCAATCTCCCAAATAGGCAGCACTCTTCTCGTTTTAGCCCCACCACTTCAAGGGGGACAGAACAGGTTAATGGGAAACAGGGCTTTTCCTGAGCTGAAATTTCAGGATCGAGAGCACTGGTAGGCAAGTACCCAGCTTTTCACAGCTTGTTGAAAGCTCTGTGGTCACTGAGGGCATGTCTATCCAGTGTCACATCTGGTTCTGGTTGTACTTAGCCACAGAAGCGCAACCCAGGGGGCCTGATGGACAGCTCTCCGCTGGGGTACTGCCTTGGCTGATTAGGGAGGTCGCATTCTGTCCGATCTGCGGAGTGGAGACTGTTCCTTCTTCAGCTGATGTTTTCCATGGCAGAAGGAGTAAACAACCCTCTCCCAGCCACCTTGAGCTCACAGCTGAGAGTGTAGGATGTTTACACACACTACAGCATGGTTATAGCCCACAGGGTCCAGGGTTGATCAGCCCCTGACCACTGACACAGAACGGCGTCTGATCCGGAGTGACCTGTGTGACACATGGTGCCCCTGCCTGGGACAACAAAAACAATAAAAACACAGAACCACTTGGGCTGGCTGAGTAAAAATATTAGCTAAATTTACTCATGTCCTTATTCAGGGCAAAGTTTGCCACGTTCCAGAAAAGAGGAAAAGACACTTCTTAGATGTACACAGACCCTGTGGATTGCCTCCAACTCCCCAAAGTAACATTTACAAAGCTGGTATTGACCCCATCCCCACACTATGTTAGGTGCCCTCAACTGTGCTTCCAAAGTACTGTCCTCACAGTATACATTTTTGCACTTGCATGTCAAATTAACTGTCTGTTCTACTAAAATGTTAAGCACCATGAGGGCAAAGCCTAGCTCTCTCTTGCTCTCTGCTATCCCCCGCGTTCCCAGGTAGGCACTCAGTAAGTGCGTGATGAATGATGAATGGATTTAGACAGGCAGACAGTTAGAGGCAGGAAAGTAGTTCTCTGAATCCAACTTGCTGATATGACAAATTCTCTTAAACCCAACAGCTGTTACCAATAGAAAAAAGTAGTCTCTAAACTCTCTTTTGGTACCTCTAAGACTCTGTGGCCACAGTGTGAGGAAGCAGCTAGTGTCCCCTGTGGAACAGAGCTGAGTATCCTTTGTTTGCCTGATGTCTGGGGGCTAGGATACTAAAACTAGGACTGCCAGTATCTACCCCTGAGAAACATGGGTCTCTGCATGACATGGTTACTTGACAGCCATCTACCCAGCTTAGGGAGATACCTGTAACATTCTGGGTTTCTAAGTTAATATATGAACTGACTTTTTAGGTTGATATAGTCTGTGCTTCAGACACAAATAGTTTTAACCCTCAATATGATTATGCTAAGGCAGAAGGAAAAGGAGATTCCCTTTTATTTTCATCTAGGTCTCAATTTCCACAACAATTTCAACCCCAACTTATCATCATTATAAATAAATGTCAGCCTGGAAACTAGGTATTGGCTGTGGCAAAGCTAAAATACTGATACCTTTTGCAGCCAAGAAACAGAAGCCAACTGCTCTTTGCAAAGCTATTGAAGTAGGTTCAAGGTACTTGTGTTCCACTGAGATCTCCCTTATTATTTTACAAAAAGCACAAATCACTGAAATCCAGACCTAACTTGGAAAAGCTCTTGGGTAATGAGAGGGTATACAGGAATGAGAGCCTCAGAACCAGCTGTGTAGGAAGCTAGGCAGCAGGGAGACACCTGCATTTTCTAGCCGTGACCTGTGATTGTTTAGTCTCCAGTTATCCCCAACTACAGCTGATCTAGTATTGAATATGATCTTTTTGTCAGACAAAAAGCAAACCCTTTAAAAACCCCTTCCAGAACCCAAAATATCTCTTGCCAAAAGCTGTGAGAGCAGGACAAGAGCTCCTCCTATGCTGCTTACTACATCCTCTTAAACTGTTTATGAACTAGACAGTATCTAGGACACTGAGAATCAAGTGGAGGCACCTAGGTTTGTGTTGTTAGGACAAGGCACAACTGTTCTCAAATCACTGGAATGGAAGAAGGCATATCTAAGGCTCTTCTGCATTATGAAGACTCATTCTGCCAATGGAGGTCAAGCCAGCAAGGAAATGATTATGCTTGGTTTAAAGAAATGGGTGAAAAGATAATGACATTTCAATGGGCAGGAACTTTCAACTCAATAGCTTTAGTGGGGCAGAAGTCAGGCCTCAACTACCTCCTACCTTCAAATAATCTTTACTTGCTTCTCTGAAGAACAAGCGAAACTCTCAAGTATCTTTGAGAAGTCAGGGCCTTGGACTCACAATTCAGTATTTCTGACTAGTTCCTTTTCCCAGCAGTGGGAGGTTGCCCCAAGTGGCAGAACAATGCTTTAATGACTGGATCAATCCAGAATGGGGCACTTGCTCAACTTTAGCAGTGGCCTCCCCAACTACAGGGCTTGCTCTTGGAATCTTTCCAGAAGCTGAGACTGACGAACAGTGCCAGAGAAGAGCAGCATCACATCCTAGGGCCATCTCTACAGTGTTGTGCAACCAGCCCTGACTGGAAAAAAGTACATTCGCTTTAGTAGCAAGAGTGAACTGCTGCCTCCTTCAGAAAGGGTGGGTTTTGGAGAGTAGGCGTTTTAAAGGACTTTAGGAGGTGCCAGCCAATTTGAAGCCTGGGAAAACTTCATGTCTACAGAGGATTAAAAATGCTATCTTAGAATTTCAGGCCAGCTTTCAGCAATCTCAACCTTTCAAAGGCCAGGCAGCAGCTGTCCCGAATACGATGCCAATCAATGCCTCGAACACCTACAAAGAACTAAATCCAAGCAACAAGAAGCTGTTTCAGCTAGACACACTTTAAAATCAGATGGATCATAGCATTTTGAGTCTGGCTAAGATGGAATAAGGAGCTGTATGACACCCCGAGAGACCCAGAAGCACTGAGGAATTTGGAGGAACTGACAGGATGTGACCCTTCTCTCCAGCCAGTGTATTCAGCAGGCAGCCCACAGAAAACAAGGAGTTAGCACAATGAGAGTGAGCAAGGCCTGATTTCATCACAGAGCTCACAATCTTGTTTTAAAGGGGGCTTCTGATAGACAAAAGGAGAAAACAATTTCAACAAGGAAAGCAGGTGTATGATACTCTTTGTTCTGAAGGAAGATAAATGGCCTGAGTTCTTGTTGTGACTTCTGAGAGAGGAGGGAAGGACCCCCAAGAGGAGGAATTGAGCCTGTGGGCACAAACCTGCAATGTTTCAAAGCCGGTGCGTAGCTGGGGACGACCGTGGCAGCCTGCCGCTGTAAACATCCGACTGAAAGCTCCTCTGAACACCTTACAGCTTCCAGTCAAGGATGTTTACAGTAGCAAAGACTGCCCAGAAAGAACGGAGACGCAGTGAGGCACACCCTACTCTAGTAAGGAGGTGACAGAGGGCTTGCTAATCCAAAGGCCCTCATGCAGGGTCAGAATTACAAATGTTCATTAGGATGCCCACTTCTCCTAGACTTTCTCTGACTGGTTATTAATACAGGCTGGGATGGGGAGAATGGCTGTCACTGAATGACTGCTTCTAAGGATAATATACTATGAAATAATTCATTAAAAATAAAGTTTTATATAACAAAGCAAGCAGAACAAGGCACAGCTTTGCTCCTGTGAGATTCTGCCACAATTTCCCAAGTGGCACCTAGTGAATCATGCAATCTGCATGCTTAAAACAATGAGCTCTAAAGGACAGAGGTCTATTACAATCACAATTAAGAGCTATATGCACCCAAGGTGCTGAAAAAACAACTAGTGTGACCTTTGGAGAGGGGCAGGCAGAAGAGACGGGAAGGCAGACGTTCATATTCTTTCTTGTGATTGCTTGCAAAACAGCTCAAGTGGTGGTTCTCAAATCTGACTGCACATTAAAAGCATCCAGGGAGTTTTAAAAGGTACTGATGCCTGGGCTCCATCATGAGATTCTGATTCAGCTGATGTGGGTTAGAGCCTGGGCGCTGATATTTTTAAAACCCCAACAGGTGATTCTAGTGTGCAGTCAGGGTACTATATAAAGATATAATGAACCACAATATAGAGGAAGAGAAAACATAGTCCATTCACTCCAAATGCCACTGTGCACATAGAGAAGCTGTTTCTTAAAAATCTAAAATCTATAACTTTCTGGGAATATTCTCCTATCCCAGATGAAGAGCTCTGATAGACTTCCTAAGATAACTTGAAATGAGCTTAACTTTACCATTTGTAACTAAAGTCTTTCATTTTCATTTTGTCTATTTTCACTGAAATACCACTTCGGAGGCACTGAGTTAAAAGTATCCAGAAATGAGTAACAGAAGGAGATGTTAAGAATGAATCTGGTCTAGAAACGAGAAGCAAAAGGAATAGCAAATGACTTGTGCTGAGAGAGAAGGAGCGTATCTGACACCAGTATACAAAGCGCTCTTCAGTCAGCAGCAACTGCAATCCCTTCACAGCTCACCTGACGCTTTGGAGGTTTCAGTTCATCTCTTGGAACAATATCGATGAGAAAATCAAACTGATCAAATTTTGTAATTGCCATGGCGATATCATTTCTCTGTAACAAAGAAGAGCGGTGTGAAAAATTAGCCTGGGGAGAAACTAGTTCACTTGGCTTTATACCCTCCAAGTAAGGTAAGACGACTTTTAAGCCAAACTAAACACCTACGGGCAAGTCTACAGCTGAAATAAGCACAGCCAAACTCATATACTTTAAATGATCAGACCTGGTGGGCAACCATCAACAAAAAAGAAAGAGATACATGTAACTCACACTGTAAAATGGGGTATCTGAGCCTCCAACCACTGCTACTCCTGCTTGATCCTCTCCCCGCGATTTTCAAATTACAAACCTAGTAATCTCAATTAGCAGGTTTCTGGTCATTCTGTGGGTTAGCAAAGTTAGGTTTATAATCTTTTTAAGGCCCTAAATAATATTTTCCCTTTGGTTCACAAGTATTGAATTAGGTAAAATCCTAATTCAATAACTTTTTGCAACATTTTCAAGTCACTGGATCTATATACACTAAGTTCTCACAAGCTATGATTTTTATTTGGGAATTCTAAATTGCAATACTTAAACCATGGGTTTATCATTGCAGTTCTGAATTCCCAAATAAAAAACATAGCTTGTGAGAATTCTGATATTCATAGTTTGTGCTATGAACAGCAGCAAGAGAGGTAAGAGAACACAGGAGTCAGAAGGCTAATGATACTGAAACCAAGACCTGCTCTAATGGGGGTTTCTCTCCAAGTGTGATACTTCCTTTCTTTGAATAATAAAATTAAAAGATTTTTACTAAAACCCAACATATTATGTATAGTTAAGATTTGTGTACTTTACTAAAGATTTAAAGCAAAAGGAAAAACAATATGAAAAAACACTGAACGCTAGTGAATGATATGCATGTTAAAGTATTTGGGCAAAGTAAACTTTACAATGCACTTAAAAACAGATTACTTGAAGGATGGATAGAGGGATAAACAGATATGAGAATAAAATAAGCATAGTAAAATGTTTATGGTAGAATCTAGGTTGTAAGTATACAGGTATTCACTGTAAACTTTGCTTATGTTTGAAATTTTTCATAATAAAATGCTGGGGAAAATGTTAACACACTAACAGAAATCCTTAGCAAACTCTATATACCACACCTTAAAAGGTGACTCATCGGACAAAACAGGAGAGGATGGAAATTTTTTTTTTCTTTCCCTTGTATCTGTGATGGCCCCAAGCCTCTGAAATGCAAAACTCTAGTCCGCCCTTCTTGCCAACCACGAGCTTGACGATAAACCCTCCCAACTGAAGCAGGGCCCATCTTAAGATTGCCAGAACTCATTTAAGATGACTACAATATAGTGTCACATTTTTTGATGTCATCTACTCAATCTATCTAAATGGCTCATTTATTGATGGAATAAAAGGGGAAAAAGAAAAATAATAAACATCTCCAGCATATAATAAAATATTCTAGAGTATTTTGGAAACATAGATATACTTAAGTTGGTCTTCCTAAAATTTTTATTTGCTTTTTAAATTCCCTGAGGCAGGAGGATCGCTTGAGCCAGGAGTTTCAAGACCAGCTCTGGGCAACATAGTAAGGCCTCATCTCTACAACAACAACAACAAAAATTTTAAGCCAGATATGGTGGCATGCACCTGTAGTCTCAGCTACTTGGGAGGCTGAGGTGGGAGGATCACTTGAGCCCAGGAGGTCGAGGCTGCAATGAGCTGTGATTGCGCCACTGCACTCCAGCCTAGGCCACAGAGTGAGACCCTATCTCAAAAAATAAAAAAGGAATATAGAAAGTTCCTTCTAGCCCTTTCCAGTCAATATCCTTCCCCACACTCCCCTAAATCTGGGCAACCACAACTCTGATTTCTATCACTATAGGTGGTAATAATGCATTGTATCATGCACTATGTAATTTTTTCCCTCTGGTTCCTTTTGTTAACATAGTATCTTTGAGATTTATCCATGTTGTATGGAGCAATGGTTTGTTTCTTTTTATTGCTGAGGAGGAATCCATTTCATCAATACCTCAGAATTTGTTTATATATTCCTATATTGATGGACACTTGAGTTGTTTCCAGTTTTGAGGTAGTATAAACAAGGTTGTTAAGAGCATTTTTATATAAGAATGGCTACAGTTCTTTTGGGTACAAACCTAGGAATGAAATGGCTGGGTTACAGAGTAGGGGGATATGTTTATCAGAAAATGTCTAATATTTTTTCAAACTGACTGACCACTTTAGATTCTGACCAGCAATATATGAGTTTCAGACACTCCACTTCCTCACCAACTGTGGTATTGTCAGTCTTTTTTATTTTAGGTATTCTAGTGGGTGTAAAACAGTATCTCACTGCAGTTTTTTATTTCCCTGATGACTAATGATGTTGCATATCTTCTCATGGGTTTATTGGGCATTTGTTTATCTTTTTTTCTGAAGGTCTGTCCAAGTGTTTTGCCTATTTTATTTTCTAATCTGAATTGATCTTGAAGGGAGCTTTAACTGGATCTCTCTGGATCCACAGACTAACTTCAAGGCAACATAAATTTTGTGACTTCAACATGCATATCATTTATTGGAGCTCAGTATTTTTTGCTTTTTTTGCTTTAAAACTTTCATATAGTAATGTACACAAATCCTAACTTTATGACGCATTGACAAGCTGTACTAGAATGCAGGCTTCCCACAGATAAGGATTTTTGTCTGTTGTGTGTATCGTTAATCCCCAGAGCCTAGAAAAGTGCCCGGCACATTGTGGGTGTTCAGTAAGTATTTTTAGAATAAATGAATAAACACATGCATTTTCTACTTTGTAGGTAAAGGGAAACAAGAAGAGAAAATAATTTACTTTCTTGGCTTCATTGTTAAAATACTGCCACCACTGTTTTATACTTGTTACACTCTTCTTCTTGTATCTGGGAAATCTTTCCTCTAAGAGCCAGGGCTTGGCTATAGGGTGAGGGTTTCTAGAGTCAATGACCAAGGGCTCTGCATACAGTATGAATGTGAATTCGCTAGGTTAAAAATTAAAATTAAAAAAAAAAGAAGAAGAAAAAGAAAAGGACTCCCAGGAAGGCTGACAAGGAACAAAAAGCCTAATGAAGCTAGTGAGACTGATGATACTTCCTGGAATCTCTCAAGGCTCCCAACCAGAAGTTGATTACGTTTGGAAACAGGTAAATACTCTTATCACTTGAGCCTCTGTTTATAGTGAGGGCTCACCAAGGGAAAAGAGTTCAGTCACTAAGCTGTGAAAACCAGGAGAGAATTGATTAAGATTTTTGGTGGAGAAACACAATCACCATGGCTAGAAGGTATGTCTGCCTCCCAACAGTGGTGATGCCAATGACACGTCAGCTTGATAGAGGCCTAAAGGAGAACAATCTTTGGTCCTAAAGGAGAACAATCTTTGGTCCTAAAGGAGAACAATCTTTCTCCAACACCACGCAGGAAAACAGGCAAAGGCTGCTGCTTACCCCAGTTTTCCTAATCTAAGTCTGCAATAATACCTGTAGAGTCCGGCGCTTGTTATCTTCTGTGTGAATCCAGGCTCGAAGAGTCAACTCTGTGATAAAAATCTGGGCTGCCTTGGCAAAGAGTACAGGCGCTTCTGCACTGATCATCTGTAACAGACACAGGCCCTCCCTGTCAATCACCAGCAAGTCATGCAAACCAGTCTGTCTCTTGCCTCATTGCCTGGCATGGGACTATGGGGCAAGGGTCAAAAAATGAGGTGGTATACTCAAGAGATTCCAAGGTAAAATAAATCCATGAGTGGGAACAAAGCAGGTAACAGGGAGAAAGAATACTTATCTAGCACATACCATGCGCCAAACCTTGTGCAAGGTGTTTTCTTACTCTTATAATAGCCTTTCAAAGAAACTAGGGGTCAAGAGAGATGAAGTGACTTGCCCACAGCCATAGAGCCAGTAAGTGGCAGGGTTTAGGTTCTAATCCAAGGAGAAACAATATGAGGAAGGAGAATGAGCTTGAAAGCCAATGGATTTGGATAAAATTGCAGGCTTCCCATCCTTTTGGGCTTTTTCATGTACTGAAAAAGAGGATAACCTTTCAGTTTTATTGTGGCAATCAAATGAGATAATATATGTACCCAGCCCAGGGCTTGGCATATAGGAAATGCTCAAGCCATATAAACTTTCTTGATGTGTCTGATTTCAAAGTTGAAGCTCTTGGTCAAACAAGGTTCTAAACCTTTGGTGAGGTAGTCTGTGCAGGATACAGCCACAGAAAGAGCTCTGGAGTTAAAGAAGCAGCAGATGGGAAATGGGATCTTGGTCCTATCACTCTGGGTGAGTCACTTAACCTCTTTGTGTCTATTTCCATTGTCTGTAAAATGGAACTGATAATTCTTATTATATCAAATCTCACAGGGCTACTGTGAGGAAGAAAGGAGCTAATAAAAGGGAAAATTACTATCAATTGTTAGCTTTCTGTGAAAATACAAAAGACTATTAATTTTGAGTGGTAAAGAGACAGAGTTCCTCTTTCTCTGAGATCTGTAATGGAGATGGACTCCTAGGAATACAGAAATGGCCAAGCCCACGCAAACCCTCTCACAAGTATTATTCATGTAAAAGAAACTCATAGATCAAAAGGTTAGAACAGGTAGAATATCATTATCAAAAATTTCTTAAGAGTTCAGATCAACAAACTATGTAAGACGCTAAGATGATGGCACTGTCCTGTTGATTTGATGATACATGTATATACTACACTGTGAACAGAACTGTGAGATACCAGCTGGGCATGGTGGCTCATGCCTAATCCTAGCACTTTGGGAGGCTGAGGCTGGAGGACTGCTTGAGCCCAGGAGTTCGTGACTAGCCTGGACAACATGGTGAGATCCTGTCCCCCACTCCAAAAAAACATTAAAAATTAAGCCAGACATGATGGCACGTGCCTGTAGTCCCAGCTACTTGGGAGGCTGAGGTGGGAAGATCACTTAAGCCTGGGAGGTGAAGGCTACAGTGAGCCGTGATTATGCCATTGCCCTCCAGCCTGGGTGACAGAGTGAGACCCTGTCTCAAAAAGAAAGAAAAGGCCAGATGCGGTGGCTCACACCTGTAATCCCAGCACTTTGGGAGGCAGAGGCAGGCATATCACCTGAGGTCGGGAGTTCAAGACCAGCCTGGCCAACATGGTGAAACCCTGTCTCTACAAAAAATACAAAAATTAGCTAGGTGTGGTGGCGGGCGCCTGTAATCCTAGCTACTCGGGAGTCTGAGGCATGGGAATTGCCTGAACCTGGGAGGCAGAGGTTGCAGTGAGCTAAGCTCGCACCACTGCACTGCGGCCTGGATAACAGAGTAAAACTCTCAAAAAAAAAAAAAAAACCCAACATCAACTATTTTTTCAACATCTAAAAAATTTTCAGGATGATCCATATAGTAACCAAAACTGCTCAATTTTGGCTCACTTAACAATTTTGCACAGGAACCAAATAACAAAGCAACAGACAGTAATTTTTGTGTGTTCTTGTTTAATTAAACTTTGAGCTCTAGAGAAATGAGCAATAACCTACCCATCACTTAGCTTCAATAAGAAATAATAAAAATGAATGTGAATTCACCTTCACATCTTCATCCAGTTTCATAATCTTCTTAATACGAGCCAGTGGGAGTTCCTGCACTCGGAAGTCTTTCTGAAATGAACAACAAGAGATGCATAAATGGTGGGGACAATCAACAGTGTGGCAAAGCATGACAGGCAGTAGGAAACACTCTGGCTTGGTCCCTCTCTTCAGGAAGCGTATGTCGGGAGAGAAGGTACAGATGAAATGAAGAAAATACAAGCTCCAGAGCAAAATTCTTCTTTACTTAACATATGCAGGTCTTCAAAGAATTAATGGGCTTTAGAAAAAGCTTAGGATGGCCTCTAACAGTGCTCTCATGAAACACAGCCCCAAGCAATATCTGTTTTTTTTTTTTTTTCGTCAGCACAACATAGAGGGACATTATGAGCGCCTTCTTTTTTTTTCCAAGTAAGTTTACCAGTCTGCAATATGCAGATTAAAATGAGATTTCTGTCTCAGGGGTATTCCTCTAAACTGCCAGTTCTTTCTTCCATTCAGTGACCAAACTAACAGCAACGCCGGGGCACTTGACCACAGTGATCCACAGTTCTTTACAACTGATAGTGGCCATTTCTGACATTTGCACTAACCTGACAACAGAAACTGGGGAGGAGAGCTCCTTTCTCATCACAGTAGCAATGGCCTTGTCTCCAAAATTTGTTTCAAGTGGGGGTAGAGGAGTATAGAAAAAGGATGAGGGTGAATTTGTCAGCTGCCTTTTAGGAACAGCTGTGTTATTTTTTCTTAACAAGCCTGGAGTGGGGGAGGACCATATAACTTCACTGTGGATATAGTTTAGGAAAGGGCTTTTTTGATCAGCACTACTCAATAATTTGAGACTTAAGCCCTTTTTTGTTTTATTTTGAAACTACTGGTATTTAAACACATGCCCAATGATGGATGCAATTCTAGGAAAAAAATCAATTTTGAGTTTCAGAGCTGCAATGAAGAGGAAGGTGCAAAGGCAGATATTAGCTAAAATCAGCAAAATCTCTACTGGGACTAGGTGTCAAATGATTGATTCTATAAGTGGTCTGAAATGTGACTCACTAAACCTAATATGCTCACCTGGGAATTTGCATCATCACATTATGGAAGGAGCATATATTATTTCAGATTTGATGTAATTAACAAGCATAAGTGAACTTTCTTTTGCAAGACCAACAGAAAATCTCAAATATATGTCAAAAAAAGGTATTTTGGAAAAACATCAACAGTCTTCCCAGAACCTATTTTATGATTATAGAAAGAAGAGAATCTATTAGGATAAAATGTACACCAAGACATCTAATTTTTCCATGCAAACCCAACAAGCTGCTTGGCTACCACTCTGCTCTACAAACTTCAAACACCAATTTTTCATCTTTTCCTTTTCCAAATTAGGTATCAACATTTTCCATGAACCCTCTACTAAAACTAACCCTGGAGTAACAGAGACTTAGAAGTTCAGTTTATTAAAATTTCAACAAAAGGAAACAGTAGCGCAGGTTCATTCTATTCTTGTTTTTCCCCTTGCTCTTTCATTTACTGATTCAAGCAACTCAACTAATAGTAAATGTATGATACCTACTACTATGCAAAAAATACACATGTAGGCCAGGCATGGTGGCTCATGCCTGTAATCCCAGCACTCTGGAAGGCTGAGATGGGAGAATCGCTTGAGGCCAGGAGTTTGAGACCAGTCTGGTCAACATAGTGAGACCCCATCACTATTTAAAAAAGAAAGAAAAAAAATACACATCTACTCCTACCTTTGAAGAGCTTGTGGTTTGTCAGAGATAGTCACATAAAAACATTATAATCCCCTACCCAATACTGGAGGGGAGGGATCCCCTGCGGGGACACAAAGAAGGACATATTGCTAGGGACAGCTAGCAATGTGGGGCTGGAGGGAGAGTGAGGGATTGGGAAATGTTCCACAAAGGGGATGACATCTGAATTGTGTCTAAGGGATGCTGGGAATTTGCCTGTTGAAAAAGTATGAGAATGTTATTCAGACAGAACAACAAAGACAGAGAGAGAGACAAAAAATCACAGCCTATTTAAGTTTTAGATCTACTACCTGAGTATAGAGGGGAAAAGCAGGAAAGAGGATACTGGGTTGGGGCCAGATCCTAAAGAGTTTTTTTAAAAGTTTAATCCCAGAAATCAACCACTGGTCTTCCTTCTTGTGTGGCATATCACAGAAGATGATGACACTACATAGAAATGCCAAAGAGAATGCTAGGGATGATCATTCCTTTGGAAAACCTCCCAGGCTAATACATACAGCACAAGATGATCATACATTTAGCTCTCTTGCAAGTGTGCTCTTGTTTGGCTTGGTTTTAAATATAATTTGTACAAGAACGTTCCATGATTACTTAACTAAAGCCCAAAGTTGATAAAAAAGACCTCTTTCCCCAAATTGAAAGAGTAAACTATTACTCCTTCAATTTCTCTTCTTTAATCAAAAGCAACAAAAGTCAAGGATCAAGAGATCATTCCCGCCTTGCAGAGATGTAAAATGAGGCAGAAATTTATAATAAGCTCTGCTTTAATCCCCTTCCCAAAGCTTTTCTTTGTGACAAACTATTTTTTCATGTTCCTGAAACCTTGAGATCTCAAGAAGCAGTGTGTAAAAGTGGATCTTGAGGGGTGTGTATGGTTCATCCCTGTTGACAATCACCCAGTTTTCTATAATCCTATCCTAGCCTTCTAGTTACATGTAAGGATTTACCATAAGCTTGTTGGAAAAGGGAGGCCCTCTACAATCAGTAGATTGAGGCCCACGAAACTTGGATTCATGCTCCCCACTTCACTAGCTACCATGTAACTGAAGTGAGTAACATTTAACTCCTTAACTCCTTCTCCTGATACTGATTCAACTGGAAGAACAGCTGACACACACTGCTCCCCCCTACTTTTGGGAGTTCTATCAGTAAGGCAGAAGAGCAGATTATCTCTCAGAACATTCTCATGCTCCTGACCACTACCAAAGAACTACGTTAAAAATGCTTCCATCTGAAACTGCTGCATTTCAAGACAAATTCAAATCTGAATTCACTCAATGAGAGTTTGGAGACAAAGAAAAGTCAACAGATCTTGGGCTGCACTGAAGAACATCCAGAGTTTCAAATAATAAAGAGAAACCTTTTCCAGGCCTACCCAGTCAGGCACTCTGGCAAGTCAAGATTCTCAACCCTTTGAAATCAATGATTCTCAATCTTGGGGCTGCAGGTTAGAATCACCTGAAAAGCTTTTGAAAAACAAGATGCCTGAGCTCTCTCCTGGAGACCAACTGAATCAGGAACTCTAGGACAGTGGTCCCCAACCTCAGGAACCAGTTTTGTGCAAGACAATTTTTCCAGAGATGGGCAGGGTGGGCATTAGATTCTCATAAGGAGTGTGCTACCTAGATCCCTCACATGCGCAGTTCATGATAGGGTTCACATTCCTTTGAGAATCTAATGCCACTGCTGATCTGACAGGAGGTGGAGCTCAGGCAGTAATGCTTGCTTACTGGCTGCTCACCTCCTGCTGTGCAGCCCAGTTCCTAGGTTCCTAACAGGCCATGGACCCATACCGGTCTGTGGCCCAGGGGTTGGGGACCCCTGCTCTAGTGGGTAGAGTACTGGCATCATGTTTTTTGAAAACTCCCCTTGTGACTATGATCCAAGTGAGAGTTAAGGACTACTGTTTTACGGCCCTGCTACTCAAAGTAAGGTCCTTGGACCAGCAATGGTATCACCTGGGAACTCAAAAGAAACACAGAATCCCAGGTTCCGTTCCTAACCTACTAAATCAGCATCAATATTTTAAGAAGATCCTCCCTCACGTGGTTCATACAGACAATAAAGTTTGAGAAGCACTGCTCTACAGAAAGGGCTCACACAGCACAGGACCTGTTTTGTAACAGTCCACCAACCTTCATCACCAAGTTCTTGTTTAAACAGTTATCTGATTTGATTGTAATGTTAGAAATGTCATCACCCAATCAGGAGGCACTGAGGAATGAAAAGATGAAACTGCCAATTAAAAGAAAGTGACCTAGGCACTCAATTACAGTTAAGTGAAGGCTGAATGGGATGTAAAGAGTAAGTAGAGAATTAGATTTTTCTTTTCGAAATTCAGCATTGTTGCCCACCTGCCCCCAACTCACCTCCATAAAGACAAAGTTAGCTTTCTCTTTCCTATTTTCAAAGAGGCCCACTGGGGCAAAACTCAACACGAAGAAGTCTGTTATTTGCTGTTCCCAGAGCTCTGCTGTGCGGGAATATAGGGTTTTACACAATCACTCTGGTGCACAATCATCTTGATATGGTTTTTAACTAATTTCAATCCCAGCTGAACACCACCTGGATTTATAGACAACTACAGAGCTTTTAAGAATCATGAGAACAAGCTAAAATGAAAGATAAATTGCTTTTACAGGACGCAGACCAAAAGGACTTGAGGCCAGTGTTTCCAACACATCATGAAATATATCATCTAGCAAACTTCAATTACTTCTTTTTGAAACAAATTGTGTCCCAGTCTGAGATCACATTTTATGAATATTCTCGTAAGTTTTACTTATGATTGGCTAGTTTAAACATAAGGAATTTTTTTCTTTTTAATCTGTTAGATATTGTGAGGTGTCAACCTAAGAGGCTCTGACACATCTGAGGAAGTCTGGTTTTAAGTACTGTTGAGTTCTGGAAAGGGACAGATTAAATGCTAAAATGTTTGGTCATGTTACACAGGCAGCAGCGCAGTCAGAGAAGCAGATGCCATCACGTGTTGCACTCCTGAGAAGAGGGGAAAATAAGAGTCACACAAGGGAAAAAAATTACCCTGACTTTACTGGATTGCATTCTTACTCAAATATGGAATTGATGTTGCTTTGCACTAAACCTGAAGTGGAGTCTAATTTGTTCAAATATTTATTGTGCACCTACTACATGCCAGACATTGTTCTAAGCACCTGATATAAAAGACATAGCATGGCAGAGGTCTAGGAGTCCCTTTCAAAAGTACATAGGAGGAGAATTTTAATTAGTCACCAATACAAGAAGGATTAAAGACAACTTCCTCTTTACTTTTCTTTCTCTTCACCCACAAAACTTGAACCAAAACTGAATCCCTCAAAGTAATTCTCTTTTAACTTCTGATAGACTAAGTCTAGGTACTAAAATTTGGTCAACATCATGATCAGCTTTGTTGGCAATCAAACTTGTAAACCAAGTAGGTTACAAATCAAAGCCCAGGGTCTTGAAGAGGTATTTGCACACTCATGTAACACAGCAGCACTATTCACAATAGCCAAGAGGTGAAACCAACCCAAATGTCCATTAACAGATGAACGGATAAACAAAATGTGGTATATACATACAACAGGGTATGATTCTGCCTTAAAAAAAAAAAAAGGATAGGCCAGACATGATGGCTCATGTCTGTAATCCCAGTGCTTTGGAGGGCCAAGGCAAGAGGATTGCTTGAGGCCAGGAATTTGAGACCAGCCTAGGCAACATAGTGAGACCTCCATCTCTACATAAGATTTTTTTTTTTTAATTAGCCAGGTGTGGTGGTGCACAACTAGAGTCCTAGCTACTTGGGGGACTGAGTAGGAAGGGTCCCTTGAGCCCAAGAGTTCAAGGCTACAGTGAGCTATAATCCTGCCACTGCACTCCAGCAATGAACAGAGTGAGACCCTGTCTCTTTAAAAAAGAAAAAACAAAGGCCACGCATGGTGGCTCACACCTATAATCCCAGCACTTTGGGAGGCAGATGTGGGAGGAATGCTTGAGCCCAGAAGTTTGAGACCAGCCAGGGTAACATGGTGGGACCCTGCCTCTACAGAAAAATACAAAAATTAGCTGGGTGTGGTGGCGTGCACCTGTAGTCTCAGCTACTCAGGAGGCTGAGGCGGGAGGATCGCTTGAGCCTGAGAGGTCGAGGCTGCAGTGAGCCATAATTGTACCACTACACTCCAGCCTGGATGACAGAGTGAGACCCTGTCTCCAAAAAGGAAAAAAAAAAAAGAAAAAAGATAAAAAAGGAAAGACATCCTGTCACATGCTTCAACAGACATGCTAAGTGAAATAAGATAAGACAAAAAGACAAATACAGATGTTGTTCTACTTACAATGGGGTTACATCCTGATAAAGCTATTGTTAAGTTGAAAAGATCCTAAGTTGAAAATGCATTTACTACACCTAGCCTATCAAACATCATAGTTAAGCCTCGCCCACCTTAAATGTGCTCAGAACACTTACATTAGCCTAAAGTTGGGCAAAATAATATAACACAAACCCTATTTTATAGTAAAGTGTTGAGTATCTCATAATTTATTGAATACTAGATTGAAAGCGAAAAACAGAATGGTTGAATGGGTACTCAAAGTACAACTGCTACTGAATGCACATCGTTTTCTAACCACTGTAAAGTGGAAAAAAAACATTAAGTTGAATCATTGTAAGTAGGGGACTGTACGATATGATCCCACTTCTATGAGGTATCAAAAATAGTCAAATTCATAGAAAGCAGAATGGTGGCTGTTTATTGAGTGCACAGTTTCAGTACTGCAATATGAAAAAATTCTCAAGGTAAGTTCCATAACAATGTGATTATACTTAACACTTCTGAACTGTACATTTAAAAATGGATAAGGGGCGAAATTTTATGTGTTTTTTTACTACAACTAAAAAAAAAAAAAAATCAAAGTCCAACAAAACAGAAAAGTTAAGTGCTGAGCTTAAACCTCCAGAGTTTATCTGGCCACTTGCCTGATCCTGGATTTATGCCTCTCGGCTCAAGCTGCGGCACAGACTTGCTCGATTGGCCTAGTCCCACCACACCCCAGGACAGCATTCATTTTACACCAAGCTGACCCCAGCACCAAAAGCTGATAAGCTTAATCATGAGATTAACCCCCTAAAATATGAACAAAACACCCCATCCTTTTGACTTTATCATTTCATTTATTCCTCCCTTCTCTTTCATATCTGAGACAGTTTAGATAACTACTACCTTAGACTGCAGAAGAGGAACAATGACTTTTCAGTGGAAATCCACTCTGAACCCAGGCCAGTCTGAGAAAGGCTAAGCCAAGTTCAACTGCTGAAAACTCTTCATATAAACAAACATGACCCAGAGGTATATCCAAAACATGAATTACTTTTTATCCCTGAAGTCAGTGGGCATTTATCATAATAAGTTATTTCATTTCATTAATTACTTGTTTATTAGCCTGTCTCATCAGAATATATGTTCCATGAGCGCAATGATCCTGTCTGTCTGGTTCATTACTGTATCCACAGTATCTAGCATAGCCTTAGTTGGTACATAATAAGTATTTGTTGAGTGAATGAATAAACTGACATTGTAACGTCAGAAGTTAAAGGTCACTAACCTTAAGCAATTGCAACATTAATTCTACATCAGGAAGGAATCCAGTGTCTGCTCTGCCAGGATGCTAGTATTTCCAGGGCAGGAATGACACAGCCAACATGGGGAGCTCCTTTAGTATGTGCTAAAATGACACCTTAATGAACATTCTTCATTAAGGACATGACAACTGTATTATGAAAATATTCCAACTCTAACCTGTCTCACCTTCCACTACCACTCTCATACCACATACTTACTCCTTCCCTCAACCTCCACTAAACACACAGTAACCTCCAGGCACTCTGAATGTCTTGATGTTCCCCTAACTACAAGGTCCTCTCTGGGCCTCCATGCCTTTATGCATGCCCTTGTCTTTGCCCTCCCATCCTTCACATCTGGTGAATGCTTACTCATATTTTAAGACTCAACAAAAATGTTCCCTTTACTTAAACTCAACCAGAAAGAATCAAGCACTATGTCCTCTGTGCTCCTTGACTTTTACTGCTTCAGGACTCATCACTGTGCCTGATTCAGTAAGTACTTAGTAAATACCTACTGACTAAATTATTCTGGTTGTAATTACTAGATTGTAAGCTCCTCACAGGCCGAGGTTATATTTAATTATTCTGAGTCAGTAGTTCTCAACAAGGGATGATTTTTGCCCATGGGGACATTTGCCAATGTCTGGAGACATTTTCTGGTTGTCACAACTCGGGGAGGGGTGCTACTGGCATCTAGTGAGTAGAGGCTAGGGGTGCTGCTAAACATGCTGTTATGCATAAGACGGCCCCTCACAACAAAGAATTATCTGGCCCAAAATGTCAATAATGCAGCTGTTGAGAAACTGCGATCAAAGTATATCTTTTTAACACCTAGAAAGAGTTCCTGACTCACAATAGATTTGTTGTTGAATAAATTGCCCAATAGTTTTTACCAAGTTCTAGAAATGTCGTAGGGCCACTAAATCAGGCCTAAAAAATTGAGCTACAGCTACTGAAGGAAGATGAGATCTCTGTTTTTCTGTAAGTCCTAAAGGATATGCCTCACATTAAACTACCTCCAAGTCAAAGTATCCACTGCACACCACACGCCTATGGAAGAACACTGAGATATAAAAGACTCTTGCAGTTACCTCACGGAAGGCAAATTATGTTTTCATTTTCCTACCCACAGGTCAGGGGTGAACCATGCCTCTGTAAATGTGCTTGAAATTAAAAATGCTTTAGTCTGAGTTTTGGTTAATTTCCCAGAGCTCTTTATACTCTTTAAAAGTTTCTAATAAAAGTTTCTCATTCTTCCTCACCACTGTTAAATTCCGGATTTCTTCCATGACCCGAGGCCAGAACGACTGTAGGCTTTGCTGGGCATCACTGCTGCTAGTACCACCAAATCCTCCTTCTGTGGACATCTCGACAACTGAAAATAAACACATACATAAGACACATTAGAAACAATAAAGTCAGACTTTCTGTCCAGATTAGGCATTTGTATATTTGTGGATGTTTTTATGAATCTATTCAATCTTTCAGTTTGATAAGGTATATAATTACGCTAAAAAGATTTTAACACAGACTTACATCTTAAAAACATTGGTAGGAAAGTTTTTCCTTCTATCTAGCTTATACCATAGAGACTACTGAAGACCTCCAACTAGAATATCAAAAGTTGCTAGAAATGTAAGCTGAAATCCTAATGTTAATCAAGGACTTTTAACTTCTTATATGGGTGTGGGGTGAGGAAAGTACTTTGTTGCCCTAGTCTAGCCCATAATTTTCAATGCCATTCTTTCCAAAGCTTTTTCAAGTTCTCTGTGGCTTCTCATCCTCCATGCCACAGCCTTCAGCAAATTCTTATATTAAAAGTCCCCAGTGATTAGTACTGTACAGAAATGTAAACCCAGTCTTAAAAGATAAAAGCCAAGCTGGGCACAAAGGTGCATGCCTGTGGTTCCAGCTACTCAGGAAGGTGAGCCAGGAGGATCACTTGGGCCCAAGAGTTCAAGACAGCCTGGGCAACATAGCAAGCGTCTGTCTCTTAAAAAAAGAGAGAGGGCCGGGCGCGGTGGCTCACGCCTGTAATCCCAGCACTTTGGGAGGCCGAGGCGGGCGGATCACAAGGTCAGGAGATCGAGACCATCCTGGCTAAAACAGTGAAACCCCGTCTCTACTAAAAATACAAAAAATTAGCCGGGCGTAGTGGCGGGCGCCTGTAGTCCCAGCTACTTGGGAGGCTGAGGCAGGAGAATGGCGTGAACCCGGGAGGCGGAGCTTGCAGTGAGCCGAGATCCCGCCACTGCACTCCAGCCTGGGCGACAGAGCGAGACTCCGTCTCAAAAAAAAAAAAAAAAAAAGAGAGAGAGCACGCTAAGTTTCTTCTTTTGTTTTAGACACTGTGATCCTGTTTCTCTGGGGCTCCTGATGATGATTATTCCTTCTAATCTCAGACAAATCTGTCTCAAAGGACATGAGGCCATTAACTGTGTAGGTAACATGAAGCCCCTGAAATGAAACTACTTGCCAGTTCGCCCAGTTCTTTCCTAACCTTAACCATGTTATTAAACACAAGCCTAACACAGCACACTGGCAACTGGAAGCCTTAAAGACAGTTAAAAAAACGAAGGAGAGGCCAGGTGCGGTGGCTCATGCCTGTAATCCAAACACTCTGGGAAGCCGAGGCAGGTGGATCACCTGAGGTCAAAAGTTCGAGACCAGCCTGGGCAACATGGTGAAACCCCATCTCTACTAAAAATACAAAAATTAGCCGGGCGTGGCGGCAGACGCTTGTAATCCCAGTTACTCAGGAGGCTGAGGCAGGAGAATCGCTTGAACCCAGGAGGCAGAGGTTGCAGTGAGCCAAGATCACGCCATTGCACTCCAGCCTGGGCAACAGAGCAAGACTCCATCGCAAAAAAAAAAAAAGTAGAATTAAAATTAGGATAGAGAAAGAGGGCTAGAACCTGCAATTTAGTCAACTGCTTTGTGACAAAGGAGGGAAGATGAATAAGGATCCTCATGTCAGCTATAACTGTAGATAACACAGGTTGAGTATCCCTTATCTGAAATTCTGAAATGCCTGGGGACCAGAAATGTCTGGGATTTTGACTTTTTTTTTTTTTTTTTTTTTTGAGACAGAGTTTCGCTCTTGTTGCCCAGACTGGAGTGCAGTGGTGCAATTTCAGCTCACTGCAACCTCTGCCTCCCAGGTTCATGTGATTCTCCTGCCTCAGCCTCCTGAGTAGCTGGGATTACAGGCATCTGCCACCACGCCTAGCTAATTTTTTATATTTTTAGTAAAGATGGGGTTTCGCCATGTTGGCCAGGCTGCCTCAAACTCCTGACCTCAGATGATCCACCTGCCTCGTCCTCCCAAAGTGCTGGGATTACAGGCGTGAGCCACCGCGCCCAGCCTTTTTTTTTTTTTTTTTTTTTTTTGGAATAAGTTTGCATTATACTTACTGGTTGAGCATCCCAAATCTGAAAATCCAAAATCGAAAATGAGCATTTCCTTTGAGCGTCATGTCAGGGCTCAAAAAGTTTCGGATTTCAGATTTTCAGATTAAGGATACTCAACCTGTATTGTAATGTCTTAAGCGCTTATCTGGCAAATATTAAAATGCAAGAACAGTTTAATTAAACACAAAGAATGGAGAAATTTAGTGCTCTCCTAAGAATCTCTATTCTGAGGAATTATTTGAAAAGGTTTAACGTGCCAGTGACGGGATGCTGGCAGGGAGCTATGTGAGCCATTAGGAACTAATTCTGAGGGGCTGAAAGCAAAGCACCAAAGCCAGTTGTCACATGACCAGACTTGTTACTTTCCAGGCTCCATGTGGATACATACTGGGCAGAACACTCTATCACAGCAGAATGGAATGAAAGCTGACAACTCTAGGTTTAGCCTGTGGGGATGTCCAATTCACTCTTAAATGTTTACAGGTCTCTGATTTTTTTCTTTTTTTTTCCTTCCCTTTTCCTTCTAAAGGAAATGATGAGGGGAAAGAAATGGAAGGAAAACAACAATACAAGCCTCAAAGCAGATTTCATTCTGGTGTAATGACATTAGTGGGTGATGATGTAATGGGAATAGGTTTGGAGCCAATTTCTTGTGGTGGAGGCCTATAAACAGCTGAACAGAAATTCTAGTACCTGGGATACAATATGATCTTGGAGTTTCTGAAGGGAGTTAAAGGGAAGTGTTCAATCACAGTTGAAAATGACTAGATAAAATCTTAAGTCCTAAATAACCAAGTAAGACCCCTGCATTTTCATTTATCACCACATACACATGGCCTATATGCTACTCTCTTAGATGTACTGAGAACAACAACAAAAAAATTAAGGTAATCTAGAGAAGTTTAGTTATTTATCATTATTAATAGTTTTCTACAAGGTACTCATGAAAATGAAGACAGTGACTCAATTTAACCTTTTTTAAATGGGGCAAACAAAAATATCTTTCTGGAAATAATAATAATTATCAAAAAGCTTTAAAAGAATCTAACCTTTTATTGCATGGGTCCCTGGACAGGCCTCATCTTGGCACAATCTGCCATGCAAACTGCTAAGGTCAAAGGAGAAAGATGCACAATTGCCAGGACGATATCTCTGTACACTTGCTAATGGATGGGTAGGTTTAGTTGGAGTACAAAGACCTGTACGATTTAAAAGTCTGGTAACAAATTCTGGCTGTCCTCTGATATCCCCCCAAAACATTACAAAGGTACACAATTCAAAAAGCACGTCTAGAACCATCTGTGCAGTCTGCTTTTAAATTTTGAACTGTCCCAACTACAGATGTGCAGGCATGATCAGCCCGCAAACATCTGTGTAGTCAACAGATCATGAATCTTTGGCTGGCTCAGAGCCACATACTGTAGTAGTGGAAGTTAGGTACAAAACAGAAGTTATCAAATTTTTTTGGAACTGAAAATGTATTAAAGGTTAAGTTTTAAAATTGAGAAGCCCATCTACATTAGGAAATCCCAAATAGGTAAAGCGAAAAATACAAGTCAATAATATCCTTTACATTTTACTGCATCATAGAAGTTCAGGACTGAAAAAAAAAAAAAAAGACATAAGGAGACACTCAGGCCCACCCCTTCATAAGACGCTCGCAGCTTTTCTTCAACCTCTGCCCAACCCCGGGTGATTCTACCTTAAGTGTTCAACCAGCTTACATTTGAGGGCCCCCCCACTCCAGTTCTGGGAAACTGGCTTACTGGTAAGACATTCTTTCCCATCTTTGGACAGCTCTAACTGTTCTTCTTTACATTAGGTTTTAGAGTTATGGCCTTTATGATTTTTCCATCCAGCAAACTCTTTTTATAAATTCCTGACTTCGAAAGACAAAGGTAATCTTCTTTTGAAGGACACAAGTTCTTCTCACCAGGAAAAAAGAGAAAAAGGTTTGAAGCATGTTTTCTAACATCTTTGCAGATATTATTAGTAATGTCTCTTAGAAGAACATAAATTGTTAATGTAAATTCCTGGAAAAAGTGAGTACTTTTATTCAAAAGGCTTTTCCTAAAGCAGATCCATTCTTTGCATGGAGCTTTAAAAACACCCAACAATTAATATTATATATATAAAGCAGGCCGGGCACGGTGGTTCACGTCTGTAATCCCAGCACTTTGGGAGGCCAAGGCGGGTGGATCACCTGAGGTCAGGAGTTCGAGACCAGCCTGGCCAACATGGTGAAACCTCATCTCTACTAAAAATGCAAAAATTAGCTGGCTGTGGTGGCACATGCCTGTAGTCCCAGCTACTCGGGAACCAAGGAGGTGGAGGCTGCAAACCCAGGAGGTGGAGGTTGCAGTGAGCCGAGGTCATGCCACTGCACTCCAGCCTGGGTGACAGAGCAAGACTCCATCTCAAAATAAATAAATAAATAAATAAATAAATAAATAAATAAAGCAACCGTAGTTAATCACCTCTTATTTTAATGCATTAATTGCAAATAAATTGATTTTGCTACAGAAGTAGTCCATTTACAACATCTACAAGCCCATGGAAAATATTCTGGGTTCATCTTCTAGGATAATAAGGGAAAGAATGTATTTAAAAGTAAGAGGAGGCTGGGTGTTGTGGCTTATGTCTGTAATCCCAACAACTCCGGAGGCTGAGACAGGAGAATCACTTCAGGCCAGTAGTTTGAGACCAGCCTTGGCAACACAGTGAGACTCTGTCTCTAAAAAAAGGATTTTTTAAGGCCAGGGGCTGTGGCTCACACCTGTAATCCCAACACTTTGGGAGGCTGAGGTGGAGGATCACTTGAGGTCAGGAGTTCAAGACCAGCCTGGCTAATATAGCAAAACCCTGTTTCTACTAAAAACACAAAATACATTAGCCGAGCATGGTGGCACATGCTTATAATCCCAGCTACTTGGGAGGCTGAGGCAACAGTTTCACTGGAACCTGGGAAGCGGAGGTTGCAGTGAGTCAAGATAATGCCACTGCACAACAGCCTGGGCGACAGAGCGAGACTCCATCTCAAAAAGAAGAATAAAAAAAAAATTTTTAAATAGGCATTGTGGCACACACGTGTAAGTCTTAGCTACTCAGGAGGCTGAGGCAGAAGGATCTCCTGGGCCCAGGAGTTTGAGGCTACAGTGAGCTATGATCACACCACTGCACTCCAGCCTGGGCAACAGAGGGAGACCCTGCCTCAAAAAAATTATAATAATAAAAAATACAAGAAAAAAGAGACTCATTCCAGGATCCTCTTCATTCCATGTTAAACTACTCTTTCTCTCTATTTTTTTTTTCTCAAAGCCAGGGTTTCGCTCTGTTGCCCAGGCTGGAGTGCAATGGTGTGATCTTGGCTCACTGCAGCCTCTACCTCCTGGGCTCAAGCAATCCTCCTACCACAGCCTCCCAAGTAGCTGGGACTACAGGCACTCAACTCAATTACTATCTCTCCACGAAGTATTCTCTACTGCTTTCTGGAACTGGTCCCTCCCTTGGGAGCATTAAGGAGGCCCGATCTGCACCTCTCTTTCTGTCCTCACCACATTACCTTGTACAATCATTGTATTTGATACCTTGTATGACATACACATCAATGTGTATGTCTTATTTCCCCTCCTGCTATACAAGCTCCTTGAGGGTAGGATCTGCATATGATTCATCTCTCTGGATCCCTCACAGTATCCAGCACACAGTCTGATAACTAATTACCCCTAAGAGGAGGTGCAAGACTGATGCTGGGTATGGCCTTTCAGGAAAAAAAAAAAAGGGGGGGGGGGCGAATCTTGGAAAGCTTGGCCCTGACATACTTATTGGAATTGCCTAACCAAAGGAAATGGTTACACAAGCTATTCCAGAAGCTTAGACTAAATGAGCTCCAGGACTTTAAAGCAAGACTGCAATCAGAAATCTACCTGAAACTGATTTACTGAAATGGATTTAAAATAAAAGGGGATGACAGAAAGGACACACACACACAAACATCTAAGACAGTGCTGGAAGCTGAAAGGCAGACTTGAAGGCTGGAAATGTGGATGCATACCATTCTCAAGTGTAAATCTTTTCAAAGTCAGAACCTCTTCAGAAAAGTGACCAGGATAGATTAGCAAAGTCTGAAATATTAATGACAATGGGTAAGTAGGAGGAAGATAAATACCTCTGCCTGGCCATCCATTAGCAAGAAGGGGAAAATCATGCAGAAGTGAGATGATTTGATCAGACCACTGATGAGTGGGCAATCTAGCTGTTACTCTTATATCCAGTTACTCTTTATCATTCTTAAAGAAAAAAATGAAACTTCAGAAGTTTTCAAAACATCCCAAAATCAGAGTGTTCCTTTTAAAATTGTTTGGAAATCTTTCAAGCTCTTGCTCTCAACCAGGTACCATGCCTGCCAAATCTTCTCTTAGTGATATGCCTGGGCATGGAACAACAGGATGTATCAAAATTATCAACCTCATAAATAAAAAGAAATCTAAGGTTTTATTGCAATATGACCTGGTTTCTGAAACTCAGGACCTTTAGACTTCAGTTCAGCTCTCTATTCCTTGGCATGTACTTCATTCTCTATACCAAACTCTTTTATAGTAGCCTAAACCCACAATACAGCTCTTTGAGGTAACTAAAACTAAATAGATGTTGTTGGGAGATAATACTTAAAAACCTAACATCACAACAACTGTCCAAGGGAAAAAGACCACAGGAAGCTCCGCTAAAATGAAACCCAATTCTTGACCAATGCTGCTTCCAATTAAAGCAAAGTTAAGTCCTCCCTTAATGTCTTCGATAGGCTCTTGGAAACCGCAACTTAAGCCAAACATATAACAAAACCAATTTTACCAAAGGCTAATTGACATAAATAAGAGTTAGTTCCTATTCCATATTTCTGGTCACAAAAACATCACCAAACTTCTAAATAAAGATCAAGACACTTCTAATATTAAACACTGAAATAAGTATGAACTATACATACATTGAAGAAAGATTAAGAAAAATAAAGGCCGGGGCCAGGCGCGGTGGCTCACGCCTGTAAACCCAGCACTTTGAGAGGCCGAGGTGGGCAGATCACGAGGTCAGGAGATTGAGACCATCCTGGCCAACATGGTGAAACCCCATCTCTACTAAAAATATAAAAAATTAGCTGGGTGTGGTGGCGTACACCTGTAGTCCCAGCTACTCAGGAGGCTGAGGCGGGGGAATCGCTTGAATCCAGGAGGTGGAGGCTGCAGTGAGCTGAGGTCGCGCCACTGCACTAGAGCCTGGCAACAGAGCAAGACTCTGTCCCCCGCCCCCGCCAAAAGAAAAAGAAAAAGAAAGGCCAGGTGCGGTGGCTCACACCTGTAACCCCAACTTTGGGAGGCTGAGGCAGGAGGATCACCTGAGGTCAGGAGTTCAAGACCAGCCTGGCCAACATGGTAAAACCCTGTCTCTACTAAAAATACAAAAATTAGCCAGGCATGGTGGCAGGCGCCTGTAATCCCAGCTACTTGGGAGGCTAAGGCATGAGAATCGCTTGAACCCAGGAGGTGGAGGTTGCAGTGAACCAAGATCATGCCACTGCACTCCATACTGGGATACAGCAAGACTCCGTCCCAAAAAAAAAAGTAAGATGATTATTTATCCAATTATTCCAGTTCAGGGTTGCAGATGATTGAAGCCTATCCCAACAGTTCAGGGCACAAGGTGGGAACCAAGCCTGGACAACTCAATCACAGGGCACACTCTCACTCAGGCTGAGACAATTTAGATGTGCCAATTAACCTAACATGCACATATTCGGGATGCAAGAAGAAAGCAGAGTACTGGAAAAAAAACCAAACAGACGTGGGGACAATGCTCAAACTCCACACAGAGAGTGACCCCGGCCAGGAACTGGTTTCTTTTTTCTTCATCAATATTATAATCAAACAACATTGTCTGAAGACCCTCTGTACTACTAGTTGAACCATCCTGGGAAGACATGTTTTACCTAAAAATAATGCTCTCACTGTCAAATGCAAACAAATATATCTTAGCTCAGTACTGACTAAGAAACAAATATAATGTTGGTATTATCATTCCCCTTTAATGTTCCCCAAACCGACTTGCAGCCCTTAGGCTTTTTGGGTTGAGTTCCCAACCATTCCTGTGCATCTCCAACTTAACATGTCAACAAGTATCTCTCTATGATCAAGGCACTTACCTTCTTCACTCACTTTTGTGACTTGCATTTTGATCATATCTTCCTCTGTCATGAGGTGACATCCTTTTTACAACTATACCTTGTTTTATTGCATTTCACTTTATTGTGCTTCACAGATACTGCTCTACCAACTGGCCATTCCCACCTCGGGCCTCCCTATTACCTGAGACACAGCAATACTGAAATTACGCCACTTAATAACCCTACAACGGCCTCTAAGCGTTCAAGTAAAAGAACAGTCTCACATCTTTCACTTAAAAGCTAAAGGCCAGGTGTGGTGGCTCACGCCTGTAATCCCAGAACTTTGAGGCACCAAGGAGGGCTGACTGCATGAATCCAGGAGTTCGAGACCAGCTTGGCAACACAGAGAGACACCCCCTATCTCTACCAAAAAAAAAAAAAAAAAAAAAAGAAAAGAAAGAAAAATTAGCCAGTCCTGCTGATGGCATGCACCTGTGGTCCTAGCTACTCAGAAGGCTGAGGTGGGAGGATCACTTGGGCAGCAGTGAGCTATGATCATGCCACCACACTCCAGCCTGGGTGACAGAACAAAACTCTGTCTCTAACTCAATCAATCGAAAGCTAGAAATGATTAAGCTTAGTGAGGAAAGCACATCAAAAGCTGATATGGGGCTGGGCGCGGTGGCTCATGCCTGTAATCCCAGCACTTTGGGAGGCCGAGGCGGGTGGATCACCTGAGGTCAGGAGTTCAAGACCACCCTGACCAACATGATGAAACCCCTTCTCTACCAAAAATACAAAAATTAGCCAGGCATGGTAGTGGGCGCCTGTAATCCCAGCTACTTGGGAAGCTGAGGCAGAAGAATCTCTTGAACCCAGGAGGCGAAGGTTGCAGTCAGCTGAGATCGTACCATTGCACTCCAGCCTGGGCGACAGTGCAAGACTCCGGTTCAAAAAAAAAAAAAAGAGCTGAGATGGACCAAGAGCTAGGCCTCTTGCACCAAACACTTACCCAAGCTGTGACTGCAAAGAAAAAGTTCTTGAAGGAAATTAAAAGTGCTCCTCCAGTGAACACACAAATAAGAAAGCAAACAGCTTTATTGCTGATATGAAGAAAGTTTCAGTGGTCTAGACAGAAGATCAAACCAACCACAACATTCCTTTAAGCCAAAGCCTAATGTGGAGCAATGCCCTAACTCTCAATTCTATGAAGGCTGAGAGAGGTGAGGGGGCTGCAGAAGAAAAGTTGGTTCATGAGGTTTAAGCAAAGAAGCCATCTCCATAACATAAAAGTATAAGGTGAAGTAGCAAGTGCTAATGTAGAAGCTGCAGCAAGTTTTATCCCGAAGATCTAGCTAGAGTAATTGATGCAACTGGCTACATTAAACAACAGAATTTCAGTGCAGACAAAATGGACTTTTACTGGAAGAAGATGCCATCAAGGACTTTCATAGCTACAAAGAAGTCAATGCCTGTGGAAGCCGATGCTCATTTACCATTCCAAAAATTCTAGGGCCCTTAAGAATTATACAAAATCTACTCTGCCTGTGCTCTATAAATGGAGCAAAGCTTGGATGACAGCACATCTGTTTACAGCGTGGTTGACTATTTAAGCTCACTGTTGAGACCTACTGCTCAGAAAAAAAAGATTCCTTTGAAAATATTACTGCTCACTAACAATATACCTGGTCATCCAAAAACTGATGGAGGCTGGGAGCAGTGGCTCACGCCTGTAATCCCAACACTTTGGGAGGCCAAGGCGGGCGGATAACCTGAGGTCAGGAGTTCGAGACCAGCCTGGCCAACATAGTGAAACCCAGTCTCCATTAAAAATACAAAAATTAGCTCGGCGTGGTGGCGGGCACCTGTAATCCCAGCTACTCAAGAGGCTGAGGCAGGAGAATCGCTTAAACCCAGGAGGCAGAGGTTGCAGTGAGCCAAGATTGCACCACTGCACTCCAGCCTGGGTAGCACAGCGAGACTCCGTCTCAAAAAACAAAACAAAAAACATTAATCTGCTTGCACAACTCCATCAGAGTTTTGTTTTGTTTTGTGACAGTCTCACTCTGTCGCCCAGGCTGGAGTGCAGTGGTGCCATCTCAGGTCACTGCAACCTCCGCCTTCTGGGTTCAAGCGATTCTCATGCCCAGCCTCCCGAGTAGCTGGGATGGCAGGCATGCGCCACCACGCCCAGCTAATTTTTGTAATTTTAGTAAAGACAGGGTTTCGCCACGTTGGCCAGACTGGTCTCAAACTCTTGATTTCAAGTAATCCGCCCGCCTCAGCCTCCCAAAGTGTTGGGATTACAGGTGTAAACCATCGCGCCCAGCCGAGATTAGTATTTTAACACCTGCTAACACAATATCCATTCTGCAGCCCATGGACCAAAGAGTAATTTCAACATTCAAGTCTTATTATTGAAGAAAATACATGGCCGGGCACAGTGGCTCATGCCTATAATCCCAGCACTTTGGGAGGCCAAGGCAGAAGGATCACCTGAGGTCAGGAGTTCGAGACCATCCTGGCCAACATAATGAAACCCCATCTCTACTAAAAACACAAAAATTAGCAGGGCTTGTTGGTGCACGCCTGTAGTCCCAGCTACTCTAGAGGCCAAAGCATGAGGCTGCAGTGATCCGAGATCACACCACTGCACTCCAGCCTAGGTGACAGAGTGAGACTCTGTCTCAGAAATAAAAACACTTCATAAGGACACAGCTGCCATAGACAGGGATTCCTCAGACAGATCTGAGTAAACTGAAAACCTTCTAGACAGGATTCACCATTTTAAATACCATTAAGAATATTCATGGCAGGCTGGGCGCGGTGACTCATGCCTGTAATCCTAGCACTTTGGGAGGCCGAGGCGGGCGAATCACAAGGTCATGAGTTTGAGACCAGCCGGGCCAACATGGTGAAACCCTGTCTCTACTAAAAAAATACAAAAATTAGCCGGGCATGGTGGTGTGGGCCTGAAATCCCAGCTACTTGGAAAGCTGAGGCAGGAGAATCACTTGAATCTGGGAGGCGGAGGTTGCAGTGAGCCGAAATCGTGCCACTGCACTCCAGCCTGGGCGACAGAGCAAGACTTTGTCTCAAAAAAAAAAAAAAAAGAATATTCATGGCCAGGCACAGTGCCTCAGGCCTGTAATTCCAGCAGTTTGGGAGGCCAAGGCGGGAGGACTGCTTTAGCTCAGGACTTCAAAACCAGCCTGGGCAACATGGCAAAACCTGTCTCTACAAAAAATACAAAAATTAGCTGGTTGTGGTGGCACATGCTTATTGTCCCAACTACTTAGGAGGCTGAGGTGGGAGGATCACTTGAGCCTGGGAGATCAGGGCTGCAGTGAGCCAAGATCTTGCTACTGCACTCCAGTCTGGGCAACAGAGTAAGACCCTGTCTCAAAAACCAACCAACCAACCAACCAACCAAACAAACAAACAAAAAAAGCCATTCAAAATTCATGGGAGGAAGTCAAAATATAAACATTAACAGGAGTCTGAAGTTGATTCCAATCCTCCTGGATGATTTTGAGGGGTTTGAGACTTCAGTGGAAGAAGTAACTGTAGATGTGGTAGAAATAGCAAGAGAACTGTAATTAGAAGCGGAGCCTGAGATGTGACTGGATTGCTGCAATCTCATGATAAAACTTTAACAGATGAGGAGTTGCTTCTTATGGAAGGCAAAGAAAGTCGTTCCTTGAAATGGAACCTACTCCCAGTGAAAATGCTATGAACATTAGAATATTATATAAACTTAGTTCATAAAATAGTGGCAGGATTTGAGAGGACAAACTCCAGTTTTGAAAGAAGCTCTACTCTGGGTAAAATGCTATCAAACAGAAAAGCAGCTACAGAGAAATCTTTCATGAAAGGAAGAGTCAACTGAAGCAACAAACTTCACTGCTGCCTTATTTTAAGAAATTGCCAGCCAGGCACAGTGGCTCACGCCAGTAATCCCAGCACTTTGGGAGGCTAGGGCAAGAGGATCACTTCAGCCCAGGAGTTTGAGACATCAAGATCAGTCTGGGCAACACAGGAGACCCTGTCTATACAAAAAATACAAAAATCAGCTGGGTGTGGTGGCACGTGTCTGTAGTCCCAGCTACTTGGGAGGCTGAAGTAGGAGGATGGCTTGAACCTGGAAGGCAGAGGTTGCAATCAGCCAAGATCATGACACTGTACTCCAGCCTGGGTGACAGTGTGGAGAGAGGAAAAAAAAAAAACAGGCCAGATGCGGTGGCTCACGCCTGTAATCCCAGCACTTTGGGAGACTGAGGTGGGTGGATCACCTGAGGTCAGGAGTTCGAAACCAGCCTGGCCAACATGGTGAAACCCCGTCTCTACTAAAAATACAAAAATTAGCTGGGCATGGTGGTGCGGGCCTGCAATCCCAGCTACTTGGGAAGCTGGGGCAGCAGAATCGCTTGAGCCCAGGAGGCAGAGGTTGCAGTGAGCTGAGATGGCGCCACTGCACTCCAGCCTGAGCAACAGGAGCGAAACTCCATCTCAAAAAAAAACACACACACACACACACAAACACATACACAGAAATTGCCAAAGCCACCCCAAACTTCAGCAACTACCACCCGAATCAGTCAGCAGCCATCATCATCAAGTCAAGACCCTCAAGCAGCAAAAGGTTATGACTTGCTGCAAGTTCAGATGATAATTTGCATTTTTACCAATAAGGTATTTTAAAATTAAAATAAGCACATTTTTTAGACATTATGCTGTTGCACACTTAATAGGCTACACTATAATATAAACATAACTTCTATTTGCACTGGGAAACCAACAAATTTGTGTGACTCTCTTTATTATAATGTTAGCTTTATTGTATTTTGCCCTAGTGGCAGCACTATCACAAGCATTTTATGTACCAGTACTGCTCAGGTATTTACTGAGGTTAGTTCTAGGTTTCTTCATTTAAATGAGCTAAGGTTTGTAAGATGTTATATTTTAAATGATGATGGGAGATACAGAGAAAGGAAGAATATTAATAAAAATAAATGGATGGATGAGGGAAAGGGGGGTAGGATTTATTTACTAACAGACTATTTGGTTTTTATGTTTACACAGATGGACCTTAGGACTTATGCTATTATCGATCACAACAGCTAAAAAGCATTTCTTAAGAAGGCTTATACTCTCCAAAATAAAACCAATCTAAAATTGACAATTTCACAAGAAGAAAAACAGCACTGGTCTGGAAATTAAAAGACCTACGTCTGTGTACTGGACGCTTGCTGCCTACTAGCTGGTGGCCCTGGGCCAGTCACTCTACTAAGCCACTCCAGCAATGATGTATACTGAACACATTCCAAAGGGGTCTCTGGTGGTTTGGTGGGGAAGTCCTACACTTCACTACTTGAAGATGCAATAAATGAATGAATACAAGGGAAGGCAAAGTGACTAGAGAGAAGAGAAGGTTCAATAGTCTCTATTTAAACTCATCTAAGGTTTTTATATAGTCATGCAGGAAACTAAGTTCAGGCACTACGTTTAGTGCCTGAAACCTTATTACTTACATTCTAAACCCTTACATAGCTGGGTACCAGCTGGTCATATTTACTGGCAGGCTACTGAATAGTCTTCACTACTATAATACAAGAATGAATAACATAGCTCTACTTCCCCAACTCTGATTAATGCCAAGTTTGACGTTTGAAGGTATATCTGTGTTAAGAGGAAGCCGCTTTTCAAAGTGCCTACTGGAAAACCATGCTTCCTAAAAGACTTAGGCTTAGAAGTGGCTGCACACTGCTCTCCTTAAAGATCTGTACACAAGGACACATTTTCAAACTGGCAGAAGAGCCACTTTTCCTTCAAAAACAAAAATACTTTTCTATTTGGTATCTAGTACAATATAATCTTTGAAACAGGGGCCAGATCATAATATAGTTGTAGCACAACTAGAGAAAAATGAAGGCACAGCAACTGGTATAAACAATGAAAGTGACGGGAAGGCATGAACAGAACATTTGAAAACTTTTTTCTGTGGAATAGAAAACGATATGTAACATCTTACTTCACACACATTCTTACTCATCCTTTCAATGCTCAAACTTAAACCATCTCTGCATATATAACAGCAATAAAACACTATCAGTATTTTGTATGATGAAGAAAAAGGATCAAGTATTTAGTGAAGTATTCTAAAGCAAGGGTCTAAAAACTACAGCTCATAGGCCACATCTGGCCTACAGCCTGTTTTTAGAAACAGTTTCACTGGAAGACATCAACCCTAATTATTTATTTATTTATTCATTTACTTTTAGACGGAGCCTCAGTCTGTCATCCAGGCTGGAGTACAATGGCACGATCTCGGCTCACTGCAACCTCCACCTCCCGGGTTCAAGCGATTCTCCCACCTCAGCCTCCCAAGCAGCTGGGATTATAGGCACCCGCCATCACACCCAGCTAATTTTTGTATTTTTGAAGAGACGGGTTTCACCATGTTGACCAGGTTGGTCTTGAACTCCTGACCTTAAGTGATCTGCCCACCTCGGCCTCCCAAAACGCTGGGATTACAGGCGTGAGCCACCATGTCCAGCCCCTAATTAGTTTATATTGTCTGTTCATGCTAAACAGTAGAGTTGAAGAGTTACAACAAAAATCATACAGCCACAAAGCCTAAAATATCTGGCCCTTTAAGGAAAAAGGTTCAGCCAGGCATGGTAGCTCATGCCTCTAATCCTAGCACTCTGGGAGGCCAAGGCGGGAGGATCACTTGAACCCAAGAGCTCGAGATCAGCCTGGGCAACATAGTGAGACCCCCATCTCAATAGAAAATAAAAAATAAAAAACTAGCCAGGTGTAGTGGCCCACACCTGTAGTCCCAGCTACTCACGAGGCTGAGGCGGGAGGACTGCTTGAGCCTGGGTGGTCAAGCCTGCAGTGAGCCATGATTGCGCCACTGCACTCCAGCCTGAGCAGGAACAGCAGAGCAAGATCCTGTCTCAAAAAAAAAAGAAAAGAAAAGAAAAAGTTTCAGATAATATTCTGATCTTGTTTTAAAGCACTGTTAGGTGTTTTATTTATCCCTGATTTACTGATGGGGAAACTGACACTAGAAGTTGAGAAGCTGGTCCTAGATCACACAACTGTTACTTAGCTCCCCTGCCTCCCTCACCTGTTCATCCTCAATTAGAAGTAAGCTGGGCCAGACCCCCTCTGCCCCACAGAAGTATCTGTTAGTCTCTCTGACCCTCCAGCCTAACGAGTAAATAAATCCTTGTAGGAAGAATGGTGAGTAACTGGTTTTTCAGGCCTCAATCCCGAAAAGGAATTGTGACATGAGCTAGAGACAGAAAGAGTGCCTGTAGCCTAAGTTAAGTTGTATTCTAAAACAAAGCATCATTTTCTTACCGGGTGCCTTCTGAGATTCACAAACAGCCTCTTGCCCAGTTTCTGGCAGTATCCTGTGTTTGTGTGTCTAGCAGAGGGAAGAAGTGTGATTCTGAAGAATGTTTCATAGATGCCAACTTACGGGCTTCAGAGTTCATAAAATACATGCCACATACATCATCCTCAATTGACCCTTACTTAGCTCAGTGATAAATTTACCAATATTATTCCAATTTTACAGATAAGGTTGAGGGTTGAATATCAAATTACTTGCTCAAGATCACAATACAATAAATGATGAGTCAAAATGCAAAAGCTCTAAAATTCTGTCTTGATTTATTATAACTTGCTCTTTCCCACTTTTTGCACTGTTTAAGCTGTCACTCTTTTTTCTTTTCTGTTTTATCCTTCCCCTTTGCATGTCTCTAGGCAGGTTAGCAGCACCTATGAATACTCAGCTGCGAACAGTTGGGGGCACTAAAGCACGAGGTAAATACATAAATAAATAAAATGTATTGGACCTGGGGGTTCTTAGCTCTCTGGCGAACTGTGATCTTGAGCAAATCTCTTAACTTCTTAGAAACTTCTCTATTCATCTAAAGCAACATCCCACAGAGCAGCTGAAACACACAAATGGTAAAACACATGTTAGAAGGCCTCAAAAAATAGCAAGCTTCATACAAATGCCAGATGGCATCATATCATCATGGCTGCCTGAAGCTAGACAAGACACCAACTACTGGTCTGAAGAGTCCCAGATACAGTACCGAGCCTAAAGACCAACTAGCTTCTTTTTCTCTATAATTTAGACTTACTTTGCTTTTGACATATTTCTTTAAAAAGCCTAGTTTCAGATGCATGGAAATACATATTAAAATAGAGAAAGATGTTCTCCTATCTCTTTTATAAACATGAAATAATTTTTAAGCCCTTTAAACTATTAAATTTGGAACAAATGTACTAGTTCCAAAAAAGCAAAGAATTCAAGCTGAACATGGGAACGTTCCAAATTTAAATCCTTGGGTGTGTCAATGATCAATAGCTATACTAGGTTTTCTCTCCACACTAATCCAAAAACATTTAAATTCTTTTTTTAAATTAATTATTTATTTATATATATTTTTTGGGATGGAATCTCACTCTGTCACCCAGGCTGGAATGCAGTAGCATGATCTTGGCTCACTGCAAGCTTCGCCTCCCGGGTCCACACCATTCTCCTGCCTCAGCCTCCCAAGTAGCTGGGACCACAGGTGCCCACCACCACGCCTGGCTAACTTTTTTGTATTTTTAGTAGAGACAGGGTTTCACCGTGTTAGCCAGGATGGTCTCCATCTCCTGACCTCCTGATCCGCCCACCTTGGCCTCCCAAAGTGCTGGGATTACAGGCATGAGCCACCGCGCCCGGCCTTCAATTCTTAGAATATGTCTCCTTGGGCTGGGAACGGTGGCTCATGCCTGTAATCTCAGCACTTTGGGAAGCCAAAGCAGGAGGATCGCTTGAGCCCAGGAGTTCAAGATCAGCCTGGGAAACATAGAAAGACCTCGTCTCTACAAAAAAGAAAAAAAAATTAGCCTGTGTGGTGGCACGCACCTGTAGCTCCCGCTACTCAGGAGGCTGGGGCAGGAGGATCACTTGAGCCGAGGAGCTGGGAGACTGCAATGAGCCATGATTGCACTACTGCACTTCAGCCTGGCAACAGAGTGAGACCCTGTATCAAAAAAAAACCCCAAAAAAACCCACAACCACCACCATCTCCTTGGATACCTAAGACTTCCACAAGCTAGGAGTACGTGCCTGTTTTGTCTTGTGAAAGGAATCTTGTTTATGTTAGAGGGTAGAGGAAACCTGGAGTCCAGGCAGCTCCCCACTCAACCTGGCCCCACCATCCAAGCAAAAGATTCTGTTTGGAGCTCTAAAGAGAGCTCCACCCACTTCCATCTATATCCAACATCCTGAAGTGAACATGAAGGAAACATGTTCTGGAAAGTTGGAATTTCTCAGACTATCTCATGGGTTGAAACCAATGTTTAAGGCTCTTCTGCAATAGCATTGATAAGAAGCTTGCCTTTACAGTACAAATGTAAAGAAATTAAACACTGTCTACACATTCACTAATCAGTGATGATAAATTTTTTTTCTCCCCAAGAAACCATTCCTGGCACACAATCAAATCTATTTCTCTAATTAGCATATTCACTTGCTTCAGACTTGTGTAACATGTTCTCTTTTTTTAGGGGGCATATTATTTTTTAAGCTTAAATTTTTCATGCTCCTATTTTTTCCCCCGTTTGTAAGACAAACATAATCATTTTGTTTCTGATACACCCTCAAGGCAAATATGCCTTGCACATAGTGGGGATTCAATACACATCTACTGAATGAACAAACACAGGTTCCTCAAGAACTTAAAAAAAAATTTTTTTTAAATAACAGTGTCTTGCTCTGTTGCCCACGCTGGAGTGCAGTGGCGTAATCATGGCTCACTGAAGCCTCAACCTCCTGGGTTCAAGTGATCCTCCCCTGCTCAGCCTCCTGAGTAGCGGGGACTACAGGTGCTTGCCACCATACCTGGCTAATTTTTAAAATTTTTTGTAAAGACAGGGTCTTGCTATCTTGCCCAGGCTGGTCTCAAACTCCTGGGCTCAAGTGATCCTCTCACTTTGGCCTGCCAAAGTGCTGGGATTACAGATGTGAGCCACCATGCCTGGACAAGAACTATTTTAAGACCCCAAGTATCCTTGGCCTCATTCTAGGTACTTTTCTTTGAAATGGGAAAATTCCTTCTTAAGTATCTGTGCTCAGTTGTGCAGTAACCTTTGTGCAGTAATCCAATGGAAGAGCCACAAGAGTGGGGTTGGAGAAAAACTTGTTCTACTTTGGAAAATGTAGACAATTATCTAATCATCGGCTCCACTGAAAAATGGGAGATTGTGCTGGTGACTTAATACATCTAAAAACCAGGGGGGTGGTGGGACAGGGGAAGGCAGAAAATTGTCAATTAAAAACCTAGAGGGCGTTATAATAATGTCAATATGAGCTTGGCTGTATTGATTCTGCTGTCTAGATTCTGCTCATTCAGATACACTGTGAATTCTTCCCTCTGTTTAGTGTCTTTTATTGATTTAAATGTTTAAAAGAGGAGAAGAAAGAAAGGAAAACGACATGAAATGAGACAAATCTTCCAAGCCAACCAAACCATAAATCTCTTAACTTCATGTATACAGCTGTCAGGAACTGAGAACATAAAGACCTCTTCAAAGAGGGCAAAGTGACTGAGATAGTTATGCTAATCCCTTACATTTGTACATACTTTACACTTCTTAAAGTAGTTTCATGTTATTTTATGTGTTTCTCACCATAAACACATAAGATAAGCAACACATCTGACAGATAAAGATACTTTATCCAGGTGGACTGAGGAACTTGGCAGAATTCACCAGGACAAGTATATGCCACAGGTGAAATTAAAATTCATGTCTTCTGATTCTCAGTTCTGTGCTCTTTCATTAAATCTTCTCCTTCTACTTTAGAATTGATAACAACAGAAAACACAAAACTTAAGAACCTATAGCTTTTCTCAGCCTGGAACACAAATCCACCAGGCCTTTTTACCTTTCGTTTTCCTGATCACTCTCCTGAAAAAAGTACTCCAAAAAAATCAAGATACCAGATTCTTAAACATTTCAAAGTAGAAAGCTTAAACAAGAAAGCTTAAGGTTTTCAAGCTTGCTAAACTGCAGTTGCATCAAAGGAGTGGGACTAGGCCATCTAGCTACCAAACAAAAGTGGAGATAGAAAGGATCAAGTTCACTTTCTGGGGGCCTGGTGATGGGAAGTCACTCTATCCTTTCTCTATAATTCAGAAGAAGAGCCTTAGCCCAGCCTCCTATATTGGAGATGTTTTCATAGCTGCCCACTTATAGGAGGAATCACCTGGCTAAATTCTATGCAGTGTTTCAAAATTATAGCTATCGCTACATTGTGAACATGGTGATAATGTTATTTTAATTATCCAGCCATTCCTCCAAGAAATCAGAATTCCTTTGTTCCACCTCACTAGGGGTAAGCAAGGATTATAAATCATAGCTAGGAAATTTAAAGCAACGGATTATTTAAGAACACCATGGGCCAGGCGCCGTGGCTCACGCCTGTAATCCCAGCACTTTGGGAGGCTGAGGCGGGCAGATCACGAGGTCATAAGATCAAGACCATCTGGCCAACATGGTGAAACCCCGTCTCTACTAAAAATACAAAAATTAGCTGGGCGTGGTGGCGCACATCTGTAGTCCCAGCTACTCGGGAGGCTGAGGCAGGAGAATCGCTTGAACCTGGGAGGCAGAGGTTGCAGTGAGCCAAGATCGTGCCACTGCACTCCAGCCTGGCGACAGAGCAAGACTCCGTCTCAAAAACAAAACAAAACAAAACAAAACAAAAAAAACCACCATGATTCATCTAAAAATATCGATCTCTATGTTTCAAGATGAGAACCCAAATGTGGGAGCTGCCTCAATACATACCACAAAGTATGTATCTGCATAGCTAAGGAATACCATAGAATACCTAATACAATTCTAACCACATATCTATTTGGAAAAAATCCTTCAACTACTTACCTGACCTTAGTGAATTTAGGATTCATTAAAGACAATTTCCAAAATACTGGTAGTGCTCAATTGTTATCTACTTGTACCATGCTTTGTTCCAAAAAGTGACCGTGTTCACCTATTTTAACAAACACTTTAAAGGTAATTCAATTTGACTGTATGTTTGTTCCCTTTACGATTAGCCTGTTAAGCAGTCTATAATATGAGAGTTGATGAGAACTCTGGGAAAGTTCTGTGCCTTTCAGGGGAGAAGCAAGTATGGAAAAGAGAAGGTAGGAGGAAGAATTAGTCCCCGAAGATGGACACAGCTATAGACTGTTTTTCATATATGGTAAGAAAGTGCAGTATAAAGAGCAAAAGCCTTTGTCACTAGGCTCTGCCTTCTATTTTCTCACCCTCAAAATGGGGGATGATAATCGTCTGTCCTACTTACATTAGGTAGATACCAAATAAGAGAATGAGTATGAAATCACTTCACTAACTATAAAGTACTATTCATATAAACACTGCATTCTATTACATTGCTTAACCACCTTCAAGGGGAGCTTCATGGGCATCTGGCCAATGAATTTCCAAGAGGAAAATAATCATGGAGTTTAGATTATAAATAATGAGGTAAAATGGCTGGAAATTTACCACTATTTCTCTAGTGAAAAGTTTCTTATTGCCTTTATTTTAGATTGAGGATAATTACAACATATATAGCCTAGAAACTAAATATAGGTGTCTTATATTAAAAATTCTGCTAAATCCTACAGATGAGGCTAGTCTCATTCCTGGTAATTAATTGTGTGTGCTGCTCATTGGTGCTACAATGATCATGTGGGCTATAAATTACTTGCTCAGCAAATGCTGCCAAATTCCTACATATGTATTTTTGGTCAGCTTCATGCAGGATGCTGCCATTTGAGATTTTACAAAGCTAAAATCAGTAAGATTATGCCCAAAGCAACTCAAAAAATAAAACCTAGTCTTTGTACCAAATGGAGATATGGTATATGTACTAATCTCAAGGAAATATTTGTACATCTTTAAAGCAAGTGAAGGTCACCAGATTCTAAGGAAGTATTTCTAGTCTTTTACTTATCAAGGCACACACAGAAAGTGTTAATATTAGCTTTTCAAATATTTAACCTATGAGCTGATAATGATGCCCTCATTTAGTTGAACTTGTCAGAAGACCATGTATTACATACGGTGCTCCAAGGACTGCGAGGAAGATGTAGGCTAACAATGAAACCTTTACCTTGTTGTACACGCCTGGATTAAGGGGAGTTACAGATATTCTCTATTTTTAGTAAACTAATACTAAAAAACCAAGCAAGTAACTTTTTGGAATAAAGAATATTAATTCTTACATGGGAAATGCACACTCAGAAAACAGGGGTGTGCAACCAAAAAAAGCTTAGAGAGCACTGACCTAGAGGACTCTACCATGCTCATTTCTGGATTTCTCAACTTTAGAGTCAGACATTTTTGGGCTTCCATGTTTGACATGTAGCACTAGTCTTCTGTCAATTCTCTTTCTTGATTCTCTCCTGTTTGTCCCCTAGGTTCAGCTATAATCTCTATGATCCTAAATTCCAAATATACATTACCAATTTTGATATTTCTCCAAAGCTTCAGTCCTTCATGTACAAGCTGCCTGGCTGGACATCTACAACCAGAAAGCTACCCAGAACTGAAATTCCACGTGCCCCAAATCAAATCTATCTTCTTTTCCCCCCAAACTTGCTCTTCCTAAATTTCTGTTTCTATCCTCCAGTCACCCAGACTGGATAGAAATCTCAGTATCATTTTGCACTTTTTCTCCTCTGTTCCTCAATTCTAATCAGCTGCTAAATTCTATAGTAACAGTGTCCAACAGTGTCCATCTCCTGACCTTTCTTCATACTACCACTATCTCTGTTCAGACCCTCATTGCCTCCATGTAATAAAAACGATGATGATGATAGCCAATGTTCATTAGGAGTTACTGTGTGCCACGTACAATTCTAAGCCCTTTATGTTACTACCTATTTTAAACCTCCTAATAATCCTATAAGGGTTGTGAACCTAAGATGTATAATAAATCATATAAAAGTGCAGCTCTCATAATGCCACATCACTCTACTACCCCAGATTTTCAATGGTCACCAACGTCAAGCAGAGACTGTTCAAATTTCTTAGCCTAGCAAACAAGGCCCTTCAACATCTGACCCAATCTACTTCTCCATACTTCTTTCTTTTACCACTCCTTCCTGTCCTTAACTCATCTCCTTATGCTCTAAGCAGTTGACCATTTACTGCTCTCCTTAACCCAAGATGTACTTTTTGAATCATGATCTTGCTTGTTGCTCCCAATGTCTGGAATGCCCTTGTCCCTACCTCCCTGAGTCTACACCCAGTTAAACAGCTTGCCTTCATTCCTAAGCGAACGTCTCCCCTCCTCTGAATTCTGTGTATTTTGCTTGTTCTTTCCATATCAGTTTCTAATACTTGATAAACATCATCAGTCTCAGAGTAAAATTTTATTTGTATACATTTTTAAAGTCTCCACAAAAAAGACATGCATGCGTGGTGAATTGATGAAAGGAAGTGTAAAAAGCATCCAACTTTAGCATTTCCTTGAAAGTAAGAACTATATAGCTTAGGTAGACAGAAGAAAATTTCATTTTATCTGGATATTTTCAATTGAGCAGGTCTTCCCTTTAGTTTTCTATGTAATTGAAACTATGGAAACAGACCAAAACGGTAGTACTTCCAAGAAGAAAGGATAACCAAGTGAATTAGCACTGCTATTTGCTGTAGTTATTTTAGTCTTCTTTCTTTGAACTAAGGAACACAAGGTCACAATGTTATGCCACTTTAAAGTTAAACATTTACTATGTTTTTTTTTCTTTAGTTCTTCCTTTATACTGGAATTTACCTTCATTCCTTATCCTTCGATTGCCCATTTTCACTGCAGGTGCTAGACTGTAATCTAATTTAGAAAAAATACTATAAGTAGAGAAAAACTTTTGGTCAATTATTGAACAGCGGGGTCTAGCTTTGGGATCCCTAAGGGAGAGACAAGAAGATAAGAGTGATAATACAAATAGAATCTGACCACGTTATAAAGAGGTGGGCCCCCATATGGAGGTAGCAGAACACATTAAAAAGAAAACTAGCCAGGCACAGATGCTCACACCTGTAAATGCCAGTGCTTTGGGAGGCTGAGGTAGAAAGATCCTTTGAGGCCAGGAGTTCGAGACCAGCCAGGGAAAATAATGAGACTCCATTTCTACAGGAAAAAAAAAAAAAGTTTTTGTTTTTTGTTTTTTTTTCTTGAGACGGAATCTCACTCTGTTGCCCAGGCTGGAGTGCAGTGGCACTATCATGGCTCACTGCAACCTCCCAGTTCAAGCAATTCTTGTGCCTCAGCCTCCTGTATAGCTGGGACTACGCCTGGCTAATTTCGGTGTTTTTTTAGTAAAGGCTGGGTTTCACCATGTTGGCCAGGCTGGTCTCAAACTCCTGACCTCAAGTGATCCGCCCACCTTGGCCTCCCAAAGTGCTGGGATTACAGGCATGATCCACCACACCCAGCCAAATTATTATTTATTTATTTATTTATTTATTTATTGTTTTGAGACATGGAGTCTCGATTTGTTGCACAGGCTGGAGTGCAGTGGCGCCATGTCGGCTCACTGCAAGCTCCGCCTCCCGGATTCATGCCATTCTCCTGCCTCAGCCTGCCGAGTAGCTGGGACTACAGGCGCCCGCCACCACACCCGGCTAATTTTTTGTATTTTTAGTAGAGATGAGGTTTAACCATGTTAGCCAGGATGGTCTTGATCTCCTGACCTCGTGATCTGCCTGCCTCGGCCTCCCAAAGTGCTGGGATTACAGGCGTGAGCCACCACGCCCTGCCCTCAAAATTTTTTTTTAATTAGCCAGGCCTAGTAGCGTGCATCTGTAGTCCCAATTACTCGGAGGCTGAGGTGGGAGGACTGCTTGAGCCCAGGAGTTTAAGGTTGCAGTGATCTATGATTACACCACTACACTCTAGCCTGGGTGACAGAGCAAGACCTTGTCTCCAAAAAAAAGGAAAGAAAACTAAACTTCTGGGAAATGTAGACATGAAATATATTCTATCCAGCTATGTCTATTATAATCTTCAGTCAGTACACTTTAGGACTTAAATATTACATAACTTACATCGTTCAAGCCCTCATTCTTTCAATGGACTATAACTTTTGTCTAAATATATGAAGGTCATCACCTTCAGAAAAATTAAAAATGTTAAAGTATATCATGGTCTATCAAAGAATATAAAGAACAAATACTACTCAAACATACACAAGCACATACACACATAATACCACTTTGCTGATGGGAAACAGTAAAGTCAGCACAGTTAAGATATTATTTTGGGTGTCTATAAACAATGATTCCTATTTTAGTCTTGTCAAATGCTTAAAATGACCCTGGAATCTTTGTTTATTAAATACAGGTTAGCTTGTGGACTCACTTTAAGAGCCAGGTCCAAACTTTTTTGGGAATTAGCTTGTTCTTGAAATATAATAACAAAAAAACAACAACAAAAAACACTAACTGGCTTGCAGGTGATGTGTTTGTATACCCTAAATTCCTCATAATGCATAAAAGTAACCTGGCTTTCTGGAATACCTCACAGGTGAACACCATTAGCTTCCTAGCTGGTTCTCAGCTTTCTGAATAAGCAACTAACTGGCTGAGGCAAGGTATCTTCAGATCCCAAAGGGACACTAAATCTGCTGCAGCAGACTTTCTAACCAACACACTTCAGGTAAAGACTTCTGAACCTCTTCCATGGCACATTTTCTCTGTTCCTTCTATACCCAAACAGCAAGCCTATACAGAAGTCCCAAAAAGAAAAGAAACATGAAAAATAAAAAGTGAAAACAACCTAGAGGAATAAAAGAAACATGCAACAAATTGAGTGGGAGTCAAATCTCCAAACTTGTACAAGCCTGTTCCTAAAAAGCTGAAAGACTTGGATTAGGGCACCTGAACTTACTGGGCCTCAATTTCCCCACTTTACAAGAAGGGAACTAGACTAGATCCCTAAGTGATTCCCATCAGCCTAATTTAGATGTATTCAAACTCTGTATGCATATATTATCAGTAATAAGGATAGGCAAAAATCATTCCATTCATGAAGACAGCCATGTTCAACTTTTAATACATTTTTTGGGTTACTGAAGCTCCTACAAAAGTATTTAGCCTCTTTAAAAGGGAGACCTCATCTTGTTTTAAAAACAAAAGCCCAAAGTGACCACGATTGCTGTTTTTAAACCTACACATCCCTGGAACTGGAATTTTATTTGGTAAAGTCAGTATCAATTTTGCCAAACCTCATTCTGTCTGAATATGATTCTTCCAATGCACAGATAGGAAGCAGACACCAATGCTGACTGACCATGCCTGAGAGGAAGTGACTTAATAGGACAGGAAATCAAACATCACAAAATATCAACCCCACCCCTGGGGGGGAAAAAAGGAAGTCCTAAAAATAGATGACACTGGGCATGCAGACTAGATTAAAAGAAACCCCCATGAGTTTCCACCAATTATGTTAGAAAGGTATCTCATAGTAGGTATCAACTGTGTGAAATTTATGTTAGATTTCTGATGAGAGATCAATTATTTTTTTTTAAAGTGTTCATCCCACAATTGGGCACAATGGCTCATGCCTGTAATCCCAGTGCTTGTAATCCCAGCACTTTGGGAGGCCAAGGCAGGAGGATCACTTGAGTCCAGGAGTTTGAGATCAGCCTGGGCAACAAATCAAGACCCCGTCTGTATTTAAAAATAAAAATAAAAATAAATAAATAAAAAAAAATTAGTTGGGCACGGTGGCACATGCCTGTAGTCCCAGCTACTCAGGAGGCTGAAGTAGGAGGATTGCTTGAGCCCAGGAGGTGGAGGCTGCAGTGAGTCATGATCATGCCACGGCACTCCAGCCTGGCACACCAGCCTTGGCAACAGAGCGAGACCTCGTCTGCAAAAAAAAAAAAAAAAAAAAAAAAGGCATTAATCCCAACATTTACTTGCTTACTATACAGCAGGCTATAATTACCTCCCATGCTTGAAAATTGACAGGATAATCACAAAGCAAACAAAAAAAAAAATGGTTCCAGTTTACTTTATAAATATTTGGTATACAAACTAAATATGTAACCTCTGCTTGGTAAACATCTGCAACCATTACAACTTACCTGCATTGTAATGCAAATCTCATAATGCAAATGGAACAGGCTTCCAGATTTTATTCTGAGAGGTTCCTAAATCTAACAAGAGTTTTTTAAAAATCAGCATACCCATTTCATCCTATTCTGAGAGGTCCTTAAATTTTGACAAAGGGGTTAAAATTCTTTCACAAGGATCTTGATGAGTAAAGGACTGGTGGTCTCAACATATGCATTAAATAAATAGGGTCATGTCAGCATAAATAGGAATATGCAGGTGAAGGCAGTTTAAAAAGAAATGTGTCAGGTTTAAACTAACTCCTTTTTACAAATATTAAAATACTGGCATTTTTTTCTTTGATGCCACACCTATCTTCATAAACGTTTCATCCCCCAAATAGTCTGGATTAGTAACAACTAATATTATGTAGCTCTTCACAATTTGCAAAGTACTTTGACACACATGATCTCATTCAAGACTCGCCACTAAATCAGACACTATTTTTAGGTTCCATTTTTACATGTGAGGAAGCTAACACTAAATAGCTGACTTGCCCAAACCTACAAAGCTGGTGATAAAGGTGAGTGGGGCTTGAACACAGATCTCTTGACTTTAAATGGTCTGTACCATGCTGCCTCAAATACTGTGATCAGAGTAAATAAATGTCCATATCTCTAGACCCCATCTAAGCCTCCCCCACTTACACACACAGCCACCCATGGCCTAAATTAGAGTTAGCTCTCTAGAAGGTCTTTGCTCTTTCTGGAAGCAAAGTTTTCTTCATTTGTCTAGTAAACATTTATCTGGCTGAAGTGTTAAATACCATTTGACATACACTAAAAAATAACTTAGTCATCAAAGGTTTTGTACAGGCATGCCCATGTGCATTTTTCCAGGTAGTGGGTCATTCTCAAAGAGAATGGTGAAGAACCTCGGCTAGAGGCAGTGACTGGGCATCTTTCCAAGAAGCCAAATCCACAAAGTTCTCAAGTTTATAGTTTACTTCATACTGTACCACACCTTCACTTTTGCCTCCCCTGCTGCAGGCCTTCTCCTAGGGCCAACAGGGTCAAGTCAGCACCTACAACTGTTTTTAAAATCATATATATAATCTGGAACAACTGATAACATATAAATAATCAATGACAAACAAATAAATTTAAATCAAAATAACTACCTCTTAAAATGTAATCCTTAACACATACTTCTTCATCTTAGGACTTAAATTCCCAGAATGAACATTTTCTTATTATAAGCATTCTAATTCCCCAAAACTTTCACAAATACAACTACTCTGAACTCCTAAAATACTATCTATCCCCTTCACTAAGAACCCTCTAGATTACAAAGAAGACAAGGTAGCATGCAAGGAATTCTGAATCTGTTAGGCAGTTCACTCAGCTATCATACCAAAAGAATTTAGAATTTTTTGCTGGGGGGAGGGAAGTAAAAAGAGTGGGAGAGAGAATGAATGCAGCCCTATTGTCTTATTCCCTGAAAATTCCTAATCTGAATCTATAACATATTCCTACTAACCACTCGACTTGAATATCAGAAGTACAGTCTCTTTTCATCTTAAATAGAGCTTTTCAGTCCAAATCTGTATAAACAAACTTTGTCCTTCAATCTTTCAACTCCCCAGCAGTTTTTCAAGGTCACTTTTGCAAGCAACGACAGAGGCCTGCATCCAGGAACTTTGACTTGCTATATCATTACAACTCCAAGAGCCCCGAATCTAAATCCTATCAGTCCTCTAAGGTAAATCCTTTATTAGAGGGGAAGCTAGGGAAGGCAAATCGACACCCTCGAAACTTCTCCTCTAATAGGGCCTGCTCCTTTTCCGTACCCAGAGACTAAGTGCTGCTGGCTGACGGCTCCACACTGAGTCTGCTGCAGAAATGTTCCAATGACCTTCATTCCATATTTGCAAATAAAAAGAAAACAAAGAATTGCATTTTAAAATCAGGTGTATTATAGATCTTAGTATGTGGGATTGAAGATTTCACTGTTCATGAGAACTGGCTGGTTACTGATTAGCAACCTACATTAGCTTTATATCCATAAAGAGAAAAATATATACATATCAAGGGCAAAAGATAGGGTGCCTATACTCTTAACTTTCCTATTCACAAACTGCAGGATTTTAAATATTTAATACGGAAAAATGGAAAGCACTTTGCTCACATCATTTTAAAGAACTAAATCAACACCTGACAAAATGTGTGAAATCTGTGGAAAAATATTTGCTCATCACTGTCAATATAAGTGAAGATATTTCTAACCAGCATTCTAAGCTAAAATGTGCATTAAAAACAAAGATTGTTACTACATTAACTACTACTTATTAGAATCTAGAGGTAGACTGGTAAATCAAGAAAGTTATGGGAAAATTTCACACTGGCATGTGGGCCTTCACCATTAGAACCTGCAGCAGTGCAAATCGTATTTTCACACAAATTTCTAACAGCAACAGTGTTGCTTCCATATCTGAAAACACAGATGTCAACAAAGTGCATGGAAATAGAAAAACTCTCACAACAACCCAGCTTATTCCGTAGGAAAGCTTCAGGGCACTTGAACAAAGGAAAATTATTTGGAAAACAGTTAAGTTTACCCAATGCAAAGAGAAAAGTGTTTTGCTTCTGTGTGCCCCTGAAAAATGATTAGCCTTTCTCCATGTACCTGATCTTGTCGATACCCAACTAGGAAAGAAATCCTAGTTGAAGGACATGCAAAATCTAAACACAGCAAGGTATTCTAGGTGCACCAAAAGGTATGCATGGAATGTAAAGTGGCCATTTTCTGAACAGTGCAACTTGTCTACACTCTCTGAAGCTAAACAGTTTCTATCATTTCAACACAAAACAAAGAATTAAACTTACCGGGAACTGCATTAATTTTACATGTAGTTATTTATACCTCCACCGACTGGGAGAATTTAAGTCACTCCTATCCCTACCCCCCAAAGGACGGAGGAAACAAAAGGCAGCAGGAGATGCAGAAACATGAGTCTGGAATGTCCACTCCACTGAAAACCCGAACAGCTGTCCTCCCACCCCCCAACAAACTATTCGCCATTTTTCTTTGTCTTTCAGCTGACCCCTGCCTCAGTGAAAAACTCCGAGGCTCCAATGAAGCCCTGCAGCCTCCTTCCACTTTAACAGTCAAAGGCATTCAATCTAGCATGCTATTTGACACCAAACCTTGCCTCCACAGTGGTCCCATTGGCTGAACTGCTTTATCGGCTAAGAACACAAAGCCACGATTGGCTGTTCACGTCATCAGTTACCTCTTTTGTACACTTCCTGTTTTAAAGTTACCTTGAGAAGCAGAACAGGGGTCAGATTCAGACTTCAAACTATGGGGAACTCTAAGGCGTGGAAATGTCTGGCAAATGCACATAGCAGCTGCACTAGGGCATCATGTGCTTCTAAAACAGAATATTGAAAATTTAGAATTGTTCTTAAAAACAAGCCAAAGGGTTGTTAGTGTTCCCACCCACGGGATTTCTTATTGGCTGTCAGAGTTCCATTTAAAAAATTTAAGGTAATTTAACTGCTTCTGATTGGCCATCAAAGATGTCTGTAAGATACTGCTACGGTATCCTATGGCAATAGACCAGAGAAGCAATGTGCACAAGGTCGGAAAGTTGTGACCATCTTCAGTTTTCTGTTGAGCATTAACAGAAGAAAAACAAAACTGGGTAGGGCTAATCCAAAGAAAATACAGCTTCTTTAACACTAACAGAGTGATGCCAATGGCCATACAATAGTTTGCATGATTTCTAAAAGGCATCTGTCATTATGTTAGTGGCACTTTAAAGGCACAGACTGGTATCAAGGCAAAGCACTTTATTTTAAAACACAAACTAATTTAAATAGGAAAATTTTAAGGTAATGTATGAAGTTAGCGGCAGGGACAATGGAAGTGGCATTTCTAGAAAGTCAACCAGGAACCTAAGAAGGAAATATAATGATAAGGGGTTGGGGGGAATGACAAAAAAGCTAGAACATTAGTGAATACAATCATCCCCTGGTATCCATGGGAGACTGGTTCCAGGATACTCCCCAGCCAACCCTCTCATGGATACCAAAATCCTTGGGTGCTCATGTCCCTAATATAAAATGGTATAGTATTTGCATAAAACACTTGCACATTCCCATGTATACTTGTTTTTAAGAGATGGTGTCTCACTATGTTGCTAGGCTGCAATGCAGTAGCTATGCAGGCACAATCAGGGCACAACAGCCTCAAACTCCTGGGCTCAAGCAATCTTCCCACTGCAGCTTCCAACTTGGGTGAAACTACAGGTGCATGTCACTTTGCCCAGCTTCCTCCATACTTTAAATAATCGCTAGGTTATGTATAATACCTAATAAAATGTAAATGCTATATATGTAGTTGTTATACTGTATTGTTTAGGGAATAATGACAAGAAAAAAAGTCTGCATATGTTCCGTACAGACACAATTTTTAAAAATATTTTTGACCCATGGTTGGTTAAATCCTTAGATGCAGAGGGCTGACGATGTATTACTAAAAGCACATTATAATTTGATGGACTAACTGATTTATTTAGGGCAGTCACAGAGTTTGACATTCCAGAGGATAAATTCGTTATTTCTTTCATTCTTTTTTTTTTTTTTTTTGAGATAGGGTCTGGCTCTGTCACCGAAGCTGGGGTGTTGCTGGGGTGTAGAGGCACGATCTCGGCTTACTGCAGCCTCCGCCTCCTGGGCTCAAGCGATCTTCCCACCTTAGCCTCCTGAGTAGCTAGGACTACAGGTGTGTGCTACCACCCCCGCTAATTTTTCTATTTCTTTCTTTTCTTGTTTTTTTTTTTTCTTTTTTTAAATTGGTAGAGATGGGTTCTCACCATGTTGCCCAGGCTGGTCTCGAACTTCTGGGCTGAAGGGATTCTCCTGCCCCTGCCTCCCGAAGTGCTGGGATTACAGGCGTGAGCCACTGTGCCTGGACGAGGATAAATTTTTCTCTCTCTCTCTCTTTTTTTTTTTTTTGGAGATGGAGTCTCACTCTGTTGCCTAGGCTGGAGTGCAGCGGCGTGATCTTGACTCACTGCAACCTCCACCTCCTGGGTTCAAGTGATCTACTTAGTAGCTGGGACTACAGGCACCCACCACCATGCCCAGCTAATTTTTGTATTTTTAGTAGAGATAGGGTTTGACTATGGTGGCCAGGCTGGTCTTGAACTCCTGACCTCAAGTGATCCACCTACCTCGGCCTCCTGAAGTGCTGGGATTACAGGAGTGAGCCACTGCACCCCAGCCTTCTACCATATATATATAAAAAAATTTTCTTTTTTTTTTTTGAGGCAGAGTCTCCCTCTGTCACCTAGGCTAGAGTACAACGGTGCGATCTCAGCTCGCAGCAACCTCTGCCTCCTGGGTTCAAGCGATTCTCATGCCTCGGCCTCCCGAGTAGCTAGGATTACAGGTGCCCACCACCACATCCGACTAATTTTTGTAGTTTTAGTAGAGACAGGGTTTCACCATGTGGGCCAGGGTGGTTTCAAACTCCTGACCTCAGAAAACCTACCCACCTCGGTCTCCCAAAGTGCTGGGATTACAGGCATGAGCCACCACGCCCGGCCCCATATTTTTAAGAATAAGCACAGCAGAGCTGATCTCAGAAGAGATATTATAAGTATTCTTACTAGTCTCACTGTGGTTATTGAAAACATTCCAAGGTGCTGAAGTCTACCAGTGGTAGTCAAAGATTTTCTTATGGATTTTGGACCAACTGCTTCGGTTTTTTAAGAGGCAGCTCCTAATGTGGTGAAAATCAATTAGCATGTTTTTCTTTTCTTTTCATTATTTTTTTTTAGCAACACATTCAAATACAAGCATCTCACCATTCATTACCTGAGGCCTTTAACAATCTCCTTAGATCTGCTTCCTCCCACCAAAGCTAAATATCCTAGGACTGAAAAATACAATTGTTTTGCTAGGTAGACGAGCTCTTTTCTAGAAACTCCTCATTTGACCATACATGAGAACTCATCCTTGACATGTGCAGAGATTCAGCAGGGACCCGAAATAGGAGCAAGGTGGTCTGCCCTATCACTCTGCCATATTAACTTCTCTACATTCCACTCATTTCCCATGATGAAATGAAATGATTTCTGAACACCTACTAGTGCCAGGTTCTGTGCTAGGTATATTACAGACTTTACCCCTCTAATTCTCACTACAATACCCTTCTACCAGTGAGAAAGAGTGAGGTTCAAAGAAGTTACAAAAACTGGTCCCTAGCCATACATCTGGATTCAAACTTGGGTCCCACCGAGAGTGGTACTCTTTCCGCTGCACCACACTGCTTACCAAGACATGGAGCACCTCAGGGCACATCCATGGAAATTCTTAGGTGCCATATATATGTGTAGATAGCATAAACCATTATCCAACTTCAACAAATTTAAAAATTAAAAATCTGGGCCAGGCGTGTTGGCTCACACCTGTAATCCCAGCATTTTGGGAGGCCAAGGAAGGAGGATCACTTGAGCTCAGGCATTTGAGACCAGCCTGGGTAACATAGTGAGACCCCATCTCTATAAAAAATACAAAAATTAGCTAGGTGTGGTGGCACACGCCTGTGGTCCCACTTACTTTGGAAGCTGAGACCAGAGGATCACTTGACCCAGGAGGTCAAGGCTGCAATGAGCCGTGATCATCCCACTGCCCTCCAGCCTGGGCGACAGAGTGAGACTCTACCTCAAGTAAATAAATAAATAAATATTAAAATTTAAAAATCTGACTAATGTTAAATTTGATATGCCAGTTAGAGACCTAGCCAATGGTATGACCAAATATCACCCTATAAATTGTTACAAATTTTACTACTAAATTATTAGGACCATTTAACCAGTAACAAACCACATTTATAAGAGCATGAAACAACTAGGTAAATCATTAACAAGAGTACACTGTTAAAATTTGAAGGGGTTGTGAGACAATTTCACAATGGCATCCAAATAAAGAGTTTGGTTATGTTAACACGATGTGTTATAGGTACTGTAATTCTTTTCTCAAAAGTTTAGATTACAGATTCTGAATAGCTACTCCCATCCTGGGAAGAGAAGGCAGAAGGCCAACAGGCCTTATCTGTACTGGAGCTTCTCTTAGCCCCAGAACACCTGAGGGCCAGTCAGCTGACAAGGAAAAGCAGCTCATGTGAAGGGTGGGGGTGGGGAGCAGAAGAATAGGGAGAACATGTTCACAACCTCGCTGATTACTAATTAGTGCCAGTATGGCAAAACAACTAAGCACTTGGAAGGCAGTGTTAGTTTCAAGTTCTGACTCTACTTATTAATTATATGACACTGTACTAACCCTGAGCCTCAGTTTCCTTATCTGTAATGTATAGATATCACCATGTATACCAGAGAGCCATTTTAAGGATTAAACAAGGTAATATATGTAAAGCATATTGTACTATGCCTGAATAAGCATTGAAAAAATGGAAAGTATTAAATGTCATCCAATTCAACTTCCTTGATTTATAGACGGTTAAGGTTCAGAAAGGGAGAAGACCTGCTTAAGGCCCTGAAGCCACTTTGAAGAAACACCTCTCTTCTATCTCTAGCATATTCTGCAGGCCTGCAGAAAGCAACTCCTTAGCCATAAAGGACAGTATGGGAAGACTACCAGGAGCCATAAAATTCTCCACTTTTTATGCTGGAAACCCAGGTTTTTCACCACTAATCCCACCAAATGTCTGATCACTGTTCCAAAAGCTGGCCCTCCGACTCTGCTTCGGATGTACCAGATTAACCCAATCATGACCTTTAACACTCTATGAAGGTCTTCAGCGTAGTTTTTATTACTTCTTGGCAGTTTGCAAGGAAAAGACCTCAAGTCCTACTTCTCATCAACACTTACCTTAGAATTCAAGCCACAGTGGGAAGAGAACCCAAATTATTCTTGAATTCCATTTGGCAGCTGAATCCATTCACTCTTACTATAGCTTTCTCTTCTACCTGTCATTACTGTGGACTGAGAACCTAACAGAATCTCTAGGATTTCAGCTAACATTCTTCCCTGGTCCTGGATCTCAGCAGCCCTCTACACCAGACAACTGCATCTTCTTACCCTAAAAAACACTCAAATCAGGCTGGGCGCTGTGGCTCACGCCTGTAATACCAGCACTTTGGGAGGCTGAGGGGGGCAGATCACGAATTCAGGAGATCGAGACCATCCTGGCTAACACGGTGAAACCCCGTCTCTACTAACAATACAAAAAATTAGCCGGGCGTGGTGGCGGGCGCCTGTAGTCCCAGCTACCCAAGAGGCTGCAGCAGGGGAACTGCTTGAACCTGGGAGGTGGAGGTTGCAGTGAGCAGAGATCGCGCCACTGCACTCCAGCCTGGGAGACAGAGCTGTCTCCAAAAAAAAAAAAAACACTTAAATCACTATGAGACAAAACCAGTAACTCTGGTTACACGGTTGAAGCTTTAATACTCTCAAAGAAGGTAAAGTGAGAATTTTGCTCTTGGTTGGGAGAATGATTTCTGAATCATAGCTACCTGCTTACTAGCTGCATATTGGCCAAGATACTTAACCATTTCTGAGCTCACTTCCTCCTGTGTAAAATGGAGGCAATAACACCAACTAACAGGAGTGTTGAGGCTTAAATAAGTGAAAGCACTCAACATATTATCTGGAATGTGGTAGGTGCCCAATTAATATCTAAATATACACTTGATTATACAGCAGGTACACATAACTATTTTTTAACATGCCTCTATTACCAAAGAAGGGCTTCTTGAAGGCAGCAAGTGTCTTTATTTTTATCTACATATATCCCCAAAGCATAAAGATATAAATCAAATCCGATTTTAGCCACAGTGTCAGTGAAATAACGGAGTAGCAGGGATTGAGGAAAACTGGCAAGTGTGTGACTCATCTAAAGGAGTGACCACTACACAGCTCCAACTGAAGAGGGCCATGTAGGAAATGTGGTTAACTGCAATAAGAGCTTCATATTCTTTTTTTTTTTTTTAGGGCTAATTGCCCAGGCTGGAGTACAGTGGCATGATCACAGCTCACTGCAGCCTTGACCTCCTGGGCTCAAGTGATCCTCCTGCCTCAGCCTTCTGAATAACTAGGAGCACAGGCATGCGCTACCACACCCAGCTAATTTTTAATTTTTTTTTGTAGAGACAGGGTCTCCCCATATTGCCCAGGCTGGTTTCAAACTCCTGGGCTCAAGTGATCCTCCCACCTCAACCTCCCAAGATGCTGGGATTGTATGTGTGAGCCACTGCACCCAGCCCAGATTCTTTAAGAAGTAAAAGACAGACTGTTTTAATGTCAAATCTTTCTATTTTAAGTTTCGGTTCAAGTTTTAAAAAAAACAAAACATAGGCCAGGCGTGGTGGCTCATGCCTGTAATCCCAACACTTTGGGAGGCCGAGGTGGGTGGATCACCTGAGGTCAGGAGTTCAAGACCAGCCTGGCCAACATGGGGAAACCCCGTCTCCACTAAAAATACAAAAAGTAGCTGGGCGTGCTGGTACATGCCTGTAATCCCAGCTACTCGGGAGGCTGGGGCAGCAGAATCGCTTGAACCTGGGAGGTGGAGGATGCAGTGAGCCGAGATCATGCCACTGCACTCCGGCCTGGGCAACAGAGTGAGACTCCATCTCAAAAAACATTATAAGCAAATCAAAGAAAATTGAGGACTGCCAGATTATAATTTCTGACCCATTATCTCTCACCCAACTTGGTCTTGAACAACTAGTAGCTATTTCTCAAATCCAATCCACCTTCAAGGTTTAACAAACAAACAAAAATATGTTCACACATCTTCAAAATAATCTGATAGAAGTTCTGAAGATAGGCCGGGTGCGGTGGTTCACACCTGTAATCCCAGCACTTTGGGAGGCCGAGGCAGGTAGATCACGAGGTCAGGGGATCCAGATCATCCTGGCTAACATGGTGAAACCCCACCACTACTAAAAATACAAAAAATTAGCTAGATTTGGTGGCACACACCTGTAGTCCCAGCTACTCGGGAGGCTGAGGCAGGAGAATCGCTTAAACCTGGTAGGCGGAGGTTACAGTGAGCCAAGATCACGCCACTGCACTCCAGCCTGGGTGACAAAGAGAGACTCCCTCTCGAAAAAAAAAAAAAAAAAAGTTCTGAAGATAATCCCCAAAAAAGGCCCAGAAACATTCTGAGCAATGACCACGTCATTAGAATAAAGGAACATTGCACTGGTGCTCAGTAAATGGTTATCAGTGAATGAAGGAATGAAATAAACTAATAAATGGACCTTAAGGAGATGACAAATTCTGAATTATTTGTTTTTTGAAAATAAGTTATATTCTCCAAAGCATAAATTAAGACCAATAGATGGGAAATTATTCTGCAAAGACTCGCTTCAGCTCTCAGAGCTGTCCAAAGATGACACAACTTTCCTCAGAAGCTATGGATGGGGTTGTTAGGCACGGGCTGTTTGAACACTTGACAGGGATGTGTAAAGGCAACATGAGAGAGAGCAGTCATGTGCAGCAGCAAGAAAAAAAGCCCAATCTTTACAGCTAAACAGATTTAGATTTTAATCCCTCCTCACCACTTTTTAGGTGAGTGACCTCGTGCTAGTTATTCAACTCCATCGAGGCCAGTTTCCTGCACTAAAACATCTTGCAAGGTTTTAGGGCTTAGGAAAATTTCATTTGTTCAATAAATACTTAAATTATAAGCATAGCCATTGTACTAAATAAGCTCTGGGGATTCTAAACAAGACACAGTTCCTGTCCTTAAAGAGATTAAAGTCTACTGTAACAAACAGGAAAGTTAAAATAGGCAATCATGATGCTGTACATTAAGAGTTACAACACATGCAAATGCAAAATGCTATGGGAGGACATAAGCATAGCACCTAACCCAGGGCTTACGTAAGTTTTAGGCTGGTCAGAGAAAGCTTCTTAGGAGAATTAAAATCCTAAGAATAAAAACCAAGATAGACAAAGTGAACTGCATGTGCAAAGGCCTGAAGCTGACAGAAAGTATTACATTCCTGTTTGGTATAGCAGCAGCCCAGAAGCAAGAAGCTAGAAGTAGAGTTAGAAAGGTAGGCCGGGCGCAGTGGCTCATGCCTTTAATCCCAGCACTTTGGGAGGCCAACTGAAGTCAGGAGTTTGAGACCAGCCTGGCCAACGTGGTGAAACCCCATCTCTACTAAAATACAAAAATTAGCCAGGCATGGTGGCAGGCACCTGTAATCCCAGCTACTCAGGAGGCTGAGGCAGGAGAATCCCTTGGAGGCAGGAGAATCCCTTGTACCCAGGAGGCAGAGGTTGCAGTGAGCCAAGATTGCACCAATGCACTCCAGCCTGGGTGACAGGGCGAGACTCTCTCTCAAAAAAAAGAAAGGTATACAGGGTTGGACAAAGCTAATATACTAAAACTTTATTCTAAGGACAATGATAAGGAACTAATGCGTCTTAAACATTGGACTGGCACAATCAGTCCCACGTTTAAAGTGTAATTCTGATTTTCCCAGCCCCATGTTTAAGACTGTTTAGTTCCTTACCATTGGGTACAGTGTGGAGAATAAGCTGGAGAAGGGGACACAGTGGGAGGATGGCAGCACTCTAGACCACTAACGTGGAAAACAGGATGCTAAAGTTATCTGGTGACTGGATGCAGTAGTGAAGACACTGAGTTCAAGACCAGCCTGGACAACAAAGCAAATAATTCAGAATTTGTCATCTCCTTAACGTCCATTTATTAGTTTATTAAAAATTAAAAAATAAAACAAATTTTTTTGAATTCAAGACCAGCCTTGAACCTCATAGAGTGAGACTCCATCTCAAAAAATAAAAAATAAGCCAGGTACGGTAGCTTACACCTGTAATCCCAACACTCTGGGAGGCCAAGGTGGGAGGATCACTTGAACTGAAGAATTTGGGACTAGCCTGGACAACATAGCAAGACCTCCTCACTACTAACAATAAAAAAATTAGCTGGGCAGGCATGGTACTACATCCCTGTAGTCCCAGCTACTCAGGAAGCTGAGGCAAGAGGATGACTTGAACCCAGAAGTTTGAGGTTGCATTGAGCTATGATCACACCACCTCACTCCAGCGTGGGCAAGAAAGTGAGACCCCATCTCAAAAAAATTAATTAAAGTAAAATAAAAAATAAAGAAGATTCAAAAATCACTAAGACCCAGTGGTTAATAAGGCATGTAGAATAACAACACTGTGCTTGATAAAAAGCATGTACTCAAAAAATGGTACCTGCTACTATTATTATTGTTATTGGGCATTGGATTAGATGACCTTTGAAATCACATTCATCCTTAAGAGTCTACGTTACCTTGAAGATGTATCTTGTTCTCAGAAAAGTCCTTTCCCACGATTACCAAGCTATCTTATACAAAATGATTCATTTTTTTATTCATAGACTACACCAGAACTGCTCAACTGGGCTCCACTACACACCAGTCATAGCATGAAACGTTTATTAGGTGTTCTCACAAACAGCGGTCCATGACCAAGTAAGTCTGAGTAACACCGCGTAATGTATCTTCCCTCTTGAAGGGTCATAGGCAAATAAGCACCAAGGCTCTGAATAATAATTCTGCAGTAAAGAAAGGCATTTCACTTTGGCCATTTTTTGTCAAGGATCCTCTTTTTATCCCCAAAGGACACTGATTAGCACTACACAGAACTAATGTTCAGTGGAAGAGCTTGGGAAATGCTACTCTAAACCAACTTACAAATTTTAGTGGAGTGAAAAGACTATAGGCAACTGTATTCTGATAACCTTCCAAAATGGTTAGAGTTTTACACACATTATGGCGTTTTCCTTTCTAACTTAGTACTACTGAAAATGACATTAAATACCACCATAAATAGCAATCCTTTGCCTCCTAAGTGATTGCCAACCAAGCATTCTTGGCTTCTTAAAAGGCCCCAACTTCGTCATTTCATAATGAGCAAATTCTATGCTACTTACTTTCAGGGTACAGTAATAATTTTTAAAACAGTTTAAAATGACAAGGATGTCAACTGTGCAGATAATGTGTACTTTATTAGCCCCTTCTCTCTTCTCTTTTAAAAGGAACAGATCATGCCAGTGTCAAAGGGATATATCTTCTTAACACTGGGCAAAGAATCTCAACTTCATAGAGATTACTGGACAGTTTACAGCTCTGGAGGCCAAGGGCAACAGTAATTTGGGATTGTGAAAACCTTCAGTACTTCAGATTTAAGCCAATGACATGATACAAAATATTCTATACTCTAACATCATTTCCTATGAGTCATCTCATTCCTTTTTTGGTTTTGTTTTGTTTTTTTTTGGAGACAGTCTCACCCTGTCGTCAAGGCTGGAGTGCAATAGAGGCGCGATCTCGGCTCACTGCAACCTCTGCCTCCCGGATTCAAGCGATTCTCCTGCCTCAGCCTCCCGAGTAGCTGGGGTTACAGAGGCCCACCACCACGCCCAGCTAATTTTTTGTATCTTTAGTAGAGATGGGATTTCACCATGTTGGCCAGGCTGGTCTTAAACTCCTGACCTCATGATCTGCCCGCCTCAGCCTCCCAAAGTGCTGGGATTACAGGTGTGAGCCACGGCGCCCGGCCCATCTCATTCCTCTTATTAAAACACTTTGAAACACTGCTCAAGATCACTATTTATGGTTCATACTCATGAATGTATTTAAGAATAGGACAATTATTGAATCTTATTAAGAATATACAATTGACTTTAACACTTGAACCCGGGAGGCAAAGGATATACTATTGGCTTTAAATGAAGGGTATTCAGGCTGGGCGCAGTGGAGGCTGAGGCAGGCAGATCACCTGAGGTCAGCAGTTCGTGACCAGCCTGGCCAACAAGATGAGACCCTGTCTCTACAAAATATACAAAAATTAGCCAGGTGTGGTGGCACGCACCTGTAGTCCCAAGCTACTCAGGAGGCTGAGGCAGGAGAATCGTCTGAACCCAAAAGGCAGAGGTTGCAGTGAGCCGAGGTCATGTCACTGCACTCCAGCCTGGGCGACAGAGCAAGACTCCAGCAAATAAATAAATGAATGAATGGCATTCATTTAAATAGGACACCTTATATATAGTACCTTGAACGTGAATTTTTTTTTTTTTTTCAAAGAGGGAATCCCGTTCTGTCACCCAGGCTGGAGTGCAGGGGCATGATCTCAGCTCACTGCAGCCTCCGCCTCTGGGTTCGAGCGATTCTCCTGCCTCAGCCTCCTGAGTAGCTGGGACTACAGGTGCCTGCCACCATGCCTGGCTAATTTTTGTATTTTTAGTAGAAACGGAGTTTCACCATATTGGCCAGGCTGGTCACAAACTCTTGACTTCAGGTGATCTGCCAGCCTCGTCCTCCCAAAGTGCTGGGATTACAGGCGTGAGCCACTGTGCCTGACCAGACATGGATATTTCAACCTTTATTTTAAACGTATTCTACTGGAAACATTCAAATGCAAAGATTAGACTCTAGTTCCACTCTTTAAACTACAAGTTTATACAATAGAAAGCTCTCATGAAGTACTGGATGTAGAAGTAATCTATCTGGAGATCTGAAAATAACAAAATGGAAAATACAACTCCAATACTGAAAATGAGTACAGGTGCTGTCTCACTGCTATCAGGTACATCACTGCTAACACATGGAGAAGTGTGGGAAGGGTGCAACAATTCCTGCAACCTAGCAAAATTTTCTGCAGGCAGAGAGATTTTTCCTGAACCATTCCACAATACTGTCTAACTGCTTACTTCAAAGAAAACGTTACTCAAGTGACTACAAATCACACAAACCAAACCAACGGTCCTACTTCAACTGATAATTTGTACAGTTAGAAAAATTTTAAATGACTATAATGGAAATCTCTCCTTCTGGTCAGAATGAAAACACCAGTTGTTCCGAATTTAATCATCATTGCTATTTGTCAAATATGAAGAAGTTTTCATCGCATCGCAATCATTACCACTCAACACTTGGGGATGAACAAAAGAGATCAGGAAACAATCTTTCCCTGAAACAAATGATCCTACTACTTTGTGCATTCAAAAGTAAGACTGACCTCACACTGGTCCACTGAAAATCAGCTCCTAAACCACAACAGCACAACTAAATTAGGTTACTTCATGTCAAGTGGTTGCTCTCCCATTTGGAAATCTTACTGTATATTGCAGAGCAGACAATTACAAAAGGCCTCACCCCTCCTCATCAAGGAAGCTGTAACGGGCTGAAAGGACAGATTTCATGCTGTTCCAAAATGAAAATGTGTTCTCCCACTTATTAAGGTCCACTAAGTGATAGGCATCTACCACACGCTATTATATTCATTTCTCATAATTACCCTACAGGTAGGTATTATTGTCGTTATTTTACAGAAGAAGAAACAAGTTAAGAACCTGCTCCAGCACAGAGGGTAAATGCACTGCAGAGACAGAACTCTTCCCTTGGTCTGACTCCAATCAGCAACTAATACTGTCCTCTCCCATAGGCACTTTTTGGCCAAAGTTTTAAAAATCCATTTCCTCCTGCAATTAATCTACTTACATTATATTGAGTGCTTTGAGTCTCTGCAGGAAAACACTAAAATGACCTTGTAGCCTTCCTAAACTGTGACAGTGCATGCATGAAAAACTGAATAAACAAAATGAAAAGAAAGACTGTAAGACATCAGATAACTCACAACCAGTTTCCTCTGAGAACAAGAAACAGAATGGAAAAGAACAACTTACTGGCAAAGGAATATTCTTCCTGGTTGTATGCCTGAGGCCAGGATTGACCTTAAGAAGGTCATTTGTGACCCTAGTAATGTCCTCTGCCATTCTCATTCCGGTGAATGAAGTAAACCTGTCACTTAAAGTCATCTCTGCCATCAAGTCAATGCGTCCACAGGAGAGGCAATGCTATCCAGTGGAATGAGCACCTATCTGGAAATCCAGTGATCTGGGCAAGATTTGGCTCTGCCCTTGCATAGCCAAGTGACCCTGTCAAGGTCATCTCACTCTTTTGGAGCCTCAGTACAAAGGACACGCCTGAAAGAACTGAAGTTCGCTTCCTGAGCTAAGAAGCCAGGACTTTTTTTCTTTTCCCATAACATTCTATGGTGTCAACACAGTGTTTAAGAGTAAGGGCTTCATTTACATAAGAATTAAGAATTACAAATCTGTGGCTGAGCACTGTGGCTAACACCTGTAATCCCACCACTTCAGGAGGCCGAAGAGGGCGGATCACGAGGTCAGGAGTTTGAGACCAGCCTGGCCAACACAGTGAAACCCCGTCTCTACTAAAAATACAAAAAATTAGCCAGGCATGGTGGCGGGCGTCTATAATCCCAGCTACTCAGGAGGCTGAGGCAAGAGAATCGCTTGAACCTGGGAGGCAGAGGTTGCAGTGAGCCAAGATCGCGCCATTGCACTCCAGTCTGGGGAAACAGTGCGAGACTCTATCTCAAAAAAAAAAAAAAAACAGAATTACAAATCCGTGTCTGAATCTGGGCTCTGCTACTTACTGGCTGTGAGAACTTAAGCAAATTACTTTTCAGTTTCCTCACACGTAAAAATGAGGGTGGCTATATTATCTACCTCATAGTGTATGAGAATAAATATACATAATACATTTATATCCCAGCTGGTACAATGTAAGCAAGCACTCAATAAAAGTAGTAACTATATTATCCCTGTGTTTGATTCACAGATCCTAGTGGCTCAGTACTTTTGAACTAAAAGATATAAATTTCAAAATTACCTCAAAAAGACACCCAGCATAGCCTGGCTGGGCACGGTGGCTCACGCCTATAATCCCAGCACTTTGGGAGGCCGAGGTGGGTGGATCACCTGAGGTCAGGAGTTGAAGACCAGCCTGGCTAACATGGTGGAAGCCCGTGTCTACTAAAAATACAAAAATTAGCTGGGTGTTGTGGTGCACACCTGTAATCCCAGCTACTCGGGAGGCTGAGGCAGGAGAATCGCTTGAACCCGGGAGACAGAGGTTGCAGTAAGCCAAGATCACACCACTGCAACTCCAGCCTGAGTGACAGAGTAAAACTCTCAAAAAACAAAACAAAACAAAACCCAAAACAAGACTCCCAGCATAGCTCCATAGCACAGAATGGGTTTAGCCCATATATGTTTACAATTCTGTGGTATGAATCCTCATTTCGCTTTGCCTTCATTTCTCTGAAAATAAAAGGGGATAAAAATGCCTTGTAAAATCTTCTCTAGTACAGTTTTGGGATTTTTATTTATTTTTTGGGAGACTGAGTCTCGCTGTGTTGCCCAGACTGGAGGGCAGTGACACAATCTCAGCTCACTGCAACCTCTACCTCCCGGGTTCCAGCAATTCTCCTGCCTCAGTCTTCCGAGTAGCTGGGATTACAGGCGCCCACCACCATGCCAGGCTAATTTTTGTAATTTTGTTTCATCATGTGTGCGAGGCTGGTCTCAAACTCCTGACTTCAAATACCACCTGCCTCAGCCTCCCAAAACGCTGGGATTAGAGGCGTGAGCCACTGCGCCCAGTCTCTAGTAGTTCTGACCAAAGAAAAAAATGTGTAAGTATAAATGAGATAACAGATTTGTCATAAGAATTAAATAAGATGCCATGAACACAGCCTATAAAGTATAAATCTTAGTATGATTTCTGCCTGAAGAAAAAGCTGAGGTTCACAAGTTTTCAACATAAACTCAGATCTACTGAGATTTCCTGAGAGTTCAAGATTTCTAGAGTGGTCAATTCCAGATCTTAACAAGGTGGCCATGGGTATAAGGGGCTAACATGGAATGAAGGTGGTCACCAATGTTGAAGGGCAGGTTGCTCCAGAAATGCCTGCTGAAAAAAAAAAGGTGTACATATACACTCATTTTTATCACCTTGTCTAGTCTTACTAAAAACGAAACTAAGTTATAGATCTACAGCATTCTTCATATTTGGTTAACTTGATGACTGAGCCAAATGAGGCTGAAATGACCAATGTACAAAATACATGGCAAACCCTATTTTCACTTGTAGCTTTGCCTCTATCTTCCACAGTGAAACGTTATTGTAAACAAAAATGAGGGAGGGCTTCACCTAAGCACATCAAGACATAAAGCAATTAAGATTTCCAACTCACTGGTCTCCTCTCAAACCCTGATTTAAAGGTTTCCATGCAAAATTGGAACTGCAAATATTTTGTCCTATCCAGTCTTAATTTTACACATTGTTCAGGATAAGCATATCCTAGAATCAATATCCCACAGTCTGAAGAAAGCACTAGGCCTTTGAATAGGTCCTGGTATTTGGGGACACCCTAAGGAACTGGTGATGCTTGAAAAACCTCTCCAGTGAGCTCTTTACACTAGGCACTTGGTAGTTCCTCGCCATTTGGCATAAATTACCTCCACATACAGAAAGACTATCTGCAATATTCTGAAGCTTGGTTTTAAGGAATGCAGATTCTTCAAGTTTCTGTACATATTTTTCCCCATTATCTACCTGGATTCAGGAAAAAATGCAGCAATTTACTTGGTAAATCTTCCCTTTCACAATAGAAGCCAAGGGATATGATTTGAATACCTAGCTGAAGAACCCATATTCTCTATGGTTACAATTCTGTGGTCTGAATCCTTAAGCAGCACAAGAAATTCTTAAGAATTATAGTCTTCCATTTTATACACTCTAAACACCCAGAAATCAAAGTAGATGATCCACTTGGAAATACAAAATTATCTGGAAGTTTCATTAGTCAGGTTTATGTTGATAGCTGATGTAGCAGATAAAATTACAGGCTTTGGCATCAGGCAACCAGGGTTTGAATTCTAGCTCAACCACTTACTGAGTGACACCAGACAAGCTACTTAAACTCTCTGATCCTCAGTTTCCTCATCTGCAATATGGGGACGATAATGCCTACCTATTGGAGTTAAAATATGCCCCAAAATAGCAATTCTCTTCCTCTGCTACTTATCAATTCCCTTCTCCAGAAAATGTAGTTGCATTCACATAAAACTAAATTTGAAAACCCTAGGAGTTTCTTGAAATTGGTATGAAAACAGAAGAGTACCATCTAAAGCTAAAAAGGACTACCTAACAAAAACAAGGAAAAACAAATTAGGAAAACACAGATGTTTAACATAAATGTGTTTCCATGGCCCTCACACACTGGGACGAGCAAATGTAAAGCAATACAAGTAACTACGATTCAGATTCAGTGGAAAAGAACATATTCCCAACAAGTTGACTGGAACGACTCTGGATTGGAATAAAAACTTTTTGAATATGAACCAGAAAGTGTTGACAAGTCCTGTTCCTTAAGAAGCTATGCATGGGCTTTTTTTTGGTTTGGAGCTGCTTATTTGAAAAAACAAACAAAAAATTCAAAGTACACATGGGAATGGGTATACTTTTTAGGCACATATACAAGGAAATAAACCAAGACCGAAAATTTCTGGCTAGCTCCCTTTCCCTTAAAGGGGAACCTAACAATATTTACTCAACAAATAACTACCAACTACCTAATATTTGCTAATGTGGCTTTGGAAACTCAGCCATGACCTGTATCCTTCCTAGAGCAGCAAATTTCATATACAACATCTCAAAACTACTTGTATGGTCCTGAGACTCAATAATGTATAACTGTTCTATTAATACACTTCCCAAGTCCGAAAATGTCCCCTAAAATGCTTCCTATATCAGATTTTGTCACTTTAAATCTGATACTACTTAATGCTGTGCTTCCTAGGCTCGGACAGAGCACACTTCTCAATAGCATTCCTCTCTCGGTTTACTTGCTCCTCACATCACATCCCAGGTCCGTTGACTCTGGACTCCAGGGCTCCACCAAAACCTCAGTGTTTGAATGCTTGCACTCTCCAGCAAAATCCCTGATCCGATTCTACCGTTCAGCTATGCCCCTAGCCCTGATGCCTTTCTTCCTACACCATACACTCACACCGTGGACTTCAGGGCCACTTCCAAACTGGGTCACATTAGCAACCCTGGATCTCGAAGACTCTCAGCCTGTCACTTGGGTTTCGGTGTTTCCAAGCCTGGAACCCTGAGGGCCTGCACACCCCAATCTTGGGCCATGCATGTACCAGGAAAAGCACCTCTGAAAGTGAGTGTCCCCCATTCCCAGGCCATGGCCTAAGCTACCCCCAAAGTACCTGCCAGGCCATCACCCTCTCTTCCCCCTTAAAGCCTCTAGGCTCGCCCTCTCGCCGCAACCCCACGCCTGCGCCGCAGGGGGTCATTGCCCCAGCCGCCCTAGCCCAAGACGCGCGCATCCCCGCAGCCTCAGATTCCTTCATCACCCCCTAGACCGGAGCTGGCGCGTCCAATAAGGTGCCAGGTCCGCGGCCTCCCCGCCACCGACCAATCACGAGCGAGCCCCCCCGCCGTCGCCTTCCGCCAATGGGAGAAAGCCCGCGGGCCGGGCCGACGAGGCACACGGACCCCACGAGCGCGGCGGCGGCGACAGCAGCGGGCCAGGCAAGAGCACAACATGGCGGCGGGCAGGACGGACCGAGCTACAGCAGCGGCCGCGCGAGGAAGTGAGGTCTCTGGCGAAGGCGGGAAGCGCTGCCCCTCCCCCCGCCGCCGCTTCCCTATCACCCTCGCACAGAAACTCCCGCACACTCACACACCTCTGCTCAGGAGTCCAGGAAGAGCAGGAGCCGCCCCCGCGCTCCTACGGAGTCGGGCAATGCAGAGGCCCAGGCGCGGCGGAGGGGAGGGGGAAGTGTGCGTCACGGAGAACGGAGCGCGCGCGAAGCGGGGGCACAAGCAAGATGGCGGCCACGCCGTTTGCACCGTTTCCCCTTTTCCCTTCCCCCTCCCTTGGCGCCTGGACTCCCAGTATCGTGCGGTGCGCAGAAGCTGTGCTCCTTGAGGTCTCGCGAGAATTGGGAAGGGGCGACGACAGAGGGAGGCGGAATGAGATCTGAGAGTTTTAACCCCGCCCCCTTTCGGGAGCTCGAGATCTGAGTTTTGACCCCGCCCCCTTTCGGGGGATCCGGAGGCGCTGCCCAGTGACCTCCACCACCCTGCCTATCCTTGTGGATCTCCTTGGTGCGAGCTTGAATTTTAGGAAATAAGTAGGTGTGTGCGCGTGCCCTTGAGTTTTAGGAACTAAGTAGGGGCGTGTGTGTGTATTTGTGTTTTTAATTTGGGGAGAAAGAACTGGGGGATGAAGGTCGACATGGCGTTCCAGATTAAGCATGCCGTTCAAGTAGACAGCTACTGGCACCTTAAATTCATAAAAGAGCATTTAGCACCAAACTGTAAAGTGATGTCCTCTAGAATAAAGAACAGTACTTACCAAGAATAGTTAGCTTGTAACCTTACGTCGACATAGTTGTTCTTATTTGAATGCAGATTTTAAAGTTTTATCACGCAGTTGGAAACCACAGCTACTATGAGCATGGATTTTTTCATACTTATCTCTTTCATTTCCGTGACCACTTGGTCCAAAGGCATCAGGATTGTATCCATTTTACAAATGATAAAACTGAAGCTCAAAAAGGTTAAGTAACTTGATCTAAGTCCCCACAGCTAGTAAGTGTCAAAACCCCATCCGAATAACTTCAAAACCTGTAGGTATAGTCATCAAATGTGTCTTGAATGGAATTACCTACAGTGAGAGTTAGTGCATTAGGTAACAAGCGCAGAGAGGAATGACTGCCTCTGCTGATGGTAACCTTGAATTTTACAAATGACACTGGAGCCTTTCTGAGACTAGTGTTGCATGGGTCCTCAATAAAATCACACTGTTGTTACTCACTTCCTTTGGGTTTATAACCCTGGTGATAAAGTAATTGAGAATAGTGGAGTAAACCCTCGACTTGAATTCAGGAAAATTGTTTTCAAATCCAGTTTCAATAAATCTCACATCAGGCACTCTATTTGATGAATGAATGAACAAAACCTAACTATAAGACACTTGACTTCAGGGAGTCTCAATTCCTTCATCTGTAAAAAGATCTAATTCCTAACTTTTGGTAATGTTGGGGAGAGTGAATGAAATAATGTGAGAGTGCTTCGTAAATTGCAAAAGTGTTATAAAGAAGTTACTGGTAAGAGCTACGAGTGTCTCGCTGCACTCTAGCATGGGCGACAGTGCGAGGCCCTGTCTCAGAAAAAAAAAAAGTTACTTATAATGACATTTTCAGACATGAGAAATGGCATAAAATTAAAAACAGATTCAAGAGAATAGTATGTTGAGATTGTAGAGACAGATGTAGCTAATGGAAAAAAGCTAAATAAGTCTCTCTACAGATGTTTATTGAGTACTTATTGCATATACTATGCTTGCCAAAAAATGTAAAAGTGTACATTTAGTTACAATGAAGCAGCACAAGTTATTATTAGTGATTATTGTTATAATTAAGTATTGATCACACTTAGGGGCTGCAGTCTATTTCCTTCCAAGAGCCTGGAAGTTGGGTTGCCCTCAGAAATAAATAAAAATCTACATAGAGGAAATTAGCTAAGAGTGATATTAAGTATATTTAACAACAAGTAGTGCTCAAGCATAGATGAAGCAGAATTAGAAATGCAGCTAGGATCCTGGAGGTATACGTCTGTGCTAGGTGTTAACCCTTCAGTTGCTGGTTTGTGAATAGGAGGTCCCAAGGGATCCCAGGGGAAGGGAGTGGTCAGGAGGTTTGGGACAGCAGCTATTTACCAGGTAGTACTAGAGTATTTCAGTATTTTAATAGTCAATGTTATAACTGATAACAGTCAATTGATACATATAAGCCTAATATTAGTCCTTGCTATAGTCTTTATTATCAATAGCCTCCGCCCTTCCCTTTCTAAAGCCGTTGCTATCTGGCCTGTCCCTAGGAGATTAGGGTGAAAGACTTCTCACCCTAATGTCGTCAAGCTTGGCCTTGTTTTGACCAATGAAATATGAGTAGAAATGGCATGAACCGGCCGGGCACGGTGGCTCACACCTGTAATCCCAGCACTTTGGGAGGCCGAGGTGGGTGGATGACGAGGTCAGGAGTTCAAGACCAGCCTGGCCAAGATGGTGAAGCCCTGTCTCTACTAAAAATAAAAAAATTAGCCAGGTGTGGTGGCAGGCACCTGCAATCCCAGCTACTCGGGAGGCTGAGGCAGGAGAATTGCTTTAACCAGGGAGTTGGAGGTTGCAGTGAGCAAATATCACGCCACTGCACTCCAGCCTGGGCGACAGAGTGAGACTCTGTCTCAAAAAAAGAAAGAAAGAAATGGCATGAACCACTTCTGAGCAGAAATTTATGAGCTATCTTACAATTTTGCCATATTATCTTTCCTCTGACACAAGAGCAGCATGTCCTAAATAGAGCTCCCTCTTCAGCTTTGGTCCCAGAATGAAGATGTGCAGAGCGACAGCTGACACACATAACCTGTAATGTTGTGTGAACAATAAATAAACCTTTGTTGTAAGCCACTGAGATTGTTTTCGTTGTTACTGCAGCATAACATGCTAGCTAAGCAGACTAATACAACCATGAAATTAGCTATCCATGGGGGTAAGCCAAGACCTTTTTTACAAACATGACCAAACAAAACAAAACAAACTCTGATAAAGGGCATATGGGAGGAACCTGAAGAAGGTAGATATTGTAATTTAATAAATGGAACCTAATCAATCTCGTCAGCCATTCTGTACCCTGTTTGGAGAGAGATTCTGTGAACAAAAGGGCTTGCTCAGCCATGGCAGCCCAAAACAAGGCAGTCACAAAGGCTAGCACTACCATTGCCCCTCTAAGCCTCATCTCAATTAAGCCACACTGAGCATTAGGATTTCCTTGCCCGTGTCATCTCTGTAGTGGATGGGAATATCTCAGACTGCCTCAGCTAAGAAATACTTCTTAAGATCAACATGCTTTCCTCTATGTTCACCCAGCAAGTGTCTTGGCGATAGGGACAGAATTAAGTGATCTGCCACCTAGAGTATTCTAGTTCTTTTGATCATTGTATTTTTCATTGTAACTAATCAGTTAGATTCCTCTTTATATAAAAGTTTCTGTGAGCTTGGCAAATACAAGACACCCCCTACCCCCAGGAAATGGTTCAACTTTCTGCTTACTATTAAAATTAGGTTTCTGAGTTTGCAAGGTTAAACATCAGTTCTTGTATCATGGTAAATTCCTTAAGGTTATAGCACTGTATAACAGAACCTGTCTAGACAGCCAGCTGGACTTCCTTAAGCCACACCTCTCTATCTCATTGTGTACCTTTGGCCTAAAAGAAAAGCAGCGCTGGCCAGGCGTGGTGGCTCACACCTGTAATTCCAGCACTTTGGGAGGCTGAGGCGGGCAGATCACGAGGTCAGGAGTTCGAGACCAGCCTGATCAACATGGTAAAACCCCGTCTCTACTGAAAATACAAAAATTAGCCGGGCATGGTGGCACACGCCTGTAATCCCAGCTACTCAGGAGGCTGAGGCAGGAGAATCACTTGAACCTGGGAGGCAGAGGTTGCAATGAGCCGAGATCGCACCATTGCACTCTAGCCTAGGTGACAGAGCGAGACTCTGTCTCAAAAAATAGAAAAGCGGCACTAAAAGATATAGTTCATGTGCTGCTGGAGTTCAAAAAGGGAAAGCTTACTTCCACTTAGTATGAAATAGTGGGAGGAGTTCAGGAAAGATTTGCAAGGATGTGACATTTGAACTGGGTCTTGAAAAATGAGTAAAATTAGGGAAGACATGTAGGCAGCCACTAAAGCAAATAGAAGAAGCGAGGGATCAGTTGAGGAAACACAGAGTAAGAGGGAATGGAAGAAGAATCATGGAAAGATACATTATTATGGTTAAATTAAGGCTCTTGGGCTTTATTTTCTGATACGGGAAGTGAGTGGTAGAAGTTTTTTGTTTTGCTTTTAAACAGGTTTAACCATTTTTTTTTTTTTTTTTTTTTAGGAGATGGAGTTTTGCTCTTGTTGCCGGGGCTGCAGTGCAATGGTGCAATCTCGGTTCACTGCGACCTCCGCCTCTCGGGTTCAAGCGATTCTCCTTTCTCAGCCTACCGAGTAGCTGGGATTACAGGCGCGTGCCACCAGGCCCGGCTAATTTTTGTGTTTTTAGTAGAGACGGGGTTTCATTATGTTGATCAGGCTGGTCTGGAACTCCTGACCTCAGGTGATCCACCTGCCTTGGCCTCCCAAAGTGCTGGGATTACAGACGTGAGCCACCGCCCCTGGCCTAAATTTAACCATCTTTAAGTATACATTTCAGTGACATTAAGCCTGTTCACGTTGTGCATCCATCAGCAGAATTTGTCATTATCCCATACTGAAATTCTGTATACGTTAAACGCTTACGCCCTATTCTCTTTTCCCCAGCCTCTGGTAACCACCATTCTACTTTCACCTTTTGGCCACTGTGAATGATGCTTCTGTGGACATTAGTATACAAATATCTGTTGGAGTCCCTGCTTTCAATTATTGGGGGTATATACCCAGAAGTGAAATTGCTGGATTATATGGCAATTCTTATGTTTAATTTTTTTTTTTTTTTGAGGAGCCACCATACTGTTTTCCATAGCATCATACCATTTTACATTCCCAATGGTAGAAGGTTTTACAGAAGATAGTGACATGATCAAAACTATGATTAAAAGCAATCTGGAAAAGAGAGTAAGATGGAGTAGAGTGGCAGAATGACCATGTGGAGACTTCCACAATGGTTTAGGCAAGATATAATGAGGGCGAGGGCCTGAACACATCATCAGCAATGAGAATGGAGGAAAGAGGATACAAATGCTGAGGTGATATTGCCAAGGAAAGATTGTAAGGACTTGACCATTGACTGGCGATTGAGGGGTTAGGGAACAAGAAAATTAAGGGTTTTTTTTGTTTTTGTTTTTGAGACGGAGTCTCATTCTGTCACCCAGGCTGGAGTGCAGTGGCGCAATCTCAGCTCACTGCAAACTCCGCCTCCCGGGTTCACGCCATTCTCCTGCCGCAGCCTCCCGAGTATGTGGGACTACAGGCACCAGCGACCATGCTCGGCTAATTTTTTTGTATTTTTTTAGTAGAAACGGTGGGTTTCACCGTGTTAGCCAGGAAGGTCTCGATCTCCTGACCTCATGATCCACCCACCTCAGCCTCCCAAAGTGCTGGGATTACAGGCGTGAGCCACTGTGCCCGGCCAAATTAAGGTGTTTAATATGACTCCCATGTGTCACACCTGGGAGGATGGTAGTCTTCAGATGAAGAGTCAGGGTATGGAGAAGTCATGAGTTCAAGTTTGGATATATAGAGTTCGAATTACAAGTGGCACATTGTAAGCTGTGGGGTGGACATTTGTTGTCTTGCCTGCTGAATACCCCTTGCCCTTTCAACTGGTAATGGCACTCTACTTTTTTTCTTTTGAGACAGAGTTTCGCTCTTGTCACCCAGGCTGGAGTGTAGTGGTGTGATCTCAGCTCACTGCAACCTCTGCCTCCCAGGTTCGAGCTATTCTCCTGCCTTAGCCTCCCAAGTAGCTGGGATTACAGGTGCCCACCACCACACCCAGCTAATTTTTTGTATTTTTAGTAAAGACGGGGTTTCACCATGTTGGCCAAGCTGGTCTTGAACTCCTGACCTCAGGTGATCTGCCCCCCTGCCTCAGCCTCCCGTAGTGCTGAGATTATAGGCGTAAGCCACTGCGTCCAGCCTACTTTTTTTTTTTTTCTTTAAAGGTTGTAGAATTTATCCTTCTTCATCTATGTATTGGCTAGGCTGGGAGGGTGTGTGGCCATGAGAATGTGCTTCTCAGATCTCTGACTGAGGAAATTGTAATTTACCAGCAGTCCAGCTGCTGAGTTCTGAAATCCATCCTGAGCTTTGAAATCCATTGCCCTTTACTCCGAGGTCTTACTTCCCATACGCTGCTCATAGCCAATAACTGAGCCCAACGGGGATTTTAGGACAGGACTGTTCCTGGGATAAGTGATACTCTTCCGATGGGTGACTTTGACTCAAGGACTCCTCAATGGCCTTGCCAAACTTTCCTTAGAACTTCATTGCAGTCTGAGACACTTCCACCTTGAACACCTTCCCTCTGTCCTTCACTCAGGGTCAGGCCTGCGTCACTGTGCGATGGCTCTCTCAGTCTTCCCCTTCCATTTCCTCTCATAATAAATTTTTTTATTTATTATATATTAATATATATTATATTATATAATATATATATAATATAATTATATTATATATTAATAATTATATATATTAATATATATAATATATATATTAATAAATTATGTTTTTCATAATAAATTTATTGCATTTTATTCTGTCTTGGCGTTTGATTTCCTGAGACTCTGAACTAACATGAAGGGAAAGAGGACAGGATGCATCCTACCATAGCACATCTTCTGTACCCCATTAGCCACAGGAGTAGGAACATGACCCAGTCTGACCAATCAGCGATCTCCCACATCTTGGCCCAGTACCTCCTCATAGCCTCTCAGGGTAATTTGGCTCCCAGACAATTAGCCACTTGGTCCACCTCAACAACAGACATAGCTGACCAAATCTAAGCGAGGTCTCACAGTTCTGTTGCTTGAGGCCATCAAGTTACAAACATGGAGTCTATGGCTTCTCCTGCAACTTCCAGACCCTGATGAAACACCACCTCACAGAGCGTGGGATTTGGCTTCCTGAGCAGCTGCTGAAGGAGCCAGTGAAGCAACCTACTACAGAGGATTTAGCTACCCACAGAGCAAACTGATCAATGGGAGACAGGAAGGAGCTGGCTATAACAATCCACTCTTCCCTTCCTTCCTCTAATGAGCTGTTTCAAGATAAAATTTCTCCATACAACCTGTCTAGAGAGACATTCTCCATGGCCAAGTGGGTGCGCCTGTCAAGAGACTAGCTACAGCTCATTGTGAAGTAGCCAGCAAACATTTCCTTCCCTTGCTTCTCATGTTTTCCCACTTTCTCTTATCCTTAATTCTCACTACTCCATGGCTGTGCCCCTCATATAAAGCTTTAGCACTTAATCCCTTCTTCCGGCTTTGTTTTCTAGGAAACCTTGCTAAAACAGATCACAGTTTTTGAAGAGATGGGCACATCACCCAAACTAAGCTAAGAAAAGCCCTTCTAAAGATTTGAAATATATAAGAAAGACAGGATTTTTCTTCTGGAGATCTTGAGCTATGAGGAACTGAGGGCAGCCATTATTCTTGCTTCATGGAAAGAGCCTTTCTAAGAATGAAGACATCACAGAGGAAGGCAGAATTCAGACAGAGAGGGAGACAGAGTCCTGACATCCTTTGAACACCTAGATCCAACTTTCCCCAATATGTGTAACCATTTTGTCATTGCTTTATCATTCTGAAGACCAGTTTTCCCAATCCATGTCATATAAAACATGGTAACCAATTAGTCCCAAGTTGCCTCCATTCAAAAAATCATCCAGGTGACTAGATTCTTAGGCTCAATTTCAAATTTCTGGGAGGAAGAGCTCTTGTTAGAGCTAGCTTTGGCCAAATGTCCACCACTGAATCAAGTATCATTATGGAAAGGGGGACAGGGTCATGCATAAACATGGTTGTATCTACTGTAACTCTATGAATGAAGGTATGCTGGAGGGTAGAGGATAGAGTAACACTTCTCAGAAAAGTAGGAGTAAAGGATTAGGCAGACTAAACAATGTCTGTCCACTTCCTGAGAATAAATAAAGGAAAAGAGGGTAAAGAGGTCAGAGGACAGAACCTTTATCTAACCAACACTATCCAACAGAGCTTTCTGCAGTGGTAGAAATGCTTTATATCTGTGCTGTTCAATACAGTAGCCACTAGCCACGTGTAGCTGTTGAGCATTTGAAAGATGGTTAGTGCAACCAAGAAATTGAATTTTTCATTTTGTTTACATTGAAATAGCTACAGGTAGTATCTTAGTTTTCTGCTGCTATAACAAAATACCAAAGACTGGGTAATTTATAAACAAAGGAAATGTATTTGGGTTGTGGTTCTGGAGGCTGGAAAGCCCAAGAGCATGGCACCAGCATTTGCTCGACATCTGGTGAGGGCCTTCTTGCCACACCATAACGTGGCAGAAGATATCACATGGTGAGGAAGTGTGCATGTGAGAGAGGGAGGGGGGCCAAACGTATCCTTTTATCTGGAGTCCACTCCCTCCATAACTAACCCATTCCCATGCATTAATCCATTTATGAGGGCAGAGCCCTCGTGACCTCATCACCTCTTAAGTGTTCCACTTCTCAACGTTGTTAAAATAGCAATTAAATTTCAACTTGAGTTTTGGAGGGACATTCAAACCATAGCATGTAGCGAATGACTGCATATTAGACAGCATAGGTCTAGACTATTGGTCTACTTTGGGAAGCAGCATGGAATATTGTCTGCAGCATGTGCTTTGAAGTTAGCCTGAGTTCGAGTCCCCATTCCATTTACTTAACCTCTCTGAGCTAGAGAGGTGAAAGATGCAAAGAAAGTTGTATGTAATACCACAAAGAGAGAAAGAGACAAAAGATCTGCAAAAGTTCAGCCAGGCACAGTGACTCATGCCTTTGGGAGGCCAAGGCAGGCAGATCATGAGGTCAGGAGTTCAAGACCAGCCTGGCCAACATGGTGAAACCCTATCTCTACTAAAAATACAAAAATTAGCTGGGTGTGATGGTAGGTGCTTGTAGGCCCAGCTACTCGGGAGGCTGAGGCAGGAGAATCGCTTGAACCCGGGAGGCAGAGGTTGCAGTGAGCCGAGATCACACCACTGCACTCCAGCCTGGTTGACAGAGCAAGATTCCATCTCAAAAAAAAAAAAAAAAAGATCTGCAAAGGGTCAAAGAATCAGCTGGATTTGGCAATTAAGGGACTATGAGTGAATTAAGACAGAGAAGTATTAAAAGTGTGATTGTTTAAAATCCAAACCAGCTATCCATCTACCTTTTGTACATCTGCTAAATTCCTTTCCTCTGGAGGGGGACTCCAGGCAGGGAGAGAATGGGAATGCAAAAGTTACCTCGTCTCTTAATCCTCTTGGTCACATGGGGAGCGAGAACTCAAAAGTGTGTCCTGAAGATGGGGTTCCAAGCCAAAAAAAAAATCAGAACCATGGTCAGTCACGGGGTGTGAAGCCAAAGGTGGGGTTGCCTAGTCCAAGGAAGCCACAAGGAAAGAACACCTCAAATACATACCCTCTTTACATAGCACTTACACTGTGGCTAGACTGTAAGTCCTTTAAGGTTCAGGGCTAAGTGTATGATGGTACTATCAGCCCCTGGTAAGTGCCTGGTACCATAATAGGTACTTAATTAACAATAGGTACCTAAACAACAACATTGAATGAATGAATGAATGAATGAAAGTAAGCCAGTCCACTCTCTAGTGCATGGTAGACATTCCATAATATAATGTTCATTAAGTTATTAGAGGGAGGCCAGGCATGGTGGCTCATGCCTGTAATCCCAGTACTTCAGGAGGCCAAGGCAGGCAGATCACCTGAGGTCAGGAGTTCAAGGCCAGCATGGCCAACATGGTGAAACTCCATCTCAACTAAAAATACAAAAATTAGCTGGGTGGGGTGGTGGGCACCTGTAATTCCAGCTACTTGGGAGGCGGAGGCAGGAAAATCACTTGAACCTGGAAGGTGGAGGGTGCAGTGAGCCAAGATGGCACCACTGCACTCCAGTCGGAGTGACAAGAGCAAAACTCAGTCTCAAATAAATAATAAAATAAAAAGTTATTAGAGGGAGAAAACCCTGTATTGAGAAGCTACCAGGGAATCTTTTTTGACCTGGAAACTCTGTTTGTCAGGTCCTTGCCTGGCACAGAGGAATTCTTCAACAAGTGATCTCTATGATAATTATTATTAAATAGGGAGTAAGGTTTTGTATATGGCCTGGGGAAGGCCTTGATAATAATAAGAGCTAAAATGTGTTGATCTCATTTAATCCTTAAACCAACTCAATGAGACAGGTTTTATTAGATTAATTTTACAGGTGATAATTTTTTTTTCAGATGAGAAAATTTAAAGAAGACGTGTAATTTCTCCAAAGTCGCCCAGCTCAGAAATGGTAGGACTGGTATTGAACCTAAGCTTAACGCAACTCCAGAGTCCAGGCTCCAACAGAGGTTTGGGAGCCAGGGAGCAGAAGGAGGCTCAAGAGAGGGGCTTAAGGAAAGCAGTTCTGGGGTCAAAATCCACTTCTGATTTCTATTCAATCACATCAGTTTCGATGCCTTCTCTTCTTCCTTCCACACTCACTACTTGCCTTCTTGCCAAGCTTCTCATCCCTTCTACTGAGCTCACCTCTACACCCCTGTTCAGCTTCCTGTCCCATTCAGCCATATCTACTCTGGTTTGACTCAAGGAAGCAGGAGTTGAAATAGGGCCAAAGGAGGAAGTTTTTATTTGTTGGTTTGTTTTTGGTTTTAAGATACAGACTCTAGAGCAAGTGAGTAAATGAAATATTCCAGTAGACAGAAGGAAATAGACAATGCAAACAAGAGAGTATCTGCAGAGGTTAAGTTCTTGGGACCCTGAGCACAGGTCAGGGGAGAGGTTGGCCTCTGATAGGAGCTGGCACACTGTGGCTTTCCCTCAGAGTAAAGGAAGACAGAATATGGGTAAAGAAGCAGAAAAGTTAGTAAAGGTTAGGATGCTTACAATCAAGAGTTATGTTTTACAGCAATTGATAATGGCATGGTATAATATGGACAATGTGTTTCAAATATGATTGCAGGTCATAAATAATTAATAGATCATGAAATTATTTAGAAGTTTGTAACTAGCTTTTATTTTTAAAATGGAATGGAATTGAAAATTTGAATTAATTGCACATAGCAAGGGTACTGTGAAAATTACTATGAAACTTTTTTTGTTTCAATCATATACACATAGACATGTGTACTGGCTACAGTGTAAAATCTGTTTATCTGCTGGGCATGGTGGCTCATGCCTGTAATCCCAACACTTTAGGAGGCCGAGGCGGGCAGATCACTTGAGGCCAGGAGTTCAAGACCATCCTGGCCAACATGGAGAAACTCCATGTCTACTCAAAATACAAAAATTAGCCGGGTATGGTGGCAGACACCTGTAATTCTAGCTACTTGGGAGGCTGAGGTACAAGAATCACTTGAACCCAGAAGGCGGAGGTTGCAGTGAGCCAAGATTGCACTACCACACTCCAGCCTGGGCGACAGAATGAGACTCTGTCTTAAAAAAAAAAAAAAAAAAACTATTTACTCTTGAGAGTACAGTAAAAAATATTTAAAAGCCACTATCTAGGATGTGACAATGGGAAAGAACTTTCTTTCTCTTCCAGAGTTTTCCATGATGCTTGTAAATTGGTCTCGCATGGTTTTGCTTTCTTGTTGTTGTTCTTGTTTTTTGTTTTTGTTGTTGGTTTTTTGTTTTGTTTTGTTTTTGTTTGTTTTATGAGACAGGGTCTCACTATGTTGCCCAGGCGAGTCTCAAAACTCCTGGGCTCAAGTGATCCTCCACCCTCAGCCTTCCAAAGTGCAGGGATTACAGGCCTGAGCCACTGCTCCTGGCTCCAGTTTTGCTTTCTGATAGATAATAGATACCCAGAGGAGTATAAGCCCAATCAACTGTGCTGGAGCTCTAAGCAGTGGCTACAGCATGTAAGTTACATATGTGCCAAAAAAAAAAAAAAAATTCTAGTCATCCAGGCTACTCTTTCTTCTTGGTTTTCATTCCCCTTATTGTCCCAATAGGATTGTCAACAGCTCCCAGGGCCTGCATGTTTTCTTAATTGTGATTAGTAAGTAAGAGGGAGTCCATGTGCCCGCCTTCCCAGCAAAAATCCTGAGATTCATTCTGATTGGACTGGCTGAGTTCACATGACCACTCTGACCCATCATTCTGGCCAGTGGATTGAGTCCCCTGATTTGGCTCAGCCCTGCTCTACCCAAGGAAGTTACCTTCCTGAAAATACATGAATCCTGGAAAGGAAATCAGGGCCTATTGTTAAATAGAAAGGGAAAAATGGAGAAATAAAGCAGATGACGAGTGCAAATACTATTGAATGTTTCAACTAATGTCCAATACATATGGCCTTTAAGGTACCCACATTAGCTGAAAGGTTCAATAGTATTTGCACTAGTCATTTGCCTATTTGCTTTGAGCTCCACTCTATCTTTCCCACTCTGGACCCTGAAAACTACATTCCCCAGACACTTCTTGCCAGCTGGCTTCCTGTCATATTTGGTCAATGGGAAGTACAGGTGGGAAATTGTGTGCCTGGGGAGGGGATGGTGGGAGGAGAGGTGAAGCCATTGTTCTCTCTGCTTCTGCTGGAGGCTCTGGCAGCAGCTGGTAGTTATGGGCTTGGAGACCTTCAGCCTTTCCAGCAGTGGTGGTAGTGGGTTCCTTGCCAGGCTCCAGCAGTGTTGGTGGTATGGAGGGGCAGCAGTTGGGTAGCTGCAGGCCCCAGTGACCTCTGGCAGTTCTGTTAGCATAATTGCAAAAGCAGTGCTTCAGTAGTGTTAGCAACAAGTGCACTTTGGGGTCTAGCGACACTTTCCCTTTTGATTCTCCAGGTCTTGGAGTGTTAGAACTTCTTGCATCTATTAATCTCTAGTCTACCCAACTTTACCAGCTTTGCTCCTTCAGGCTTTCTAACAGATTTCTAACCAGTTCTCTGACACCAATTCCCTCTGTTTGAAATTCCAATCACTTGTTTTCTTGTCTTCACCCAGACTGACACAGCGTTCCTCTGGCCATCAGATGAGCTAACTGCAATTACTAACTTCCCAGCTGTGCATCTACAGTTGTTGTGCTGGGTGGTACCATAAGAGCTGCCCGCTAAGCTTTCAGCTGAGGCACTGGGCAAGGGGTGAGCGCCGACTCTGGAGCAAGCACAGGGAAAGCTGCTACTCCCTTCTGCTTCCTCACCTGTCCCCAGCTATTAGAACTGTGTTATGGAGAGCTTACTGCTTGCCTCCCAAGATAACTTGACTCCATGTTGTGGCTGAGAGGGATGGGCTCTGGAATGACCAGGTGGGAATGCAGCAATGAGCACAGTTGGCAAGGAGGCCCAAAACAGAGGGGCCGGGGAAGGATGTCCTTGCTGCAGAGTAGAGTTTAGGGAGGGAGGAGAGAAAGAGACTATTACCTTCCTTTTTTTGTTTGTTTGTTTGAGATGGAGTCTCACTCTGTCACCCAGGATGGAGCACAGTGGTGCAATCTCAGCTCACCGCAACCTCCACCTACCAGGTTCAAGCGATTTTCCTGCCTCAGCCTCCCAGGTAGCTGGGATTACAGGCGTGCGCCACTACACCAAGCTAATTTTTGTATTTTTAGTAGAGACGGGGTTTCACCATGTGGGCCAGGACAGTCTTGAACTCCTGACCTCAAGTGATCCACCCGCCTTGGCCTCCCAAAGTGCTGGGATTACAGGCATAAGCCACCGCACCTGGCCCTGCTTCCTTTTTTTTAGAGATACTGAGGGAGGGATAGACTGATGGTTCTCAACCTTTTCTGTCTTCTGCCAAGTGTTCCATAAGAAAAACAAGAAAACAGTGTTTTCCAACAGAATTTATTCTTGCCATTACCCAAGGAACAGTATTGAAAACATTACATCCAACCTAGCTTACTTCTGTGACCTCCTGGTGCTTCGCAAGCCACTGTGGGACAGCTAAGTCTCTGTAGAGGGTACAGGTTAAGATTATGAATGATCCCTGCAGGCACCAAAGGGGCATACATGTCAAGAACACGACTTTTCTTCAAGGTCCCTTGCCTTGGCTAGCAGTGTGCAAAATAGGGTTGGGCAGGTCTTGAGAAAATGACTATAAACATTAAGTGTGATCCTTTTTTTTTAATTAATTATTTATTTATTTATTATTTTTTGAGATGTAATCTCGCTCTGTCACCCAGGCTGGAGTGCAGTGGTGTGATCTCAGCTCACTGCAAGCTCCGCCTCCTGGGTTCACGCCATTCTCCTGCCTCAGCCTCCCAAGTAGCTGGGACTACGGGCGCCCGCCACCATGCCTGGCTAATTTTTTGTATTTTTAGTGAAGACGGGGTTTCACCGTGTTAGCCAGGATGGTCTCGATCTCCTGACCTCGTGATCCGCCTGCCTTGGCCTCCCAAAGTGCTGGGATTACAGGCATGAGCCACCGCACCCGGCCAAGTGTGATCCTTGATTGTAAGCCTTATAGATCCTACTGAGCCATCAACCTGCTTTGTGACCTTGGGCAAGTCACTTAATCAAGTTCAATCTCAATATTTCCACCTTATATTAGGCCGGCACGGTGGCTCACACCTGTAATCCCAGCACTCTGGGAGGCTGAGGCGGGCAGATCACCTGAGGTCAGGAGTTCGAGACCAGCCTGGCCAACATGGTGAAACCCCATTTCTACTAAAAATAATTTTTAAAAAATTAGCTGGGCATGGTGGTGCACACCTGTGATCCCAGCTATTCAGGTTGTTGAGGCAGGAAAATCACTTGAACCTGGGAGGCAGAGGTTGCAGTGAGCTGAGATTGCACCACTGCACTCCAGCCTGGGTGACAGAGAGAGACTCTATCTCAAAAAAAAAAAAAAATTCCACCTGTTTTTAAAAAAGGCATAGGAATAATTTATTTTACATTATTTGAAAATAAATTGTCCTAAGGGGGTAGAGGGAATGGGAGAAGTGATAGATATTATCCAGGTATTATCCTCTGCCTCTCCTTCTTGTCCATCCTGCCTGAGTTTTTTTCATCAAGTAAGATGATAAGTGTTAAAATGCTCTGAAAAGTGCAAAACACCATACAAAAGCAAGGGAGTATTATTATCAACATAGTTGTTAGCTTAGGAGGATGAAGGCAGGGCACAGGCTCAGAGCCAAACAGCTGGAAGGCAGGAAATCTTAATACCAAAGAAGGAAACTTTTTTTGTTCAAATTCTTCCTGGAGTGGCACTTTTTTTTAGAGCAGATTTGGCACTGAAATCCTCTGAAATGCTGAAGTGGGTCCAGAAAAGTATTAAGGGGGTACGTAGGGCATTCAGGAGCCAAAAGACACTGGAGAAACACCAGCCCTGGTTCCTCAGTTCCTTTGTGATCCAACAAAAGATACAATCGAAGGAGGAGTCGAATTGTATCAGCGGGTCTCAGGTTCAAAGCCAGGTGGGTGTTGGATCCTCTAACAGGCTCTTTAACCAGCCACCACGCTATTTTGGGAGCCAGGATGTCAGGGGCACTCTGTAACTAATACTGAACTCAGGTGCCAACAACCTAAAAACCATCCCCTCTACACAGTGTTCAGAAAGAACACTGACCTGGAGAGGACTTTAGAGACAATCTAGTCAGACCGAGGCTCAGAGAGGGGCAGGGACTTGCCAAGATAACACAGTAGAGTCAGGCTCATTGGGCTGCAGAAGCCCACCCAATTTAGCTCAAGTACAAAGGAGTTTCTTGTAAAGACTGGAACTGAAAGGCAGGATGAAGGATAGAGGTCTAGGACTCACTGGTCTATTTATTCTCTATCTTCTCACCACTCCTCATCACTGGATAGGATTGCTCCTTCCCCCTCTACCTACAGTCAGGCTTCTGCCTTCTCTTGGTCTCTGATCCTACTTCTCTGGGCCTGCACATGGCTTTCCTGGCCAAGACCTACTTGTCTATGACTTTTTTTTTTTGACAGGGTCTTGCTCTGTCACCCAGGCTGGAGTACAGTGCCACGATCATCACTCACTGCAACCTCTGCATCCTGGGCTCAAACAATCTTCCTGCCTCAGCCTCCCAAGTAGCTGGGACTACAGGCATGTGTCACTATGCCTGGCTAATTTTTTTTTTTTTTTTTTTTGAGATGGAGTTTCACTCTTGTTTCCCAGGCTGGAGTGCAATGGCACGATCTCAGCTCACCGCAACCTCCGCCTCCCAGGTTCAAGTGATTCTCCTGCCTCAGCCTCCTGAGTAGCTGAGATTACAGGTGTGTACCACCACGACTGGCTAATTTTTGTATTTTTAGTAGAGACAGGGTTTCACCATGTTTGCCAGGCTGGTCTCGAACTCCTGACCTTAGGTGATCCTCCTGTCTCAACCTCCCAAAGTGCTGGGATTACAGGCATGAGCCACCGTACCCAGCCTAATTTTTATATTTTTTGTAGAGACAGGGCTTTGCCATGTTGCTTAGGCTGGTCATGAATTCCTGGACTCAAGTGATCCACTTGCCTCAGCCTCCCAACCGGTTGGAATTACAGGCATGAGCCACCATACCTGGCTGTCTCTGACTTCTCTACTTCAACTCCTTCTGCCACCTGACAATTTCTTTCCTTTTTTTTTTTTCCTGAGACAGGGTCTCACTCTATCACCCAGGCTGTAGTGCAGTGGCATGGCACGATCTTGGCTCACTGCCACCTCTGCCTCCCAGGCTCAAATGATCCTCCCACCTCAGCCTCCAAAGTAGCTGAGAATACAGGCATGCACCACCATGCTTGGCTAATTAAAAAAAATTTTTTTTCCTTTCGTAGAGACAAAGTCTCACTGTTGTCCAGGCTGGTCTTGAGCTCCTGGGCTTAACTGATCCTCCCACCTTGACCTCTCGAAGTTCTGGGGTTTTGTGTGTGAGGCGCCATGCCTGGGACAACAATGTCTTTCTCTTCCTTGGTTCAATAAAGCCTCGAATCAGCCCATCTTAGATTGTTGTGCTAGGTTGTCTTAGTTCATTTTGTGCTGCTATATCAGAATATCTGAAACTAGGTAATTTATAAGGTATAGAAATATATTTCTTACAGCTCTAAAGCCTGGTAAGTCTAAGGTTTAGGGGTGCACACCTGGCAAGGGCCTTCTTGCTGTGTATTCCATGGCAGCAGGTGAAGGGCAAGAGAGCAAGACAGCATGAGAGGGACAGAGAGAAGGGGAGAGAGAAAGAGAGAGAGAAGAAGAAATGGGGTTGAATGCATCCTTTTATCAGGAACCCACTCCCTCAATATCGTCATTAATTTATTTATGATGGCAGAGTCCCCATGACCTAATCACCTCCTGAAGGTCCCTCCTCTCAACACTGTTGCCTTGGGGATTAAGTTTCCAGCACATGAACCTTGGGGAACACATTCACACCATAGTATACACCATTGGTCAGAGGACAGCAGCTAATATATTAAATGGTGACCCTTGACTCCGGTGCTGGCCCTATCTGCTCAAGTCTAGAGGCTGGAGGGGCCAGGTGGTTTAAAGCGTGGCCCCAGCAGGGTTTGTGGTCTGGGCAGCTTTTCCTTAAAGTGAATGTGAGTGAGGCAGAAACTGTACCATCACTAGGACCATGTGATTGGAGCTCAGGATTCCAGATTTCCTGCCCAGAACATTTCCCATGAAATTGTCATTTCTTTATTCAGCAGACATGTCGTAATGCTTGTTAAATGTCAATTATGAATATCTTCTTCCTCCTCCTCTTCTTCCTTCTTGCCCCCAGAAGCTTATGATATAATGAAGATAAAGGCAGGAAAATAATTAGAAAACATGAGCACTTTAGAAGAAGTATAAACAATAACCACTTACTGTAAGCGGTAGCTACTGTTATTGTTTATGCATCTTCTAAAGTGTTCATTTATTCTCATTATTTTCTTGTCTTTATCTTTATTATATCATGTATCTGACTGGTACGTATACCAGTCACTGCTGATCACTTTACATATGTTTTCTCATTTAATCTTTACAACTCCCCTGTGATGCCAGCACCACATTTCACACATGTGGAAGGAAACAGGCTCAGAGAGTGATCCACAGATAATAAACAGCACAGCAGGGCTCTGATGCTAAAGCCTGTTCTGTTAACCACTGTGCAGTCTTCACCATGCTGTTAGAGCACAGGGGACCATCTTGGCCTAGGTAGAAGGACAGGGACGACTGGAGAAAGCAGTGGACTTCCAGGAGGAGGTGACATCTGAGCTCATCATGAGCAAGCTTTCCTCAGTCAAGTGTTGGCAAGGCTCACTGTAAACAGAGGAAGCCACATGTGGGAATAGCAAGATGCCAGCAGAGTACAGGGAAAAGCTAGAGTGGGGGTGTGAGTGGGAAGAGGGCCAGGAGCACATTGCACGACCCATGAGTGAGCGCCTCCCTACTTCTGTACCCTCGGTCCCTTTGCCCTGACCCTATTCCTAGCCCTGGCGGAGAATGTGAAGATGAGGCCAGAGGGAACATTGAGAAGAAGGATCTCAGAGAAGAAGGAAAATTCAGCAGAACCTAGGAAGTGCAACTGCTATTGCCTGGGCCTTTGTTCCTGGAATGGACTCTGAGAGTGCATGGTAAAGTCTAAAGTGAAAAATTCAAGAGGAGGGAGCTTTCTTTTACCTGACTTTTGGGTCTTAATCTTAGTTGTTACTTCCTTTAGGAAACATTCCTTGGTCTAACAAGCCTGAGACCCTGAGATGCTTTTTTTTTTGAGATGGAGCCTTGCTGTGTCTCCAGGCTGGAGTGCAGTGGTGCATTCTTGGCTCACTGCAACCTCCGCCTCCCAGTTTCAAGCAATTCTCTTGCTTCAGCCTCCCAAGTGGCTGGGATTACAGGCACCTGCCACCACGCTCCGCTAATTTTTGTATTTTTAGTAGAGACAGGTTTTCACCATGTTGGTCAGATTGGTCTTGAACTCCTGACCTCAAGCAATCCACCTGCCTTGGCCTTCCACAGTGCCAGGATTACAGGCATAATCACAGCCTGTAATCCACCATGCCCGGCCTTTTTTTTTTTTTTTTCTCCAGAGATGGGGTCTTACCCTGTCACCTAGGCTGGAGTGCAGTGATACAATCAGTTTACTGTAGCCTTGAACTCCTGGACTCAAGCAGTCTTCTGCCTCAGCCTCCTGAGTAGCTGAAATTACAAATGTCAGCCACCACACTGGTTTGGCGGCTAGGTCTTATTTACCCTTCCACCCCCAATAGAGCATGTGGCTCAGAGTAGCTGCTCAGTAAAAGACTGATGAATGAATAACAAATAGCCTCCAAGGAGCTTCTGCCAAGTCTTTCAGACCACATCGATTTTCTCTCTGTCTCTGGAGTCCTACTGACCTTAACACTTGGAATCCTATGCGTGTTTGAACCAGAAGAAACCTTAAAAATCATCTAGCGGCCAGGCACGGTGGCTCACGCCTGTAATCCCAGCACTTTAGGAGGCCGAGGCAGGTGGATCACGAGGTCAGGAGATCGAGACCATCTTGGCTAACACGGTGAAACCCCGTCTCTACTAAAAATACAAAAAATTAGCTGGGCGTGGTGGCGGGCACCTGTAGTCCCAGCTACTCAGGAGGCTGAGGCAGGAGAATGGTGTGAACCCGGGAGGCGGAGCTTGCAGTGAGCCGAGATAGCACCACTGCAGTCCGGCCTGGGTGAAAGAGCGAGACTCCGTCTCAAAAAAAAAAAAAAAAAAAAAATCATCTAGCTATCTCCTACCTCTACCATCTCAAAGATGGGGTGATTGAGGTGATCACTTATTTGCCAACTGTATTAGTCTGTTCTTGCATTGCTATAAGGAAATACCTGAGACTGGGTAATTTATAAAGAAAAGGGAGGCTGGGCACGGTGGCTCATGCCTGTAATCTCAGCACTTTGGGAGGCTGAGGTGGGCAGATCACTTGAGATCAGGAGTTCGAGACCAGCCTGGGCAACATGGTAAAACCCTGTCTCTACCAAAAATAATTAGCTGGGCATGGTGGTACATGCCTGTAGTCACAGCTACTTGGGAGACTGAGGTAGGAGAATCCCTTGAACCTGGGAGGTGGAGGTTGCAGTGAGCTGAGATCACGCCACTGCACTCCAGCCTAAGCCTAGGTGACAGAGTGAGACTCCATCAAAAAAAAAAAAAAAAAAAGAAAAGAAAGGAAAGGGGTTTAATTGGCTCAGAGTTCCACAGGCTGTACAGGAAGCATGATACTAGCATCTGCTTGCCTTCTGGGGAAGCCTCAGGAAGCTTCCAATCATGGCTGAAGGCAAAGGGGGAGCCAGCGCGTCTTACATGGCAGGAGCAGGAGCAAGACAGAGTGGTCGGGTGGTGCCACACACTTTTAAACAACTGGATCTCATGAGAACTCACTCACTATAATGAGAAGAGCACCAAGGGGATGGTGCTAAACCATTCATGAGAAACCACCCCTAGTATAATCATCTCCCACCAGGCCCCACCTCCAACACTGGGGATTACAAATTTGACATGAGATTTAGGTGGGAACACAGATCCAAACCATATCACCAACAATCTTAGTTTTGTATCTCCAGCCACAGTTTCTCTTCTGAACTCCACAGTGAATCAGCTGCCTATGCAGCCCTCATCTGGGATGTCCCACAGTGTGTGCATCTAAACACATCCAGAATCAGCATCCCCCCCAAGGCCTAGGCATCATTCAGGCTTCCCTGTCTTGGTGAAGAACATCACCACCCAACCAGTTGTAGGGACCACCTACCTCCTACAGCCTCCCACTACCAATAAAACAGCAAGTCCAGCAGTGTCTACTACCTAAACCACAAAATCTCTCCAATTTCCCTCTGCCTCCCTAGCCCAAATCCCCATAGCTCTCAATGGACCCCTGCAAAAGTCTCATTAGTTTCCCCAAATCTGCTCTTTCTTTGTACTAATCCATGCTCCTCATTGCAGCTGGAGTGACATTTAAAAAATGCTACTTTCTCCTTTAACTCCTTTGCTGAAAGATTTCCAATATCTCTCCACTTAAAAAAATATATATTATTAAGTTATTGGCCAGGCGCAGTGGCTCACTCCTGTAATCCCAGCACTTTGGGAGGCTGAGGTGGGTGGATCAGGATTCAAGACTAGCCTGGCCAATATGGTGAAACCCCATCTCTACAAAAAACACAAAAATTAGCCAGGCGTAGTGGCACATGCCTGTAATCCCAGCTACCCAGGAGGCTGAGGCAGAAGAATTGCTTCAACCTGGGAGGCGGAGATTGCAGTGAGCAGAGATCACGCCACTGCCTCCTGGGTAACAGAGTGAGACTCCATCTCAAATATATATATATATATATATATATATATATATATAAAATTATAACTAACACTTATGGAAAATTTATATCCTAAGGTCTGTTCTAAGAACTTTACACATATTAACTCATTTAATCCTCATAACTCTAAATATTCCCATTATACAGACAAGGAAACAGAAACTCAGAGAAGCAACTTCAGGGCCTTTGTGTAAGCTCTTACCCATCCTTGGCTTGTTGATCTGGCTGACTGCTATTCAAGCTTCAGATGGGATGCCTTGGGGAGCATTCAAAGATCTCCCTGTCTAGGCCAGTCCCTCCCATAGCATCTAACCCAGTTTTTATTATACAATTATTTAGGGGGTGATTTGGTTCATGTCTGTCACCCCCATAGGCTTTAAATTCCATGTTTTGCTCATAATTATATCTTGAATATTCAACATATAATAAATACTTGATATTTGTTGAATGAATCAATGAAAAGCATTTTCAGTAAGAGAGGGGATGTGGTCAGATTTGTTTTAGAAGGATTTCTCTTGTGTAAAAGTTTGAAGGTGGTGAGACCAAGTCACCAACAGCAGCTGAATTCAGGAGTGACAGGAAGGCAGGCTGGACTAGAGGAGAGGCAAGAGGGATGGAGAGAAGTGGGTGAACCTAGGAAGTATTTAGGAAGCAAACTGGATGGCTCTGATAATTAAGTGGATAGAAGTGAGGAAGAGGAAGGAATCAGGAGGGACTCCCAAGTTTCTGAGAGCACCTTGAACTGGGGTGAGAAAGCATCTGCAAAGGAGGCAGGTTGGGTTGGCAGAGCAGGCTGTCCCTAGACCCAAGCAACTGAAACATGGAAAAGCTTTCAAAAAAATCTTTGCACCCAAACTCCTTAGCTTGGTCCTGGTGTACTTTATTCAGCCCCATCTGTGGTCTACCCCCAAACTCAGAGCATATAGATCACTGCTCCTCCCCCAAGCCCCACTTGTCATCCAGCCCACCTTAGTAAGTGCCACCCCACTACTCTCTCTCCACAAGATGCAGCTTGGAGGACGTCTCCTCTGGGATCCCTCCCCACTGCCCCCACCGCTTCCTGGGGTGAATGAGTCCTCTGTAGCCATCAGGATTCGCTGTATCAGGAGTGTTCCTCTGCTGTCACCTCTGATGACTATTTTCCTCAATTCAGAATCCCCAGCACCTGCAAAAGGCCTGGATAAAGGTAAACCTCAAAAAAGTTTGTTTTATTGAATTTTCCCAAAGGTTTGGCTTTATTACATTAAGAGCTGAGGCCAGGAATGTGGCAGTAAATTCTGGTGCCACCACTTAGAAAGACAAGTCACTTTTTTCAAGCCTCAGTTTCCGTCCATCAAATGGAGATAAGAATACAGTGCACCTACCTCGAAGAGCTGTTTTGAGGGGAAAATGAAATATGCTAGGTTAAGTGTTTAACACAATGCCTGGAACATGGTTAGTTCCCTCAAAAAATTAGCTGTTATTTATTTATTTTTAAATTCTCGCCTTGATGCTCAGAAGGGGCTGAGCAGGAACAGAGGATTGCAGTTCTTAGGATGGCCACGCGAGGGAAGTGGTGAGCAGCCTCCAGGAGGACTTCGGCTCGGCTGTGCCAAGGCACCTGCTGAGGACCCAGATGGCCCGCCTGGGGTTTCCGGGACTTCCCGGCCCCTAAACATGTGGGCGCTGGCCAGAGCGCCGCAGGAGAAGCCTCTGCCAGGTGCTCGGTCTCGACTCTCACAGCCCCAGCCATCCCTCCTGCTCGTCCCCGTCTCGGCTTGGAGGGGCTGGCGGGCAGGAGGGGACAGGGTAGGGGGCAACCAGGATATATCCCCTCCGTTTTGTCATTTGTCTTTCAAACTGACTTATGGCCATTTCTTCTGTATAGAAGCCTTGTAGTCAAACATTTCCATGTTTTCTCTTATGGCTTCTAGGTTTCATCATGCTTAGAAAGTCTTTTCCATCTCCAAGATTATTAAAATATTCACTCATGTCTTTTTTCTGATACATTATGGTGTTAAATATGTGGTCCACCTGGAATTTATTTCAGTGTCGAATAAGGGCACAGCTTTTTGTAATTTCCCCAAAAGACTTGCTGGTTATTCCACCCATTTGATCTCCGCCACCAACCCCCCCCCCCCCGCCCACAACCCCCTACCAACTCCGCCCCCCATTTGTCTGAAGTGCTGTCTTTTATTCATTCATTCATTTAGAGACAAGGTCTTGCTCTGTTGCCCAGGCTGGAGTGCAGTGGCGTGATCACAGCTCACTGCAGCCTTGACCTCCCAGGCTCAGGTAATCCTCCCACTTCAGCCTCCCTGGTAGCTGGGACTACAGGTGTGTGCAATCATGCCCAGATAAATTTTTTTTTTTTTTTTTTTTTTGAGACAGAGTCTTGCTCTGTTACCAGGCTGGAGTGCAGTGGTGCGATCTCAGTTCACTGCAACCTCCGCCTCCTGGGTTCAAGCGATTCTCCTGCCTCAGTCTCCCAAGTAGTTGGGACTACAGGTGCATGCCACCACACCCAGCTAATTTTTGTATTTTTAGTTGAGACAGGGTTTCACCATGTTGGCTAGGATGGTCTCAATCTCTTGATCTTGTGATCCGCCTGCCTCGGCCTCCCAAAGTGCTGGGATTACAGGTGTGAGCCACCGCCCCCGGCCACAAGTTTTGTATTTTTTTATAGAGACAAAGTTTTGCCATGTTGCCCAGGCTAGTCTCAAGTGATCTGCCCGCCTCAACCTCCCAAAGTTTTGGGATTACTGGCATGAGCCACTGTGCCGGGCCTGAAGTGCTATCTTTATCATACATTGAATTCCCTTGTGGGGCTGGATCCATTTCCATACTCCATTTTGTTCCACAGATCGGTCTAGTCCTGCTTCAATACCATACTGCTTTAAATACATTGACTTTATAGTATGTTTTAGTATCGGGTAAGACAAATCCCTTTTCATTACTTTTCTTCCTGGACTTTTTATTCCTGTATGTTTATTCTTCTATATACACTTAAGAATCAACCCCCTCTCCACCCACCTCCCATCCAGTCCTTCTGGTAACCAATATAGAACTTTGAAGATACTGAAATTATATGCAAAATATACATTGCACATCTCCAGAGAGATAGTGCTAAGTTTTCATCAGATGTGCAAAGGGAACCCCTGGTTTACCTGTCTCTGTGAAAGGGGCCAGGGAGGAGCACACAGGAAGCCTGATTCCTCTCTGTGCTCCCACCCCTCACCTCCACCCTCGTTCCAGGTCCTGCCCTGGCCTCCATCCCACCTCCCCTAATCTAGTCCCCCTTGCTGCTCCAGAGTAACCCATTCTACCACCCAGGCCCTAGTCCAGGCCTAGGCCTGAGGTAGAATAGCTGATAACAAAGCTTTAATTAATATGTAAATATAATCAGGAGCCCCAGCTCCACCTCTGACCAGCTATGGAACGCACTTTGAGGCTTTTCACATTGTAGGGCCTCAGTTTATGCTTCTCACAGACCAGGTGAGAAGGGAAGGCGTAGGATGACTATGCCTCCTAGCAATCCCCAGGAGGATCCTTTAATCCCAATAATTTTCCTTTTTCTCCCCACCTTCCCACTCCCCATTTACTTTTTTTTGAGACAGAGTTCCCCCTGTCACTCAGGCTGGAGTGCAGTGGTGCGACCTCGGCTCACTGCAACCTCCGCCTCCTGGGTTCAAGTGATTCTCGTACCTCAGCCTCCCGAGTAGCTGGGACTATAGTTGTGTGCCACCACACCTGGCTAATTTTTGTATTTTTAGTAGAGATGGGGTTTCACCATGTTGGCCAGGTTGATCTCGAACTCCCAGCCTCAAGCAATCCACCCACCTTGGCCTCCCAAAACACTGGTACAGGCATGAGCCACCGCACCCAGCTCCCATTTACATTTTAATTCATGCCCTCAGCAGGGAGACTACTGGTTTTACATGCCTCCAGCAAATATTAATTATTCTGTCCTCTCTGTCAGTGGGTGGAATTCAAAACACTGGAGCCCAAGAGTGGAACTGACCAGTCCTAAGCAAGGTTAAATATACAAGTTGGGGCAGGCACGACCCTAGGAAAGACTTCATACAGTATCCTCCCGGGCTGCAGAAGAACCCAGGACTCCAGGAGTCTATTTGGAAGTTTATATAGGCAGATGCCAGGCCCTAGAACAGAGTTTCTCAACCTCAGAAACCTGCTGACATTTCGGGCCTGACAATTCTCTGGCGCAGGGGCTGTCCTGTGCATTGAAGGCGTGTAGCAGCATCCCTGGTCTCTTCTCATGAGACGCCAGTAGCAACCTCCTCGTTGGGAAAACCAAAAATGTCTCCAGACATGGTCGAATGTTCCCTGGGGGGCAAAATCGCCCCAAGTTTAAAACCATTGCTCTAGAAGTAGAGAGCGCAGGGGAAGCAGGTTAACTTGGGCTTCAGGGCCGGCCACTCTACTTCCTTCTGTCTGAAAGGGACATTATAAAGTCTTTCTCTTCATACCAGGCACTTGGGCAAGTCTTTTCTCCTATCTGAGCTTCAGATTTTCCATCTGTAAAATGGACTTGACGTTTGTAAGTCGTTTCTTCTCTTACCATCTGACGTTCCTGGAACTGCTTCAGGGCAGGGCAGGGCAGGGGGCGCCGTGGTGCCTGTGAGGTCCTGGGAGGTGCCCCAAAGAAAAGGAAGGATGAGAAAGAACAGATAGGGTAGGTGGTGGAGAGGGGAGGCCGGGCAGGAGGCAAGAGAGTCCTAGGGACACGGAGAGGAATGAGGCTTCCCCAGACCCCGCTTCTTGGAAGCCTCATTAATGTAGGTCCCCCAACCACAACCCGGCAAGCCAAACTCCCCGGATTCCCCTAGGCCCCGCCCACCACCAAGGTCCGGCCCACTGGCCCCGCCCATCCACGCGGCCCCGCCCCCGGCAGGCCCCGCCTCCCCTTCGCCTCCCGCCGGCCCAAGCTTGGGCTTTGCACCCGGCGGCGACTGAAAACGGTGGCTGCTGCGGAGCCGGCAGCGCAGGCGGGCGGAGCGGAGCTGCCCCCGTGGTGGCGGGCGATGCCCCCGTGAGCCTCCCTCGCCGCCCCTCCCCGCCCCGCGTGCCTATCCACTCGGAGTCCGCGCCAGCCTGGGGCCGGGCCGCGCCTACTGCCGGGTTCGCGGGGCGGGGTCCCGGGGCAGCACCTGCCCCGCCTTGCGGAGCCGCCTCGGCCTGTGGAGGCCCCCTCCCTGTCTGGACCCCGGCCCCACCTCCGGGTAAGTCAGCAGGCCTTGCTCGCCTGGGAGTGGACGTGGGGAGGGGGCTGCAGAGGTCTGGAGGACCACGGGGGGAGGGGGGCTCTGGCCATGAAGCGCAACGTAGGTATGTGAGTGTGCAGGGGCGGGGGTGGGGGGATGAACACAGGGTGTGAGAGGGCTCTGGGGAGGGGACTAAGGGATGAGAGAGGGACGTGGGGTGTTTGGGGAAGCCTGGAAAATGGGGAAGGGGGCCCAGAGTCTTGAGTTCTTTGCTGATGCTCAGAGCTCCTGGGGCCCTGGTCTTCAACAGCATTGCCTGGCATGGCATTTTTGGAAAGTGCTTAAAATCCCTCCTGGAAAGGGAGCTGGAAGGCAGCCTGCTTTTCTCCCTTCTGCCTGTGCCCTGGTTGAGAAGCAGCCACTTTTTCCTCAACGTGACACCGTTGTGGTGTCCAGAGGACCCCCTCCACCCCATAAAAGAAAAGGAGTGCTGCTTACTCCAGCCCTGGGGTGGGAAGAGGGGGCTTTGGGAAGCTGGGAATGCAGTTGGTCAGCAGCATGGTGCAGAGCCCAGGGTTCAGGGAGGCTTGGCAGGACCCTTGATGGGCAACTTGGGCATGCTCTCATTCATAGGGAGGAGCTCTTCCCTGACTGGCCGCCTGGGTACCTGGACTCCATGTCCCCATCACCTCTGGACAACTCAGCCCTGAGGAGTGGGTTTCTTCAGTGTCCTGGTCCTGAAGGCTCAGGAAGGATCCTGGAATGGGGTGGGCAATGGCATATCAAGGCTGGAGAACAGGGGGCATTGGCTGGCACTGCCACTTGGGGCCTGTTTCAATGTGGTCCTTCAGGGCTTGGACACCTGGGTGAATATGTGTCCAACCCTAGCCCCAGGGGTGTTATCAGGATGTAGGGAAGAAGGCTGCTGCTCCTTTGGTCCTGTCCTCTATCCATGATGACTTCTTAAGTCTGGGTTCCTTGGGTTTGGGGCCTGAAGTCATGGGAGGAGGATTGGGCCTGGTCAACAAGGGGTTAATGAGCCATCTCCCCCACCCCACCATAGTTGCTGCCAGCCACCAATTAGTCTGTAATCAGGCAGCTGCCAACTGTCCCTGGGGGCATGTGGGTAGCCTAATGGGGCATTCTTGGTTGGGAGGCGGGGTGGGTGGGTTGGCAGGGATGTGCTGGGGAGGTGACCCATGTGCCCTGTGCTTAAACCAAGCACCATGCCCTTTGTTGTTTGTTTAGGGCCCACAGACCCCTTCCCTGCCTTCTGTTCCTGACTGCCTTGCTTAGGGACTTCCAGCCCTGGGGTTCTACACTTATCCGACCCTTTGCAGGGTATGAAGCCCAGAGTTGGTTAAACTTGGCTTCAAACCCAAGCTCTGCCACTTTCTGGCTGTGTGATATTGAGGAAATCACTTCCCCTCTCTGAGACTCTTTCAGTAAAACAAACCCAGCTGCTATGTGGGTAGCAGGAAGGAGTGAGTGAAATGGTGGATTTGAGCTGCGCAGCACAGTGCCTGGCACTCAGGAGGGCTCAGCAGCTAACTGCTGAACTCATGAGCAACCCCTGTGCCAAGTACTTGCTGGGCGGGCGTGCAGGAGCCAGGTGCTGAGGACCCAGCAGGGACCACGGTCCCTTCTCCCAGGGCATGTGGTCTGTGTCACTGTCTTAACTATTCTCTCTCCCTCCCTCCTTGCTCAACGACGCTTCTGGTCTCTGGACTTTAATTGGATTTTACTGCGCAGAACCCAGGCCTAAAGCTGCTACTCTCTGGGCTTCCCAACTTCCTGCCCAGGTGCTGAGCTCTGTGGGGTCTGTCAGGGGTCTGGGTGATGTCTGCAGCTGCAGTAGCAGCTGGCCCTTTAAGGAGGGAAGAAAACAATTATCTGGCCTGGGCATTGCATCAGCTGGAGCCTGGAGGGTCCCTGGGGAGGGGGGAGCAGGCTGGTGGTTGATTTCATTAGTGCCATGTGAGAACTCTCACCTGCCCCACTCCCCAGCCACAACCTTCTCCCCCAGGCAACAGCTGCCTCAGTGCCTCCTCCCACTCCAGGGGCACCACCTTGGAGAGGTCTCTGTGTGTACCCCCCAGTCAATGTCATGGGCCCCAGAAGAGGAGGGAAGTGTCTCTCACATTGGCCTTTTGCTGACTGTGGCACTGTCTCTCCTGTTAGCAATCTGCTGACTTGGGGTGCAGGGTGCGTCTCCTGTACTGGCATTTTGCTGACGATGGGGGTGTTTCTCCCACACTGGCATTTTGTTGACCCAGGGGAGGAGTGACTTCTACACTGTCCTCACTGACAGTGGGGCTGTCTCCTACACTGGTATATCACTGACCTCACAGAAGAGCTTTACCAGCTGGGGTGTGTGTGAACTGAAGGCGGAGGTTAGAAACAAGTGCTCTCTGGTTGGAGGTGAGCTTGCTGGGAATGGTGAGTCACAGGGGTTGTGTGGTTTGGGGCAGAGAAGAGACCAGGCACTTGGGCATCAGACAGACAGGATTCAAATCTAATGCCTTCCGCTTCCAACCTGTTACCACTTCAGGCAGGTGGCCTCAACTACCAAGTCTCAGTCTCCTCTGGAAAATAGGAATAATTTATACCCATACTTCTCCACCCCATCTGGAATGTGGTTAGGGAATTAACTGTAGTAACCAGATGTATAGTACCTAGTCTAGAGCTGGCAGGGGGAGGGTGCATACTGTATGATGGTTCTCTTCCCTTTGCAAGTTTGGGCTTTTCATAGCTTGAGCTCAAGAAGCCTGGACAAGAAAAGGAGGGTCCGGGAGGAGTGAAGAAAAAAGGAGAAAGAATGCCTGGCCCTCTTGCCTCTGTGGCAGAAGGATGCATTCAGTCCACCAGGTACCTCTGATGTATCAGACTCTATGAGCCAGGCGGCCCCTGCCCTCACGGAGGTGACATTCTAGTGGGGACATGACCCAGAGCAGGTAATTACACATGGCATGTGTGTAGAAAGGAGGGACTTGGGCTCTGGAACCTATCACTGAAGTTGCTCTCCTGCAGTCTGTAATCTGGGAAAGGTTCCTGGAGGTGGCGACATCTTAGCTGAGTCATGAAGGGTGCCAAGGAATTGTAGAGGCGAAGAAGGGATGAGGAAGGGGAACTGTGTGTCTGAGGCCCTGTTGATGGTGAGAACAGGCTTGGCGTGGTAGAGGGAGGGCAGTGTGGGCAGGCCCAGGACAGCCTGGCCCGATTTCCTAGTCTAGCAGGATACTAAAGACTTGGGAATTTATCCTCAGGCCAATGGCAACCCCTAAAGGGTTTTAAGCAGAAAAGGCAAGATCAGATTTCCCCAGAATGTTAGGGTCTATGGCCCTCAGGCAGAGCCTTCTTGGGAGTGACTTTTTGCCCTCTCCTACCCTTTTCCCTGTGCAGCAGCCTCGGTCCCAGGGAACCGGTTGTTTATGTGGCTGGCCCCAGGAGGGAGGACAGCCAGTCCCAGTCCCTCCAGCTCCTTCTCTCTGGTCTAAGCTGTATCGTGGCCTTGTTGACAAAGCTCAGCCCTTGGGGCCAGGTTCTCCCAACCTCCCTGGGGAGCCAGAGGGCAAGAGGCAGGGTTTTGCACCAGGCTGCTCTGTGCCCACATCCCAGCTCTGCAGTTCCTGAGCTGGGTAATCTCTGGGAAGGCATACCCGTCTCTGAACTTCTGTGTCCTCAACTATAAAATGGAGTTGATGATATCTCTAGGAAAACGATAAAGTGAAATTCCACATGGAAACCATAAACCCTATCTGGATGTCAGTTGGCATTTTTACTCTGTTGTGTGGGGGCTGACATCAACTCTGGGCCGGGCCCAGGGCTGGCTGGGGGTGGGAGCAGGGCTGGTTTCAAGAGTCAGTGGTCACGCAGGGCCCTGCGCCTAGAAGGACCCCACACTTAATGTTCTGCTGACACCGTCTTAAAATTTTTAGTAACTTTGAACAAGGGGTCCTGCATTTTCATTTAGCACTGGGCTCTGCATATTATATAGCCCCACAAATCGGGTAGGGGTAGGAAGAGGCAGGGAGAGACATGGATCTGCAAATGGTTCCCAAGGATGAGGTGGAGGGCATTACTAACTGTCCCAAGGTGGGTGGGATGTTAATAAGAATAACACTTATTTAGTGCTTACTGTGTGCTAGTTCTCTGCCCATCGCTTTACATGCTCATCTTTAAACAGTCCTATGAGGTAGGTACTATTATCATCTCTGTGGTATAGATGAGGAAACTGAGGTGACCTAGCCAAAGTCGCACAGCTATCAAGTGGCAGAGCTGGGATTCAAAACCAGGTTGTCCAACTGCAGAGCAATGCTTACACCAGGGAAGTCTCCACCTAGGAGGAGCGACCACCTGCCCTGGGTTTGGAGGATAACTTGGAGTTTGCCCAAGAGGAAGAAGTGCAGTGGAGAAGGGAGGACTCTCTCACCTGGGAAGTGTCCAGGCTAAGGGCATGATGCTTGGCCAGGAGATGGGGAGCCAAATCCTGGTGCCTTCTGGGGTTGAGAGAAGGTAACCTTTGCATTTCATGGTCCTGATTTGCCAAGCTCAGAGCCCCTTGTCACTCTGCCCCTAGGTCCTGCTGCTACCATGGCTCCTCAAGTTGCCCCAACCCCTCTTCCCACCTTTTTGCCCCCTCCCTCCCTACCTCCCGGGTAATCTCGTTTACTTCTCTTGATTTTAATGATCTCTTCTGGGTTGAAGATCTGCAGGTCTGGCTGGGTGCGGTGGCTCACACCTCCTCAAAGTGCTGGTAATCCCAGCATTTTGAGAGGCTGGGGCAGGCGGATCACTTGAGCCCAGGAGTTCAAGACCAGCCTGGGCAACATGGCGAAACCCCATCTCTACAAAAAAAATACAAAAATTAGCTGGGCATGGTGGCGCTTGCCTGTATTCCCAGCTGCTTGGGGGGCTGAGGTGGGAGGATCGCTTGAGCCTGAGAAGTTGAAGCTATAGTGAGCCATGTTCATGCCACTGCACTCCAGCTTGGGTGACAAAGCGAGACCCTGTCTCAAAAAAAAAAAAAAAAAGAAGCCCCAACAATCTGCAGGTGTGACTGCTTCCTGGCCCACACTTAGATGTCTCACAATCAGCTTCAGTTCAGGTCCAGACCCAGCTCCTGACTCTCCCACCTGCACCTGCTCTGCCTTTAAGGTCCCCGGTTCATCTCTGGCATCGCCGTCCTCCCACCTGGTCAAGCTAGAAAGCTGAAAGTTCTCCTGGATACGCCCCTCTTCCCGTCCCACACCCCTATAACCAGTCCTCAGCAAGCCCTGTTAGTCCTCCTGAATCTCTGCCTTGAGTCCGTGGACCCTCTCGCTGCCCACCACCCCCTCCAGGCCACCATTGGCTCTCACCTGGGCCACTGTGACAGCTTCCTACCTGGTCTCCTGACATTTGTTCTTGCCCCGCTTTCTTTCATGGTCTTCTTAGGATAAACGTTGGATTGTGTCATTTCCCTGCTTAGGACCCTTCCAAGCCTTCTTGGAATGAAAGCCAGATGCACTGACGCAGTCTCCGAGGCCCTGTGGGATCTGGTCCTTGCCTACCTTTTTGTGTCTTCTTCTGCCACTCTCCCTCAGCTGCAGGACTTCCACACGTGTTGTCCCCAATCCTGGAATGCACGCCCCCTCTTGGGGCCCTGCTAACTCCTACTTATCCTTCAGATAGATACCAGCTCGAACGTCATTTCCGCAGGGAAGCCTAAAAACCAGACAGTAAACAGCACCCTGCTCCAGAGGACCTTGTACTTCTTCATAACATTCAGCACACTCAAATCGCTTTTCCCTCATGTCTATTTCATGCTAGGCTGTGAACTCTGTGGGCTCAGGAATCCGTTTTGCCTCACCCCGGCACATAGTAGGTACACAGTGAGCTGTTAGATGAATGAAGGGACTAGATGAGGAGTGCTGCAGCCTCCTAACTGGTCCTTGCCTCCAGGCCTGCCTTTTCCAGCCCTTTCTCCAAGCAGCCCCAGAACAATCTTTCTAAAACACAGAACTGACCCCGTCACCCCCTGCTACTTAAAATACTTCAATAGCTCCCTGTCACTGACAGGAAAAGGCCTCGGCTTCTTATCATGGTATTCAAAGCCCTTTATGATGTGCGCCTGACTGCCTGTCTTCCCTGCTTCCCCGCCACACTTTGAACTCCAGTCCCTCTAAGACACCAGGCTGTTTTGGGTCTCTGTGCATCTGCACTTGCTGTTCCCTTTGCTTGTAATGCCTCCCCACCCCTACTTTGTCTCCATGGAGAATGTCCTTAATTCTTCAAAATCGGCTCAGCTGCTACCTTCGCTGTGAAGCCTGTGGAGCCCTTCCGCTCCTCCCCAGGCAGAGTTAGCCCACCCTCCCTCTGCCACATCTGTGCAAAGTCTACATCTCTTACTCGCTGTCTCCCACTGCACTGGGCTTCTCCGACGTAGGCACAGTGATTATTTTTTCAGGATTGTTCATCTGCGTACCTCCGGCTCCCAGCTTCTCTCTTGTCTTAATTAGGTCTTTGCTTATATACAGAAACCCACTCAAACCAGCTTCAGTAATAAAGAAGGGCTTATTACAAGGACAGAAGGGATTCCCTGGAACTAAGGGGAAGGAAAACCATTAGCTTCAGGAAGGCGGGACCTGGAGGGCCAAGGGAACTTGAAGCAGCCATTCTCTGCACCCTGCCTTTCTGTATCCACAGACTGGATATCTCTGCCTTTTCAGGCACCAAGCCACCTATAGTTCCTGTATTGTGTCCCTTGGTTTCAGCCACATGGAGAGAGAGAACTTGGGGCTTGGCAGATCCAATCCCAAACTCCCAGGAGAGGATCTGATTGGCTCAGAGTGAGGCAGGTGCCCACCCTGGTCCAGTCATCTGTAGCCTACTGGGAAGGATCAAAGAGACATGCAAACAGGGTTCTCAGTGCCCCGCTCAGAGAAGGGGGATCTTCGTTAGCTTCCAAACACATCTCCTGGAATTCTTAGAGTGCCGATGTGGGTGCAGGCAGTTGGGCCTGAGCCCCAAACTTCCATCTGGACAGCAGCTGGAGAAAAAAGGCCTGGAATTGTGACTTAAAGGAGAGTCTTTTCCTGGGCAGCAGTGCTCAGGACAGGCTCTGAAGAACCTGTCAAATGTCATTCAGAGGCCTGAGGAGAGAGAGGGAGAAGAAAGCCTGAATTTTCTCACCTTGCTTTGGAGTGAGGAGAGAGGGAAGAGGAAGCCAGGAACAGGCAGAAGAGTTTTTCCCCACGAAAATCTTCATCCTCCAAGATGTAACTCTTTTCATCAGTGAAAAACCAAACCATGTCTACCTCACCTTCCCCCTGTCACTCATTCTTGACCTGTATTGATTCTGTTCTTTGTGCTTCCCTGGTAATAAACATTTTTTTTAAGCACTTACTCTGTGCCAGACATTGTGTTCACACATTTCATTTAATCTTCACTTCTATAAGATGGGTACTATTATTATTCCCATTTTATTTTATTTTTTTAAAACATATAAATTTTATTTTATTTTAGAGACAAGGTCTCACTTTGTTGCCCAGGCTGGAGTGCAGTGACTTGAACACAGCTCACTGCAGTCTCAACTTCCTAGGCTCAAATGATCCTCCCAAGAAGTTGGGACTACAGGTGCACACCACCATGCCTGGCTAATTTTTTTTTTTTTTTTTTTTTTTTGAGACATTGTCACATTCTGTCACCCAGGCTGGAGTGCAATGGCTGGGTCACGGCTCACTGCAGCTTTGAACTCCTGGGCTCAGGTAATCCTCCCACCTCAGCCTCCCTGGTAGCTAGGACCACAGGCTCATGCCACCATGCCCAGCTCAGTTTTGTATTTTTTTGTAGAGACAGGGTTTCACCCTGTTGCCCAGATTGGTCTCCAACTCCTGGGCTCAAGCAATCCTCCCATCTTGGCCTCTGAAAGTGCTGGGATTACAGGTGTGATTCACGACACCCAGTCTGTCATCTCATTTTACAGACAAGGAAACTGCAGTTTAGGCATTTACAGGCTAGATTTTAAAGCTCTTCACCTCTCTTAATCTCGGTGATTTGCTGATTTGTCTGCTTGCTGTTTGGGATTGTGAAGGTCTCACGGGCAGATAGCAGGTTACCATCCTGCCTCTTTCCCCACTGCCCAGCAAGGGCTGCCAACTGTGGAACAGATGGATGCAGGTAGAGTAGAAAAGGTGTCTGGGTGGACGTCAAGTCTCTGACGTGTGGATCTCCCCTGTGTAGCTAGCTCTGTGACTATGGACACGTCTCATCCTTTCTGAGCCTCACATTTCTCATTCAGAAACGGGGAAGATAATTCCTGCTCTGAGGCTCATATTAGATGGTGGCCGTTATGACAATTTGTGAATAGGAAAGGACCAAGGAATTTCTAAAAGATTGTTATTACCAGAATAGGCTGTAGCAACAGGGCACTAGCGGGGCACTGTGCCCGAACTCCTGCAAGAGGTGGACAAGCCTAGAGCTTCCCAATATGTGGAGTGGGACCAGGGATGACTTTCAGTGCCATTTCTTAACATTAGCTCACGTAGTGAGAAAGTTGGTTCCCTCTCAACGATATCAAGTCCAAGATTGTCCAAGGGAGAACATGTCAGTGTAGTTTCTAGTGTGTCTTTTTTTTTTTTTTTTTTTGAGACGGAGTTTCGCTCTTGTTGCCCAGGCTGGAGTGCAATGGCGCAATCTCAGCTCACCACAACCTCTGCCTCCTGGGTTCAAGAGATTCTCCTGCCACAGCTTCCCGAGTAGCTGGGATTACAGGCATGCACCACCACGCCCGGCTAATTTTGTATATTTAGTGGAGACGGAGTTTCTCCATGTTGGTCAGGCTGTTCATGAACTCCCGACCTCAGTTGATCCACCTGCCTTGGCCTCCCAAAGTGCTAGGATTACAGGCGTGAGCCACCGCGCCCGGCCTCTAATGTGTCTTTAACAACTTTCCAACACTGGTTGCCCTCCCTTTTTAACAGAGAGCTCTCAGGCTAGGCTCAGAACATTGCCTGGCAACTCCATATAGCTAAAACATAATATCATAACTGTTTTTACTGTGTTTGTTTTATTGTCATTTTCTATTTATTAAAAGTGATACTGGCTTTCCATTTATAGTAATAACATGGTTTCTATTGAAAATAGTTGCATTAAAGTTAAAAGTGTCAATTTATTTTTATCTGTTTGTTTATTTATCGAGACTAGATCTCACTCTGTCGCTCAGGCTGGAGTGTAGAGGCCTGTTCTTGGCTCACCTCAGCCTTGACCTCCTGGACTCAAGTGATCCTCCCACCTCAGCCTCCCAAATAGCTGGGACTATGGGTGTGAGCCACTGCCCCTAGCCAGAGTGTCAATTTAAAGAAAATAAGTAATAAACAGTACAAGAGTCTGTAGATTTGTTTTGTTTGTTTGTTTGTTTTTTGAGACGGAGTCTCTGTCGCCCAGGCTGGAGTGCAGTGGCACGATCTTAGTTCACTGCAGCTTCTGCCTCCTGGGTTCAAGCGATTCTCCTATCTCAGCCTCCCAAGTAGCTGGGATTACAGGTGCGTGCCACCATGCCCGGCTAATTTTTGTATTTTTAGTTTGACCATCCAGACGGGGTTTGACCATATCGGCCAGGCTGGCCTTGAACTCCTGACCTCAAGTGATCTGCCTGCCTGAGACTCCCAAAGTATTGGGATTACAGGCGTGAGCCACCGTGCCCAGCCTAGGAGTCTGTAGATTTGGCAGAAATCATTGAGGTGACACACAGTGTTATGCACTTAATGCAAAATTGGGAAGTGGTATGGGGATGTCGGAAATGTGCACTGTTGACCTAGATAATTTTGAAGGTCCCTTCCACCTGCCCAACAAATCTAGGGGTCTCCCCCTGCTGCGCTGGCCTGCTCTCTTCTGCTCACCTTGAACCCTGGCTTGGGCTTCTTTTGGAGGATCCTGCCATGATTTCCCTGCAGACAGGAGAATTTGTGCCATTGTTTTCACAACCTGCTTGGGAGGGGGGCTCATGGAGATAAGGTGTCTGGATGTGGTAGGATGCCCCCTCATCTCTGAGGCCAGGACTTGAGACCTCCTGGGGGGAGTAGGGGCTGCATACCCTACAGTTCTTCTGCTTCCTATGTATAACACAGGCCTCAGGGAGGCCTAGGGAGCAGTGAAGCTTTGGGAGCCACAGGTAAGGGCAAGGCTGCCCCTGGGGCTTCATGTCCCAGAGCTTGGGGCTCAGGGACAGTGAAGCAGAAGGCTTCGGAGTCTCATAGGTCCCTCTTCCCCTACTCCCCGCTTTGTCCACCGCTTTGTGCTGACTGCTTGTCCCTGGGACCTCGCAGCAGACCCCAGGGGGCCTCGGAGGACACAGTGGATTTATCCTCAGGGCCCATGAGCAGGGCCAAAGTAGAGAAGGCAGATGGCAAGGAGGGAGGGAAGTCCTGTCTGCCCCCTCCCTAGTCCCATGTTCACAGTGGGAAGGGTGGCCTGGGCACCAGGAGGATGGAGGGCCTGGGTAGAGTGTGGGGTGTGTGCTTGTGTGTCCATGGTGAATGTTTGAGGATCTCTGTGAAGGCATAATGTGTGTGTGTATGTATGAGAGAGTTTAAGTGTGTGTGTATGTCCCTGGCAAATGTAGCTAGGTAACTCACAGATATGTCTGAGGGTCTCTGAGGGCATATTGTGTGTGCACTGTGTGTGTGTGTGTCTGTGGTGAATGTATCTTCATGCGATATGTCTGCAGTTCTCTGCGAGGGAGTTTTTCTGCAGCGTGCGAGTTTGTGTGTGTGTGGCAGGGTGTGTTGTGGGTCTGTGTGATGTGTGTGAGTCTGTGGTAGCTGCATCTCCATGCCATGTGAGTCTGTGGTGCACAAGGTGTGTTTTTGTGTGCATGTGTGTGCTCTGTGAGTGCCTGTCTAGGTGGATTGCCTGCTGGGTGTGGTGTGTGCCTGTTGTTTTGTGTACGTCATCTTCTTTGTACAGCGTGCATCTCGCTCTGTGGCGCGTCGGAGTGGCCAACCGGAGGTGTATGGCTTGCGTGCGGGTCTTTGTGCCCTGAAAGGGTCCGGGGGTGGAGAGGTTGCAGGGAATGCGTGCACCTCTTTGGGCGGTGTCTGTCTGGCCTGGGGCCGAGCCTGTGCTGGGTTTCTGAGGAGGGTCCCCAGGGTGGGCAGCAGGCGCGGGCGGCGCCTTCCGGCTTGGTGCGGGGCTGGTAACTGGAGCCCCTTCCCCCCATGAAATATTGATCCGGCCTCGTCAGCGGCGCGGGGGAGGGGCGGGGAGGGGGAGGGGCGGGAAGGGGAGGGGAGGAGATGGGAGGGCAGGCGGGGGAGGGACTGGGAGCGAGTCGCCAGCCGCTGTCCGTGGTACTGCCGTGTCTCCCCCAGCGAGGGTGTGGGAGGGGGAGAGATTGTCCCATCCACCAACACCCTTTGTTGGGGCCCCTGCCTCTCAGGATGAGCCTGCCTTTCCCTTCTGCTATCCCGCATCTAGGAAGGGGGAGCAGAGGAACCAAATGTGTATCTTATTGGGATCCAGTATCCACCAGCTAGGGTGACTATACGACTGGGTTTGCCTGGCACAGTCCTCATTTTCATCTGCGGTCCAGTGTGATTGTGAGTATTGTCCCTGCTCATTCTCACAAGGGTCCCAGGTGGATGATAAATTATGTGCTCACCGGTAATAAGGCTTTGATCCAAAGACCTTTTCCCAGTCGCCTCTGCTCTGCCCTGGGAGTTCCCCAGCCATGTGGACATGTAAGTGTGTGTGTAGTTGCATGTGTGGAAATTGTCCTTCCTGTACTAGGATTGAGCTGGAATAAGTGCTTCAGAGCCCCGGGCTCCCGCCACAGCCCAAACCCTCCCCAATGCATCCAGCCCCCTTTTCTTTCAGTCCAAATTCTGCTTTCCATTCCAGCTGTGCTCCTTTCAGGCCTGGGCTTCTCCTGTGCCTTAGAAAGGGAGTCAGGGTGCCGCCCTAGCCTCCCTCCTGCATCCTGAGCTGGGCAGGCCTCTTCTCGGTCTCAATATCAGGGTGTTGTAGGCCTTCCAGCTTGGCCATCTGTATATTCATGGCATCTTCTGTGAGTTCCTCTCCTACTCTTCACCATGGACTCTCCCTCCTTCAGTTGGCTCCATCTTCCTCCTACCTCTAACTGTGGGTACTACCTCTCAATCTTTCCTCACTCTCTGCTCTCTTCTGGGCATTCTCCTTCCTTTCCACACCCCATTTTTTCTTTGGAGAACACACCCAAATCCTGCCTACTCACCTTGCTCTCCTGAGCGCTCGTGAATCAGCTTACCTGGCCAACACCTGAATGTGGGAGTTGCAGCATTATCTCAGACCCATCGGGACTAAACTGGGAATTCATCTTCTCCTTAAGCCAGGCTTTTTCCGCTAGGACCTCAAGCTCTGCTGATGGCACCTCTCACCCCCATCCTTCCTGTAAATCACCTTGGATTTCATTTTTTCCCTTTTCCCTACTTTGTCCCCTCACTCACTCTAGGCAATCCCCTAACCACACCCACGACTCCTGGCCCCGTTTCCTCTTCGCACCTCACTTTCTAAAGCAGTGCAGCCCTTCTTCCTGCATGGATGTAGCAGCCTCCTGGCTGCTCTTCCTGCTGTCAGGCTTCTTTCTGATTCTGCACTCAGTCTCAGATTGATCTCTGTAAAGCATTACATCTAAATCATGTCAGATTTCACTCCTACAGGATGAAAGCCAAGCTTCTTAGCCCCACATTCAGAGCCCTGCACTGGCTGCTCCCAGCCTATCTTTCCAGCCCTCTGTTCCGCAGTTGTACCTACCTCCTCTCCAACTGCGCTGCTGTGTTCGCCAGCCTCTGAACACAACGTTTTCTCCCTGGGCCTTCCCAGTAGTTGCCGCCTCCTTCCTTTAGAGCCACCTCTGCCTCTCCTCTCCAAAACCTCACCTATCTTTTGAGGTGCAACTACTGGGGTAATGCCTTTTCTGGTCTCCCCCACCCTGAAGTGTTCACTGTTTCTGCAGAACAACCAGAGCAATGTCTCTTCACCTCTCAGTGCCTTGGGTGGTCCATGGACCAGCATCTTGGGCATCACTTGGAAGTTTCTTAGAAATGCAGAGTCTCAGGCTCCACCTGTGACCCATGGATCAGAGCAAGCTCCCCAGGTGATTCACCTGCACATTGCAGTTTGATAAGCACTGGATGGTGTGGTCATTGAGGACGGAATCTTGCTTCCGTTTGGGGAGTCACCTTTGGCCAGGAGTAGTGGTATTCTCCAGTGCCAAGTTTAGCAGCCCCTGTAAGGAGACAGGTGCCACATCTAGCCACATCCTACAAGCCAAGGGAGAGGCGAATGGTGGAGATGGCTGAGAAGAATGTGTACCCTGGCTGGCCCTTTCCCACCCATAATCTATACCCTGCAAGGCCCCAGAGCTCAAGCTCTGTAAATCTGACTCCAGAAAGCACTTTAGTGACACGAGGAGGAATCAATTAATCAATAAAAAAGCAGTTATCAAGCAGATAGAAGAACTTTTCCCTCTTCACAAAACACACATTGGTGGAAATGCCTGTTACTTTAATGTATGTTTTGAAAAGAAAAATATGTGGTTTTGGTTTTTTTCTTTATTATAACATTAATACAGTTTCTTAAGTAGTAACTTTAGAAAACACAGTATGTCACATGGAGAAAATAAAAATGACTCACAGTGCTATAAATACTGCTAATTTAATGTTTTAAGTTGCCATTCATTCATTCTACAAATATTTACTGAGTCCTGCTATATGCCAGACCTGTGCCAGGTACTAGGGGTTCAGGGTGAAGACGACGACAAGGTTCCTATTTTTAACCAGCTCACAGCCAGGGGGCGGGGTGTGGGAGACAAGTACGGAACAAGTTAGGAACAGCAGTGTGTTCATTGCCTAGGGAAGCTGCAATAAAGCGCCACAAACAGGGTGGCTTAAAACAACAGAAATGTAGACTCTCACAGTTCTGAAGGCTACAAGTCTAAAATCAGGTGTTGGCAGGATTGCTTCCTTCTGTGTGCTGTGAGGGAAAATCTGTTCCGTGCCCCTCCCCTGGCTTCTGGTGACAGGTGGCAATCCTTGGCGTTCCTTGGCGCATTGACGCGTCACTCCCATTTCTGCCTCCGTCGGCACATGGCGCTCTCCCCGTGTCTGTCTTCACGTGGCCACCTTCCTATAAGGACACTGGTTATATTGGATGAGGGACCCACCCTTCTCCAGCATGATCTCATCTTAACTTGTCACATCTGCAACGACCGTGTTTCCAAACCAAGTCACATTCTGAGGGACTGGAGGTTAGAACCTCAACAGTTTTTGGGGGGACACAACTCAACTTATAACACACAGGGACAGTACAAAGGGAGTTATGGGGATTAACCTTATCTGGGAAGACTGTCCTAGGAAATGACCTTCAAACTTGGATTGAGCCAAGAATAGGGTTTAGCCAGGCAAAGGTGGCAGGACAGACAAGTTTGGGGCCACCAGATCATGGGGGTGGGGGCAGAGAAGGTATGCCAGGCAGACAGGAGACAAAGTGGCTAAGTGGCTCTTTTTTTTTTTTTTTTTTTTTTTTTTTTGACAGAGTCTGGCTCTGTCATCCAGGCTGGAGTGCAGTGTTGCAATCTCGGCTCACTACAACTTCTGCCTCCTAGGCTCAAGCCATCCTCCCACCTCAGCCTCCCGAGTAGCTGGGACTACAGGTGTGTGCCATCACATCAGGCTAATTTTTGTATTTTTTTTTTTTAGAGATGAGGTTTTACCGTGTTGCTCAGGCTGGTCTCAAAATCCTGGGCTCACGCGATTCACCTGCCTTGGCCTCCCTAAGTGCTGGGATTACAAGCATGAGCCCCACGCCCGGCCCAAGGTGGTACTTTTGAGGACTGAAAAGAAGCAAGTGTGGCTGGAATACAGAGTAGGGGCAAGAGGCATGGGACGGGCTGGGAGATAGGAGAGGAAGACAGTCCCCAGTTCACATGGGCTTGTGGGCCTTGGCAAGGGCCTTCTCCTTTGTCCTGCAGGAAATGGGAAGCTAAGGGAGGTTGTCAAGCAGGAGAGATTCATTCTGCTTTGTAGGCTGGCTCCTCCCAAAACTGACTCAGGCGGTATTGTTCCTTCAAGTCCCTGCTTCTGAGGAAGAACACACAGCCCTGTCCTCAGGAGCCCCCAGCCCAGTGAAGGCCCATGGTGACCCTGTCCTGGGAAGGGGGCATGGCTGCTGGGTGACCCCAGCGGCCCCTAGTGGAGCCTTCAGGAACCTTGTTCTGAATGGGAGACACGGCTCACCCAGCCCTGGGTCTGCCTTACCCTTGTGTGTTCTGAGTCCTTAGAGTTGTGGTTTGAGTCCGACCACCCCATCCCCTGCACTGCCATGAGGACTGTGACTGAGAATGTATCTAGGGCCCATGTGGTGCCCTGAGGCCCTGGGGGAACATCAGGGGCTCAGTCTTGTAGGTCTTGCAGGGACCATGCCTTCAGCACCCCACTCCCCTCAAGGTATGTCTGGAGTCTGTATTGCCTTCCTACACAGTATCCAGCCTCTCTGGGGTTCTCAACCCATCCCTTACCATACCCTCAGAGGGCTACCCGTTTCCTGTGTCTGATGGGAGAGGGCCCACCCTGCCCAAAGCTGCCTGTCCCTGCCTTGCCCAGGCTGAGTGGGCCAGGCTGGGTGGAGGAGAAGTGGGTCAGCCTGGTAGCCATGGTGACAGCAGCTGCTCCCTGCCAGCCTTCTCCTCTCCTCACCACAAACCTCACCGATGAGCTCCTTTGTCCGGTCTGGCGAGGATGGGGGCCAGGCGAGTGAGATTGGGGGCTGTGGTGTGTATGATTGTGCATGTGTTCAAGCTTGCACACACCTTGTGCACGTGTTCAAGCTCGCACACACCTGCTCAGAGGTGGGGTGTGTGCCTTAGCCAAGGGAGCCCACGGCTCAGGGTAAGATGCTTCCTGCTTCCCTGCCCACGGAGCCATGGGGCTCTTCCTGCCTCTCTGGACTGGGCAGGGGCCCAATGGGGAGGGTGTGTGTGGGTGTTTGCAGGTGTGTACACATGTGAGTCTGTGAACGACTATGGCTGTCGTGGCTGCTTCTGTGTGTCTCTGTGTGTATGAGTATCTTAGTGGGGGGTGGTGTGCACATATGATTGCGTCTTTAAGTGTGTATCATTGACATAAGTCTGTGTGATCACACATTTGGAATTCTGTGCCCCATGTCTCTTCCTGCATGTGTGTGTGCACGTGTGTGTGTGTGTGTGTGTCTGTGCATGCACGTGCCAGCCTGGCTTCGGGGAGACAAAGGTCTGCACAACTAGGAGAGGAGCCGCCGCTGTGTGCTGCCCACGCTGGCTGGGTGTGCTTCCTTGGCACAGACTGCCTTCCCCACCACAACCACCTACCAACTCATCACCCGCCCACCTCTCCCTGAGTGGGGACAGGAGAGACTAGAGCCGAAGGAGCCCCTTTCCCCCTTCTGTGAATGCAGGCACTGGCCTCTGACAGGGGCACAGATTGGCACAGGTGATGCGATGGGCCATCCTGGTGCTGGATTAGGTTTGGGCCAGGGGTCTTAGATGCCAGACCCAGCATCCAGCAAGGGGTCAGGAGCTGAGATGCTGGCACAGCTTCATGCGCCACCTCTCACCTCAACTGAAAAGTGCAGGGACCCTGATCCCAGACTTCTGGAGCACTCAGGGCTGTGGTAGGAGGCGATGCTCCTAGTCTCTGGGCCTTCCCCTGCAATGGTTGCACCTGGTGTGGACTCCAGACCAATAAGAACTAACAACTGGACAATCCTTTACGATTTATAAAGGAATCTTATTAGTAATAATAATGTAATTGCCCAACTGATGATCATTTACCACATCCCAATCCTTGTTTTATAATGTTTTATGTAAGAATCCTAAAGCAGGCATTATCGTCCCCACTTTAGAGATGAGGAGCATTAGGCTCAGGGGATTTGTTAAGGAAGCCCTGTATCATACAGCTTGTAAGTGGCAGATCTAGGTTTTGCACTTAAGTCTGTCTGCCTGCAGAGCATGTGTTTCATTCACTCTGCCTTTCTGCTCCTCTTTGTCTCATCTGACCCCAGTCCAGCCGGGAGAGTCAGGGAGGGCCCAGGTGGTGATTAGACTCGTTTTGTAGAGGAGGGAATGGAGGGAATGGTTCAGAGAAGCTGAAGGACCTGCTCAGGATCACATGGCTGGGGGTAGAGCCAGGAGTGTGTCCCCCAACTGCTTGGCATGTCACAGAGTGTCTGGGGAGGGACACAGACCCCATTAATCAGAGGGAGGTTGGAGGAAGGAAGGATAGGGTCTAGAGCTCCTTAGCAGTTGGTCCTGGCCAAGTCTCTGTACATGTATTTAAAAATCTCAAAGTTGTGGGTCTTCAGCAGCTTGACATCCAAGTACCTAAAGGAACATTAAGGGGGCCCATGAGTTGTAAAAATTTTACAAGAGGAAATGGAGAATTGAAGAGTTTAAATGATTTGCTCAAGGTCACACAGCTTCTTCAAAGTCTATCTTTTTATGCCACAATCTACTGGAAGCCCTTGAGGGTAGATGCTTTACCTAGCCCTTCCTCTAAGCTCCTCTCTTCCCTTCCAGACCCTTTTATCACATCGCCTCCTCTGGGAGCCTGCCCTGATTGCCTTCACCTCATTTCTTGAAAATTGGTGTTTTGGCAGAAGTCAATTGAAGCCTTGTGCAAATGCCCTAGGGGTGTGCTGTTGGGAGGCAGCCCCCTGTGATGCGGAACACCAGGCTCAGATTCATCAGTTCGGTGAGTTGGGTTTTCTTCCAGGTGAAGGGTGGGGAGGGAGCACCCAATAGGTGATGTGAGACCTGAGAGTTAGGGGACTTAGGGTTGAAGCAGTGATTTTGCCACCAATTTTTTATGTCACCCTGGTGCGTCTTTCCCCCATTCTGGGCCTTGATTTCTTGTTCTGCAAAATAAAAGGCTCAGGCTAGAATAGAGACAGCAAGTCAGTTTTAGCTCATGAGCTGTTTCTCATCAGCTGGTGCTGGTGCCCTGTGTTGAGAGGGACTCTGAGGCTAAGTCTGACCTTGATGGGAAAGAGAGAGGTTAATGATGTCCACTGTGAGTAGAGGATGGGGAGGGGTGGTGGGAGCCTCAGTTATTTGCAGTCCCTTCCAGCCTAACACTCCATCACCCTGTGATGCATTCCTTGGTCTTTACTGTTGGAAAGGTGGGTGGCTAGGTTCATCTTGAGCTTTTGTGCGGCCTTGAACTACCAAAAATTCTCATCTGGGCCGGGCGCGGTAGCTCACACTTGTAATCCCAGCACTTTGGGAGGCCGAGGTGGGCAGATCACGAGGTCAGGAGTTCGAGACCAGCCTGGCCAATATGGCAAAACCCCATCTCTACTAAAAATACAAAAATTAGCTGGGCGTGGTAGTGGGCGCCTGTAGTCCCAGCTACTTGGGAGGCTGAGGCAGGAGAATTGCTTGAACCCAGGAGGCGGAGGTTGCAGTGAGTCGAGATCGCACCACTGCACTCTAGCCTGGGTGACAGAGCAAGACTCCATCTCAAAAAAAAAAAAAAAAGTTATCTGGTTAGACCCACGGTTAAAGGGACTGAGGGGCCCAGGGTAGCCTGGTAGGGCCCTGAGACCTGCTGTTGTCAGGATTCAGGAGAGAGTTTGGAGGGCCCTTTTAGGGTACTGAGACCCCAGGGTAGAGGCCAAACATCCAAGGGCTAAAAAGAAAACACAAAGCTTATTCCTGGGGAGCTGGGCAGGTCTCTTTTGGCATGGAGTTTTGGCAGGAGTGGGGGCAGTAGCTGTCTCCCTGGAGGATAGATCAAAGTTTCTGTGCTGCTGTGGCAATAGCTGGGAGTCAGCAGGAAGAACTTCAGAGTGAGGTCTCTGTGACTCACTGGGATCATAGGACGGTTTCCTTCCCTGCGGTGCCATGACCTGGGCTGAGAAAGGGACAGTCTGCTCAGAAGCAGGGAATTGGTGAAGGGACTTGCGTGGGAAGGGTATAGTTTATTTAGCAATCGTTTGGAATCACCAACATGTGACACGGTGTGCTCTGTGTCCTGCCTGCTCCTAACCACTCTGCCACAGTCTCCACCACCTTCCCTTTTCCATCCCTGTGGTCTGATGGCTCAGGGGTTGCTATGCAGTGGATGGCCCTCCTTTTAGGTTCCCTATCTGTAACTTTGGCATGTCTTTCCTGAGCTAGACCTGCTGCCGGAGAAGAAACTAGATCTCTAATTCTGAGACCTCTGCTACAATGTGCATTCAGAGACTCAACTCTCCCAGTCAAAAGGACTTTTAGAGATTACTTAACCTGACCCCTTCATTTTACACCCAGATGAGACAGCCGAGGCCCAGAGGAGTTCACATAAGGAATCTGTTCACGTTCGAATCCCACATCCTGATTCCTAATCCTCCTAAGCTGCCCTACCCAGGACTTCTGACCCACAAGGTCAGTCCTAGGACCTTGGGTCCAGTGCTTTGGGTCTGGCTCCTCCTGCCCCTTGGGGAGTGGCCTGCAGGCTGGGCCCTCCCAAGCATTTTTCAGTTCTCCAGCCCCCCTGGTTGATCCCTAGATGGTTAAAGATGAGAAAATAGCTCTGGATGGTGCAGAGACCTTGATGCCAAACCAACTGCTTGTCAATTCCATTTATTATTCATGAGGAAACATGAGCCCCTGGGTTGGCAGGGTCAGGAATTTTGTCCCTTACCCCCTTCCCTTTTCACCCCCTGGGGGTGGTACTCTCTTGCTTCCCAGAGGCTGTGCTAGGGAAGCACTTTGCTTCTCCAGCTATGGTCCGGTTGGGATTTCTACTGCCCTAACTTAGATGCTCATGACAGCTGTGGGAACCTGGGCCAGAGGGGCTTTTCTCATATAGACACTTTCCTTTTAGTTTTCTCAAAGGGCCCAGAGACCCAGGGCAGAGTCTGAGCTTAAGGGCCGGGCCTCCATTTTTGGTTGAAGGGACAGGGGATGCTAAGCATTCTGTCTCTTTGTGGAAACAGGAGACCTGGGTTCAAGTCCAGGCCTTGCCTCTTCTTAGCTGGCTAGTATGAACAAGTCCTTTACTTCTCTGAGACTCAGTTTTCTTATCTACAATACAGAGATAACCACATGCCTTCCAGAAATACTGTAAGGAGTAAATTAGACCTACACCGTGGCAGAGTCACAGGATCAGATAAGCCTTCTCCCACCTTCCACCAAAACACCGTGCAGATACCTCAAAAACACACACACTGGCACTAGAATTGGAAACTCGAAGAGATCATCATAGGCCCCAGTCCAGGGGGACTTTCCATTAGCTGCAGGGTTGATGGGGGATAGAGAAATACAATCCAGGACTCTGCACACGTCACAGGGCGAATGAGATCGGTCCAGGCAGCCACAGAGAAGGCAAAATGAGGCGTTAATTCATCCACTCTGTCAGCTATACTTTGCCAGGCTGGCAGGAGCCATGCTGACCAGGTGACCATTCTCAGCTGTCTGGGGACTGTCTTCCTTTATTTGCCACAATGGTGCTTTTCCTCTTTCACCCATTCTCCCTCCCCTTTCTGTGTCCTTTTGAATAGGCAGACTCTCTCAGTGTTCCAGGCCCGGGGGCCCAGGGTCAAGTGAAGTGCCCTGAACCCTGGCATGGTCAGCTGCCCCAGGAAAACCACTGTGGGCTAGGACAGAGCCAGTAGGGTGCTGGGTGCAGAGCATGCTGGAGAGGCTGGCCTTGTTGGGTTCTTCCTGAGCAGAGGATACTGACTTCAGCTTGGGACTTTGCAGCCAAACTGTGGAGGCCAACAGCTGGAGATCCCAGCTCTGTTAAAAACAGAGCCATGGACTCCTGCAGCCCCCTCCCCCAGAGTGGTTCTCAGGGCCCTCTGTCCTCTTCCCTAGCACTTAGTGTAACCATCATTAAATCTTTAACTGTAGAATTAGTTACTTACTGTCTGTCTCCGTCTTGGACTGGAGGCTTTGGGAGGGCAGGACCAAGTTGGCCTGACTCACTGCTGTATCCTTGGCATTCAACATGGGCCTGGGAATTTTAGGGGCTTAAATATTTGTTGAATGCAGCTAACAGGGAGAGTAAATGTCTATATTTTAAAAAGGAATTTGACAATAGATTCTAAGAATCCAAAAGACATTTATGACCCTGGCATCAGGTAGGATGCTTTTGGAGGTAACAGAGAACTCTGATTCAAACTGGCTTAAGCAATGGAAAATGTATTGTCTCACATCATTGGAAGGCCAGCGCAGGGCGGGCCCTAGGTATGGCCTGAGGTACTTTCTGTCTGAGCGCTGTCTGTTCACAGTAGCACTGGCTTTGTCCTAGGGCTTAGCCCTCTCTAGGGTGTAGGAAAGAGAAGGACAGAGAGAGAAAGAGAGAGAGCCCCCCACCTTTCTTGTAAGCATGGGATCCAAATCTTCCCCCCCTTGGACAAGTAAGAGTTGCTAAGGTGAATGCCATTCACAGATTGCCTTAAATTAATCAAGATCTGCCTCTAAAACAAGGGGTGGGTGGTACCTGGACAAAACCAGCCCTCTGTGAGGAAGCAGAAAGGGGGAGCGGATGCTAGGGAAGCTCCTAGCAGTATTTGTACCCCCTGATCCAGTCGTTCCATTTCGAGGAATCAGTCCTAAAGAAATAAGCAGACAAAATCCATGTAGAAAGATGCTTAGGCTGGGCGTGGTGGCTCACACCTGTAATCCCAGAACTTTGGGAGGCCGAGGTGGGTGGATCACTTGAGATCAGGAGTTTGAGACCAGCCTGGTCAACAGGGTGAAACCCCGTCACTACTAAAAATACAAAAAAATTAGCTGAGCATGGTGGCGCACGCCTGTAATCCAAGCTGCTTGGGAGGCTAAGGTACCAGATTCGCTTGAACCTGAGTGGCAGAGGTTCCAGTGAGTCGAGATCGTGCCACTGCACTCCAGCCTGAGTGACAGAGCAAGACTCCATCTCAAAAAAAAAAAAAAAAGAGAGAAAGATGTTTATTGCCATGCTTATTTAAAAGAGAGGAAAGAAGCCAGGCCCGGTGGCTCATGTCTATAATCCCAGCACTTTGAAAGGCTGTGGCAGGCAGATTACCTGGGGTCAGGAGTTCGAGACCAGCCTTGCCAACATGGTGAAACCCCATCTCTACTAAAAATACAAAACATTAGCCAGGCTTGGTGGCGGGCGCCTGTAATCCCAGCTACTCGGGAGGCTGAGGCAGGAGAATTGCTTGGATCCGGGAGGCAAAGGTTGCAGTGAGCCGAGATTGTGCCACTGCCTGGGTGACAGAGTGAGGCTCCATCTCAAAAAAATAAATAAATAAATAAATACAAATAAAAGAGAGGAAAGAGAGAAAGAGGAGATAAACTTGGGCCTGATCTAAGCGGTAACTCTACTGAAATACTTAAATCAATTATGCTACTTCTATACAATGGAATATCACGGTAGCATACATAGTGTTAATGACATTGGGAAATGCTTATGATATAATATTTTTTTTTTTTTTTGAGACAGAGTCTCGGTCTGTCACCCAGGCTGGAGTGCAATGGTGCGATCTCGGCTCACTGCTACCTCCGCCTCCCCAGTTTAACCGATTCTCCTGCCTCAGCCTCCTGAGTAGTTGGGATTACAGGTGCCCACCACCACGCCCAGCTAATTTTTGTATTTTTAGTAGAGATGGGGTTTCACCATGTTGGTCAGGCTGGTCTCGAACTCCTGACCTCAGGTGATCCGCCCGCCTCGGCCTCCCAAAGTGCTAGGATTACAGGCATGAGCCACTGTGCCCGACCATGATATAATGTTAAATGAAAAAATAGTAGGATATAAAATGATATTTGCAGTATGAGTTCAGTTATTTTAAAAACTGCATGGAAGGGTGGCTGGAAGGGAATAGGCTAAAATGCCTCTCAAGAGTACGATAAAGGGTGATTTTCTTGCTGCTTTGGACTTTTCTGCAGTATCCCCTTCACATAGAAGGACCCCACCAGAGTCTGCACAGGCTGGAGCCAGTTCTGTTCTCCCTGTTATTATTTGCTATGAAAATAATAACCACCAATACTTACTGAATATTTCCCCTAAGCCTGACAGGCACTTCCTGTGCATTATTTAATGTAATCCTTAGAACAATCCTATGAGCTAAGTGCTTTTATTTCACATCTTGCTGAGATGTTCACTGAAACCTCAGGATGTTTGTTTGGTCACAAGTCCACGCAGCTAGTGTGTAGAGGCCTTTGGAATTCAAGCCCGGGCCATGTGACTCCACAGCCTCGGTCCTCTCCATCAAACCGGTCACCTGCAAGGTTTTTCATAGCCATGTGCTAATAGGAATAGTCTCTTTTATTGAGCCAGAACCTGTGCATGCTCTTGACATTTGTTTGTGCATTTAACCTTATAGCCTCAGAGAGGTCAAGTGACTAGCCCAAGGTCACGCAGCTAGGAAGTGGTGGGACTGCAGTAGATTCATCCAGGTCTGATGTGGGATCCTTTTGTTTCCTGCCCATCTTCAGAGCTGCCTGAGGCCCTGCCACCCCGGGGACCATGTTTAACGGGGAGCCAGGTCCTGCCTCATCTGGGGCCTCCAGGAATGTGGTGCGGAGCTCCAGCATTAGCGGTGAAATCTGCGGATCCCAGCAAGCCGGGGGCGGGGCTGGGACCACCACCGCCAAGAAGCGGCGGAGCAGCCTGGGTGCCAAGATGGTGGCCATCGTGGGCCTGACTCAGTGGAGCAAGAGCACACTCCAGCTTCCGCAGCCTGGTGAGGGGGCATGGGACATCACGGGGTAGAGGTGGGGGACACTTCGCAAAGACAGACTACCCAGGGACTGCCCTGATGGGTCTGCACTTCCATGCCCACAGACACTTATACTGTGGCCCTTCCCATACACCAGGTGCTGTTCTAGGTCCAGTAGGTGTATGGACTGATTAAATCTCCATGGAGCTCTATGAGGCAGGTACCAAAGAACAGAAAAGGGAGGTCAGATGCTTCAAACTGCACAACTAGTAGGTGGTGGAGCCTGGATTCAAACTCTAGCAGTTGGGCTTCCTAGCTGATGCTCTTAACCTTTACACTCCACTGTCTCCACACACAGACATTAACCAGTAATTACTTATTAAACAGCCTTATGATCCTGGCACTGTGTAAGTGACACCACAGTTTTACAGACATACACATCCATAAGATTTAGTCTCAAGTGCTGGGTGCAGGGTTCACACCTATAATCCCAGCACTTTGGGAGGGAGAAGCGGGAGGGTCACTTGAGCCCAGGAGTTTGAGACCAGCCTAGGCAACATAGTGAGACCCCCTGGTTTAAAAAACAAAAAAGATTCAGTCTCGCCTGTAATCTCCTAGTCTCCTAAATACAAATAGCCACACAAATGCAGTTCTGTAGTCCCATGTATATGTTACAAAGCACAAGGGAGACACACACAAAGATGTGTGACTTGTGCAGTTACATAAATAGAACGCTCAGTGTCTCTGGTAAGCTGCCCGTATTTCCAGGGAAGCATAATAGAGTAATTCACACTGCGCATGGTCACAGATAAAACCAGTCATGCAAACCACACAGACACAGCCCTCTGATTACACATGCACAGACCCAGATCACAGAAACATGTCACATGTGTGCAGGTGTACATCACAAAGCCACATTCACACACACCTTAACAGCTCCATCCTCATCAATACAGTATCCTTTTTCAGACACCTAGCTGCAGAATCTCAGTTATGTTCAGCCTGGTGGGTGACCACCTTGTGACATACATAGACCCCACATCACAGAGGAGCCAGCCCTCCCCACCAAGACCTCCTCACTTTGTGGTATCAGCCCAGACACCAGCTGGTTTTGTTTTAAAATCTCTTCCGGCTTATTTTGTTCAGAGTAACAACTTCCCCAGAAACCTTCAAATAGGCAGCTGGATGGGATGGTGAGGGGGCGGGGGCTCCGGAGGATCCAGGGAGAATGCTCATCAAGGCTCCCAGTTGGGGCTGGGGGTGGGGGACTTTTCCAGGCCTTAAAATAGATTTATACAAAGCCGTCGACAGTAGCACGTGGGCTGGTCTTTTCCAGCAATCAAGCTGTGATGTGGTTTCTCGCTGGGGAAAGCTATTATAGGTGGGGAAGGGGCTTGAGGTTATCAGAGCCCTAGAGTGGGCATGGCCTCTGTGAATATGCAGTTTAGGCCTGGTACTAGAGAGTCAGGGAGATGGGGACTTAGGGATCTAGAAATTGGGCTGGGACAAGGAAGGGGCTGAGATAGGACTAAGGAGTGAGATTAAGATTAGAAGGTCGTGGAGGTGTTGGACCCCGGGAGTCTGGCTCCAGGGGACCAAGCCCAGAAATCCAGCTGATTCAGCTTCAGACCCAAAGGCTTCTTCATGCCCAAAGTGATTTGGGGGGACAGTCTTCCAAGGCCAGGATGGGGACCTGAGTCACTGGGAGAACCTTCTAGTGGTCTGCCTTGACTTTACAGGCTGCAGGCAGGGATTGGAGCAGATACCAGGAAGACCTTTCATCTTGAGAAGAGATGAATGATGATGGGGCTTCTGAATCCCTTGTCTCCTTGGTATGCAAGGGCATGGCTAAAGGACTGGAGCTAGGGGAACTGCCCAGATGCCCTTCTAACTGAAGGTCTCTGTGAATCAGCTAATTGCTGAATGTGAGTGAGGAGAGTCCCTTGAGATCATCTAGTACGCTGTACTTATTTTATTGATGAGGCATCCAGAGCCTGGGGAGAAAGCATGTTCCTGGAGAACGACCTCAAGTTCAGATCCATCCCCTGTCATTTACTAGCCGGGTGACTAAGGCAAGTTACTTCACCTCTCTGAGCCTGCTGCCTTGTTTGTAGAATGAGGGCAATGATACATGCCTTGCAGAGTTATCCAGGGAATTAAGTGAGATAGGGTATGCAAAGGCACCCAGCTTCATGCCTGGCACATAGTATAGGCACTCAGTGAAGTGTTGATGCTGTTATTATTACCTGCCATTGTACCATAAAGCCAAAAGAGAAGTGAGTTCTCAGCCTCCACACCTCTGCTCCTTCCCTGTAGCACGTTCCTCTCCATCTAGAATTCCTTCTCCATTTTTTGCCCCCATGCCTTGAGGATGCCAGTATCCCAGCTCGGACCCACCTCATGGGTGGGAGCATCTGGTGCCAGAGGAATATATGAGGCAGACTCATGGGCATTGGCTCTGGAAACTGTTCTGGGAAAGACCTAGAAGGGTGCCCCCACTCCTGACAGATGAGATGGCTCCATTCCCTGCAGGGCTGGGCTGTGTGAAGTGGGGAGGAATTCCTCTCCTGGACTCTGTCTTCTGGGCTCAGGTCTGCCCTTCCCAGGGCCTCCTTCCTCCTGGTGTGTCCGTACTGTGCAATGGCTAGACCTCTGCCCATCCTTCTTTGTTTCAAAGCCCCTGCCCTAGTACAGGACCCATAATATCTAGCCTGGACGATTGCACCACCCTCCTCTCTAGCTCTCCTGCCTCCTGCCTGCCTTCTTCCAGTTTATTCCTCTTGTTGCCCTAGAGTGGACTTACAAAAACTCACTTTAGAGGGCTAGTCCTGGCTCTGTAACTCACCATGGGACCTCGGGAAATTTACTTTTCCGCTGGGCCTCAGTTTCCTCTTCTGTAAAATGGAGCTAAAATGCTCTCTCCCAGTTTCCTTCTGGATCTGACATTCACTAAGTCGTGGGAGCAGTGAGGAGGGTGGGGTCAGAGCTTTGGGTCCAGGACACAGGTGGGTTCTGGTCTGGCAATTGGCTGGGTCTACACAGGACCATCCTGGGCTGTCCCAGCCCCTGCCCAAACGGAGCTAGTATTTTCAGTACCAGGGACAGTGGCTTTCCCCTTCTGGACTCTGGGATCTGGGTCAGGGTAGAGAGAGGGCTCAGGACCATTCCAGAAGATGCCATAGGGAGTGGTGGTACAGGCTGTGAGTGCCCCTCCTTTGTTTGTGATGGGACAGATGGGATGGTTCCTGGAGTCTTTTGGTCTCTGGAGCCCATAGAATTATTGCAAGCAACTGAGAGAGAGATTATATAAAGTTATTCCTTAAATCAGCAGGGGTTGAGACTATTCATGTATGAAGCCAGTGGAGGGATCGTATGGACATGTATGAAGCCAGTGGAGGGATCGTCTCTGAGATTGCAAGAGCTTTCTCCTCCCTCTGAGGTCATGGAACTTAATCTCTGCTGAATCACCTCTCAGCTAGATGGGGGATTGGGAGGGGAGTGAAAAGAGCATGACAGCAGACTGGGAGTCTGTGGGCCTGATCTAGTCCCAGCTCTCTCGGCACCTGAACCTCAGGCTTCCCATCTGTGAAATTTGGGGGAGGGGTAGCCAAAGTATCTCTAAGATTTCAGGATTCTGTGACTCCCCGACTCAGGGTCTCACATTGGGTTGGACAAGTCTTATCAAAAAGGCAAATTTGCTCCCAAATGGGTCAAAGTTTCCCTAAACTCTGAAAGAGGAGGGTTGGGGTCATGAGGAGGTGACCCCAACTCAGGCTGTGTGTTGTGGGGTAGAGATATGAAGGCGAGGGAGCCCCCACAGACCCATCTGTTTTCTAATTGTGTTAGAGAGGATGTAGAGTTAGGAGCCACGGACAGGGAGAGGCCCCACACACCAGCATTTTTACCCAGGCCTCTGTGTGTGAGGTGAGTCAGACACCATTTGTGGGTTTTCATCAACATATGTGATTGAATGGGAGGGTTCAACTCCAAGTGTTACATGTGAAGATCATGTGTCTGTGACTTGACTGAAGGTGGCAGAGTCCATCATGTGTACATGTGACCAAGACCTGGTAGGACCATTTGTGACTGTGTGACTGTGATATAAACCTGCATGTAGCCTTGTGTATGAGATTACTGTATTCATATATGTGATTGCTGCTGCTCGTGCATGTCTGCCTATGCCTCTCTTTGTGAAAAAAATATGTATGAGCTAATGTGACTCTGTGTGTGTGTGTATGAGAGAGACAGACTGACATGTTGATGGTGTCATGGATTCCTGAATATGCTATTCCAGTATCCCAGAAGCTGGGATGATTTCAGAGAAGGCATTCCTCCTCACCCTGCACCCTGTTCTCAGCCTGTCCCGCCACCCACCCTTCCATCCACTAGTGATCCTAGACCTCTCTGCCTGCCCTCCTCCAGTGGGGACTTTCTGAAAGATAAGCAGACGAAGCAGGAGGAATAAAGTCTTCCTTTTCCCAGGCTGGGGTCTTGAACATCCCCTCCCCAGCCCACCATTGGGTGTGGTGGGAGAGAATTGCCAAGGTAACCAGCTCCCTGCTCCCCACTGTTTTCAGGGGCTGTGCTGCCTGTCCTGCCCTGGCCTCTCCCCCTCCCTGTAGGCAACTCCACTGTTAATTCGCTTGGCCTCTAACCAGTGACAGCAAATGGTTCCTTTGGTGCAGTTCCCATCTGAGGGCCAGTTCCCTCCCCATCAAGTTCCTCCAGCTGCCAAGCTTCAGCGGGGGAAGTCCCTGCAAACCCTCAGGCCATCTCCCCCATCCGCCCCCCGCCAGGAGGAGAGGGTGTCTAGAGGGACCACACTGCAATGCCGAGGAGGTTGCCATGGAAACCCAGGCAGGATGGTGTGCTGCTGGGAGAGGGAAAGTGTCCCATGTTCCCTGCAAGGCTGAGGGGGAGGCCAGGATATGGGGGTCGAGGGCCTCTGAACAGGAGGCACGGAGACACGGGTAAGTTCTCACAGGCCAGCTTCGGGGTTCTTCTGCAGACCTTTTCTCAAAGCCAAAGACAATTTGGGTCAACCCAGCAGTCCCTCTCTGTCTTGTTTTCCTAATGGCCTCTCCAGCTCTCCACACACGTCCTCTCCATGTTCAGCCCCACCTAGAGAAGGTGGGTTTGTTTGAGAGTGGCCAGGCTTCCCATGGGGGCTTTCCTATAGAGCCTCCAGAGGTATCAGAGGTGAGTTGTGAGGTCTGGGTGTGATAGGGTCTGAGGGTGCCTGAAAGAGGGAAAGTCAGTCTGAGAATCCCAGAGAAGATGAACTTTCCAGAAGAGAGTGGGAAGAGGCACACTTAACCTTTGGGGCAAGGGCTGAAATCGAGTGGGAAGGTGGGCGTCAGGGGAGCCTGATGAGGGTGAGGCGAGGGCCCCAGCTGCGGATCTGCGGCTCTGCGTGGTGGCGCCATCATGACTCTGCCTGCAGCCATCTTTCTAGTCTGCTCTGTCAGTGTCACTGCCCGGAGCAGGGCCAGGTGTCAGGCTGCAGACCAGCTCTGAGGTCAGCTCAGCCATGCCCCTGCCTCCAGTCAGAGCCCTGCTCATCCTCCCCATCAACCCCCCATGCCAAGAGAGTGACTTTGGCAGGACTCTTAGAGAAGCCCCATTCATAATCTGACCTTGTTCCCTCTCTGTGCTTGGGGTTGGGGGGGTCACAGAAGGGGCCACCAAGAAGCTGCGCAGCAACATCCGCCGGAGCACGGAGACAGGCATCGCGGTGGAGATGCGGAGCCGGGTCACACGCCAGGGCAGCCGGGAGTCCACCGATGGGAGCACCAACAGCAACAGCTCCGACGGCACGTGCGTGCAGCCCCGTGCTGTGGTCCCCTCCCTCCTCCTCGGTCCTCCAGTCACAGAGCCACTGGGCAGGGTGGGAAAGCCTCCCTGTTTTGTTTCCAGCTAAAATGTCTGGGTCCTCTGTGTCTCTGCCTTCCTTCATACCCCTCCCCTCAACACTCTGTGCCTGGACCTCAGGTCTTCCATTGCTCCCATTGGAATATCCAGATACCCAGGAGCTATCAGTTCCTTCTGTATGTTTCAGGAAGGGACCCTTACCTCCCACCTCCCACCTCCCACCACGCACACACTGCCCTGCTCCAGAGGAAAGGGTGGAAAGGAAAATGTGGCCCTAAAATCCTTTTAAATCTAAAACCATTGTTGTGGCCCAGATGAGTGGAATTTTCTCAAGGAGGCTTGCTTAGAGCTGAGGGAAGGAGATTGGACTAGATCAGTGTTTTTCAAACCATGGATGGTGACTCATAGACAGGAAATAAAATAGGTTTAGTGGGTCAAAACCAGCATTAGAAAAAGAAATAGACATATCTTATGAAGTAAGAATAAATTGCCTCGTGAACTTTTGTTTCCATTTTTTATGTATAGATGCACACAGGTCTGTCCTGGGTCATGATGTTAAATCTCCTTTCTTACATGTAGGTTGCATTAAAAAATCTGAAAGTCACTGGTTTAGATATTCCCACAGATCTCTTCTAAGTCTATGAAATTATAGTTGTATGACTAAGATTTTCTGCTTCTGCTTCAAGGCCTAGTGACTTCCAGGCTTAGGATTCTGTGGCTCCCTCGTTTGAGATTCAGTGATTGTGTGTCTCACTGCTGCACCTACTTCCATGAATGCGAGTGCTCTCAAGCATTTATTACATCTTCCCAGGTGCAGAGCATGCCTGGGCATCTCAGATAGGTGATTCTTACACTGGAATCTGCTGGCTGTGATCAGACCAGGAACAGTGATCGTTGTTTTTTTTGTTTTTTTTTTTTTTGTGATGGAGTTTTGCTCTTGTTGCCCACGCTGGAGTGCAGTGGTGCAATCTCAGCTCACCACAACCTCCACCTCCCAGGTTCAAGCGATTCTCCTGCCTCAGCCTCCTGACTAGTTGTGATTACAGGCGTGCACCACCACGCCTGGCTAATTTTGGATTTTTAGTAGAGATGGGGTTTCTCCATGTTGGTCAGGCTGGTCTCGAACTCCCAACCTCAGGTGATTCGCCCACCTCAGCTTCCCAAAGTGCTGGGATTACAGCCACTGCACCCGGCCTAACAGGGATCATTTAACACTTACAGCAACCCTGAGGGTTGTGGGTATTACCATTATCTCCATTTTACAAGTGGAGAAACAGGGAGAGGAAGAGGGTGGGCCACCTTACCCAAGGTCACAGCTATTAAGTGGTGATGGAGTCAGAATTGGAATTAAGGCCATTTGATTCCATGACCTTTGTTCACAATCTCCACACTATATCCAGCTCCTAAAATTCTGTGACCTTGAGAGTCTAAGTTTCTTTATTTAACCTTCTCAGATATCATTGTCCTAAGAATGTGATATTAGGCTGTTGTTGACCATGGCCAATAAAAGTGGGGCCTTGAAGCCCCTCCCTGTGGGGTGGAGGCTGGGCCTAGTCAGGGAGAGACACAGGCTCTCTCTGACAAGCATACACAGCCTACTTTTTCCTCCCTGCTGGCCGCTAGCCAAGGGGGACTCAAGGCCAAACTATCTAGTAGGAGATTCTTCCTTGGACAGCCTTTTATCTCTGCAGCCAGGAGCCTGGGCCTTTCTAGGAGATCTTAGAACTTTATTCTATCATAGCCCCTGAGGGTTGGCAGGGCCAACCCTCCCTCATCTGTCCTTTCTCAGCTGGCCACACCCAGAATATCTAGACTGGAGCACAAAAGAGAAGTAGCACTTTTCCCTTGATGATAACAACAGCAGCAACCGGAACTATCATTTAGTGCTTTCTGTTTGTCTGGAACTTTTCATTTGCCCTAATCCTCAACATATAAAACCCTATGAATTTTGTTTTGCAGGCAAGGCAATTTTACCTTTTGGAGCCTCTGTTTTCTCATCTGTAAGACTGGATAATAGCTCCTACCACACAGAGTGGTTGTAAGGATTAAAAGATATAACCCATGTGGAATTTTTAATGTACCATTGGCACCTGGCCAGTTGTCAATCACTGTCAGCTTTTCTTGTTACTGTTTCTAGACCCCCACACAGTCATGGAACAACCACCAACCACCATCACTTGCCATTCACCTCAACCCTGTAATTGTGTTATTTTGGTCTTAGCTGCTGTTCTGGGCACCACCTCATGTTTGACTTGGATTTCAAACTTGCAGTCAACTCAAACCTCAGTTCTTGTAACTTGTTCCAGGCATTGAAATTTCTGACCTATGTCTCTGGTTCTTAGCACTGATATGCCCTGGTGAGGACACAGGTGTCCAGCAAGCCCTGCCTTGTAAGGGTCACTTCAGAAGTCCCTGGACATTAAGGATTAAATAGCATCATTATGTATTGTTATTAGTTTATTTTCTCAAGTGACATCAAAGTATTTTTCTTCAGTATGCAGAAATAAACAGTTCTGTTTGTCCTTTCCCAGAGTAGTGCAATCATACTGTTTAGAGGAGAAACTGAGGCACAGAGGGACGTGCCCAGGGCCCCAGGGCCAGAGCATGGCAGCCTGCCAGCTATACTTTCATCCTCAGGTTGCCCTGACCCCCTCACGCGTCCCTCTGCCTCCTCCTGCAGGTTCATCTTCCCCACTACCCGGCTAGGGGCTGAAAGCCAGTTCAGCGATTTCCTGGATGGGCTGGGACCAGCTCAGATTGTGGGGCGACAGACACTGGCAACACCACCCATGGGTGAGTCTTATTAAGGGCAGGTTGAGTGGGGTAATGGTGACCATGCGACAGGAAGGGTGAGCTCAGTGGGGGCCCTGCATTGGCCATCGTAGAGTTTATTCTATCACCAATTCTGTGATCTTAAGCAAGTCACTTCCCTTCTTTGAACCTCAGTCTCCTCATATTTAAAATGGGAATAATAATACCCACTTGAGTTCTATGCTCTAACAATACTTTACTGAGCTCCTATTAGATGCTTTGCATGAGGTATTTCAATTTAATGTGTAGGAACTGTGGCTTATTTGACTTGTTACACCCAACAGCGCCTGGCACCTAGAGGCCCTTTAGTAATTTTCTTATCGCTTTTCCTTGCAGCTAGGAAGTATAGTTGGCCCTCTGTATCCATGGGTTCTGTGTTTGTGGATTCAACCAACCTTGGATAGAAAATATTCAGGGAAAAAAAATTCCACAGAGTTGCAAAAAGCAAAATTTGATTTGCTGTGTGCCGAGTACTACCCTGAATCCATGCAAAGGAAGTGATATGTAGGCATTGTGTTAGGTATTATAAGTACAGTCATTTTCAGTGTGTGAACATCATAGAGTGTACTTACACAAACCTAGATGGCATATATATATATATATATATATATATATATATATATATATATATAAATTTATATGTATTTTTTCATATGGAAAACCGTATATCCTAGCACCATTACTGAATATCAATCATGTCCCCTATTTGATCTGCAATGCCAATATCAAGTACCATATATCAGGTTTCTATATATTCTCCATTATAATCTTACGGGCCCACTGTCATGTATATGATGCATTGTTGACTGAAATGTCATTATGCGGCACACCAGTATAATCTAGAGATGATTGAAAGTATATGGAAGAAGCTGGTTGCAGTGGCCTGTGCCTGTAGTCCCAGCTGCTCAGGAGGCTGAGGCTGGAGGATTGCTTGAGCCCAGGAGTTTGAGGCCAGCCTAGGCAATATAGTGAGACCCTGTCTCAAAAACTGAATAAAATAAAGCATATGGGAGGATGTGCATAGATTATATGCAAACACTATGCTATTTTTATTATTTTATTTTATTTTATCTTCGAGATGGAGTCTCACTCTGTTGCCCAGGCTGGAGTGCACTGGCGCAATCTTGGCTCACCATAACCTACCTTTACCTCCCAGGTTCAAGTGATTCTCCTGCCTCAGCCTCCTGAGTAGCTGAGATTACAGGCATGTGCCACCATGTCTGGCTAATTTTTTGTATTTGTAGTAGAGACGGGGTTTCACTGTATTGGCCAGGCTAGTCTGGAACTCCTGACCTCATCCACCTCAGCCTCCCAAAGTACCGGGATTACAGGCATAAGCCACTGTACCTGGCTGCCATTTATTTATTTATTTAGAGACAGAGCCTCGCTCTGTCACCAGGCTGGAGTGCAATGGCACAATCTCAGCTCACTGCAACCTCCACCTCCCAGGTCCAAGCAATTCTCATGCCTCAGCCTCCCGAGTAGCTGGGACTACAGGCGCACACCGCCACACATGGCTAATTTTTTTTCTTTGTATTTTAGTAGAGACGGGGTTTCACCATGTTGCCCAGGCTGGTCTTGAACTCCTGAACTCAGGCAATCCGCCTGCCTTGGCCTCCTGGCTGCCATTTTATATTAGAGACTGGAGCATCCAAGGATTTTGGTATCCCTGGGTGGGGGCGAGGTAGGGTTCTGGAACCAATCCCCCATGGATACTGAGGGATGACGGTACTACCTGAAGCCTACGCTTGGTCCTGTTAGCTTCAGTCTGGCCCATTTCATGAGCTCTCAGACAGAACCTCCCTGCCCCCTCCCTCTCTTAGGTGTTGGCTGTGTTGGCTTCCAGCAGCTCCTCCCCAGGATAGCTCCTCCAGAGGTGCCTCCTCGCCTCCACTCCTTTCCCATCAGTCTGACCTGAGCAGCACCTGACCCACACGTCCCCACTCAGCCCCCATCAGGACAGTGCTCAACCTTTGACCCTCCCAGCAAATGAGGAAGCCAAGTGCAGTGTCCTGCTGTGAGTCATGCAGTGGAGCTGGGGTTCCACTCCAGGCCAGGACTCCTTCCACTGCAATGCCCTCAAAAGCTCCTGCCCAGGAGCTCCTGCCTGCTGGAACAGGAGATGATGGGGACCCTCAGAGGGCAAGGATCAGCTGAAAGCAAAGGCTGGGAATTAGCCAAATCCAATTCTAGGGCTGGACCCTTGTTTTCAGTCTCTTAAGGGTCTGGGGAGCCTGCTTTTCCCAGCCCTAGACCCAGCCACAGGCTGGGCAGCAGTGAGAGGAGCCAGCCACTTCCACAAGGCTAATGCGCCATGGCAGCCGGGACCATTCGTGTGTGGTACCCCCTGGTGTCAGACCAGGGAAGGACAGGTTTGCCTTGCTCACCTCGGTAGTGATGTTACTGGAGATTAATTCCTAAGACCTTCCCTTCTCCCTTCCCCACAAGGAGGTCAGGAATAGCTGGATGGAGGTGGATGAATTCCAGGAGGTCTCTTGAAATTAGCAAATCCCCATCTTCCGTAGTACACAAATACAAACAATTTCATGATGGCTCAGATAATCTAAAAATGGGTGACTGAATTCAAAGTCTGGCCCATTTGATTCTTGTGGACCAGGCTTATGATTCTGCACCCCTGTAAAAGACTTCACTTTGTTCTGAGTGACTGACTACTACATAATTCCAAATTCTGCCAACCAATGTTGAACAAAACTAAGAGTTCCTAGAAATCAGGTAACTGACATAACTCCACACACAGACCTTGCCCCGGCTGGATAATCCATTCTGTGGGAGTACAGTGAAGATTTCTCAGCCGTCCACACCCAGAAAGTCTGCTGGCCTTCCCTCCCTCCACTGGTAATGCAGTAGTAGGCCCTTGTTGTCTGGTAGTGCCTCGTGTCCTGGGCAGGTTTTTAGCTCAGAGCCTTTTCAAACAGATGTTCTTTCTTTTCTTCTTTCTTTCTTTTTTTTTTTTTTTTTTGAGACGGAGTCTTCCTCGTCACCCAGGCCGGAGTGCTGTGGTGCAATCTTGGCCCACTACAACCTCCACTTCCTGGGTTCAAGTGATTCTCCTCAGCCTCCCAAGTAGCTGGGACTACAGGTGCACACCACCATGCCTGGCTAATTTTTTGTATTTTTAGTAGAGATGGGGTTTCACCATGTTAGCCAGAATGGTCTTGATCTCCTGACCTCATGATCTGCCCGCCTCTGCCTCCCAAAGTGTTGGGATTACAGGTGTGAGCCACTGCGCCCGGCCTCAAACGGATGTTCTTTTGACACAGATGTATGGGGAGGTGAAGAACAGCCACTGAGCCCACAGCCTCCCCTGTCTTCCTGACACAGGAAGCTCTGTCCTCAAGTTTGCTATTCTGCTCAGTAAAACAGAAGCCTCTCAGTTAGCCAGACACAAATGGGGGTTTGGCAGCCATCTGTTGTTACCCAGTCATGCCCCTGAAGATCATGCCCCTACCCCAACCCACCCCAAGGGACCTATCAAAGGGTCCCTCAGCTGCTTTAAAGTGGTCTTCCGAGAGCAGTTTTGGCCCATGTGGTTGGTGCCATCTTGTTCCCTTTCTAGTGATGATGTAGCCTCCTCCACAGGCTGGCATTCAGTACAGCAGCTGGCTGGCCTGCCCCTTGGTCTGGCCCTGCCTGGACTCACCCTCTTCTTCCTTTCAGGAGATGTGCACATTGCCATCATGGACCGGAGTGGCCAGCTGGAGGTGGAAGTGATTGAAGCTCGGGGCCTGACCCCCAAACCAGGCTCCAAATCCCTCCCAGGTGAGGGATTTTGGAAATGGGGTCCTGACAGGGAGGGGCATAGAGCCGAGCTCTGGGTCTAGCAGGTCCTCAGCTCCCACTGGCCTAAATCGGGATTCTTTACAGTGGAGTCACAGCTTGCCTGGAAGGCCAGTGACTAGGTGGGGGAGTAAGGGAGGATGGAGGAATCAGTACTTGAGTCACCTCTTCTGCCTGCTGTCCACTGGCTGGCTCATTCCACACATCCTGCTCACCTCCAAGATCACCTGGCAGTTAGGGGATGGGCAGGCCAAAGCTGTCTGTCCTGGACCCCTCCCTGTCATACATTCTCTCCTCCCTTAGCCACCTATATCAAGGTTTACCTGCTGGAGAATGGGGCCTGCTTGGCCAAGAAGAAGACAAAGATGACCAAGAAGACCTGTGATCCCCTGTACCAGCAGGCTCTGCTCTTTGACGAGGGACCCCAGGGCAAGGTGCTGCAGGTGGGTGTCACAGGGCAAGTAGGGCAGGGTGGACTCACAGACTGGAAGTTGTAATTTAAAGTTTTTCATTTATGATTCATCCTGTGCCAGGTGCTGTGGTAGGTGCATTAATTTGCGTTACTCATTTACTTTCACAACCCTGTGAGGTATTACTGTCCCCAGTTGATTCATAAGGAAACCAAGGTTTTGGGGGTAATCAAATTGCTCCCCAGGTTGCACAGCTGGTAGGTAGAACCAGGACACATGTGACCACTGCCTCCTCCTTCCCCTAGTGCTAATGTTCATTGCACATCAGTTCAGTGCCAAGCCTTGTGTTAGGTGCTTTCCAAACACGACCTCATTTCATCCTGCAGATGATCCTGTGGAGTAGGTGTGATTCTCTTCACTTTACGGAAACCGAGTCTCTTACAGATGAAGTCACTTGCTTGGGGTGAGCCCAGGCCAGGTGACTGTCATCCCAATTACTTGAGAGCAACAAAGGCCTTCTGCACACTTGGTATTGTTAGCCCTTCTCAACAGTCCTGGGAGGGAGGGATCTTCATGCTCGTTTCATAGATGAAGAACCTGAGGTCACGTGGGGATAAAGCACAGTGGTGGATCAGTCTCTGGGCTCAGTCCTAGGTTCAGATTCCAGCTCAGCACTCATTAGCCGCGGGTAGATGTGACTATTAAACAGAGGATTGCATGTAGGGAGCCTTACATAGGGCCTGCCACATAAACAGCTACTCACTAAGTATTAACAATCATGGTGGTGGCTGCTGATCTTGCCTGAGGCCATGGAGGTGAGAGAGAAGAGGCTAGAGCCAGGGGCTGTCTGGGCCATCCAACTTCTCATCTAGGGCTGCTCCTCTGGGCTGAGATGGTTCTGTGGCAAGGGGCCTTGGAGTTGCAAATTTAAACTGCAGAGCCAGACATGGTGGCTCACAACCATAATCCCAGAGACTCGGGAGACTGAGGCAGGAGGATCACTTGAGTCCAAGAGTTTGAGACCAGCCTGGCAACATAGCAAGATCCCATCTCTAAAACATGAAAAAAAAAAAATTATCTGGTCATGGTGGCACGTGCCAGTAATCCCAGCTACTCGAGGTGCTGAGGCAGGAGGATTGTTTGAGCCCAGGAGGTCAAGGCTGCAGTGAGCTATGATTATGCCACTGCACTCCAGCCTGGGTGACAGAATAAGATCCTGTCTCTTAAAAATTAAAAATAAAAAAAGAACTGCGGAACCCTAGGCTTTGGGGAGTGGGAAGAATAATCTTTGGTGTTTGCTTAGAAAAGGAATAACGGCCGGGCACAGTGGCTTACGCCTGTAATCCCAGCACTTTGGGAGGCCGAGGCGGGTAGATCACGAGGTCAGGAGATCAAGACCATCCTGGCTAACATGGTGAAACCCCGTCTCTACTAAAAATACAAAAAATTAGCCGGGTGTGGTGGCGGGCACCTGTAGTCCCAGCTACTCGGGAGGCTGAGGCAGGAGAATGGCATGAACCCAGGAGGTAGAGCTTGCAGTGAGCTGAGATTGCGCCACTGCACTCCAGCCTGGGCAACAGAGTGAGACTCCATCTCAAAAAATCTCCCAGTGGTGTGGCTGGAAACACTGAGGTCCAGTGAGGGCATGGAGCTTACACAAGTCCCACGGCAAGCCAGCAGCACAGCTAGAGCTATGGCCAAGTCCTGAACTCTCAGTTTGCCCCTTCCTGGGGAAGGCTGTTATCTGAAATGCTGGGAGGCTCTGGAGTCACACACCCAGGTCCTAATCCAAGCTCTGCCACAAGTTACTGTGCAACTTTAGGTTAGCTAATTAACCTTTCTGAGCTACAGTTTCCTTCATGGAAATAATGATACAGAGCACCCCTACCTACATGGCTTGTTATAACAATTGAAAGAAAGAATCTAGGTAAAATCCATAGGATCGTATCTAACACACCTCAAGTGCTCAGTAAATTATTGTGTGAAATCAGTCTTGAGTTCTGGCTCCCTCTGCTCCATCTGTGCCCTGCTGAAACGTGTAGGTTCCTAGGCCTGCTGCACAGTCCTGGAGTCAGGGAGGTGGCTCACTCCCTCCCTCTCTTCCTCCTGGCAGGTGATCGTCTGGGGAGACTATGGCCGCATGGACCACAAGTGCTTCATGGGCATGGCCCAGATCATGCTGGACGAGCTGGACCTCAGCGCCGCGGTCACCGGCTGGTACAAACTCTTCCCCACCTCCTCAGTGGCAGACTCCACACTCGGATCCCTCACCAGGCGCCTGTCCCAGTCTTCCCTGGAGAGTGCCACCAGCCCCTCATGCTCTTAAGGATGTCAGGAAGAGGCCAGGATGGTGGTGTGGGGAGGGGTGCCTGCTGGCCCCATGTCCTCCCCTGTACATAGTCTTCGTGTCTTTCTGGACCCCTTGTCCTGCTGCATGCCTGTTGGCTACTGGGCTCATCCCAGCTGGCAGTGGAGACTGTAGTGTGTGCGTGTGTGCGTGCGTGTGTGTGTGTGTGTACGTGACCACGTTCTATCTGTTCATTTGTCTGGGTATAGTCACTCCTGGTGATGATATGGGCTGAAATGTCTCCACGTCTCTTTGTGTCTTGTTGAAAAGAAACCCAAAGGAGTGTTGTGTGGACATGACTCACCCTGAGGAGTCTCCAGGGATGGAGGTGGGGCATGCGGCCACTGGTCGGTGCTGCCTGGTCCTGGCCTGGGGCAGAGCCTGTGTGTTCTTCACCTGTGCCTGCTCCTGGTGGTCTCTGCTTTGTTTTCTGTCTTGTCTTTTGTTCCACTCTTGACTCTCCCGGCTCTGCCACTGTTTTCTGAGAAATGTAGCATCCGCTGCAGCTGGCCACACTGAGGGCCCTCTGGGAACCCCACCCCACTGGAGCCGCTCCGGCAGCTCTTCCTGCCACTGAATGCGTTCTGCAGCATGTAGCATGCCCACCTAGCTCCCTGGCCAGGGCCCTGGGGAGGCAGAGGGTACCCAGGGGACTGAGGGCTTAGAAATGACTTTCTCTATGAGGCTGGAACCTCCTCCTTCTTCCAGTGAAGCACGAGGTCTTGGTTCCAGGGTTCCTGGCCAGGTGCCCCCTTAGCATTTGTTCTTCATCTCCTGTCTCTTCAAGCCTCCCCACTCCACCGTGCCGAAGGAGCTCTGCCAGTGGGCCTGGGCAGGCAGCCACAGAGGGCATGTTATCTGCTAAAGCAAACAGTCCTCCTGAGGCCCTGAGGGTGGCCCTGACCCCCTCAGGGCTCATTCCTGGTGGGCATGACTCGGTAAGGAGGTTCTGTGGGTAGGGCTGTTTGCTGGAATAAGGAGGGCTGAGGCTGAGTTGTTCCCCGCCACTGTTGAGGATCCCATCTGACATTTGGGGATTCACTGCATGAAGTTGTTCATTTGGGGCTCCAGTTTTTGTGCATTTCCAGACCAGGGTCCCTGTCTGGGAGCTCAGACTTAGCTGGGCTCCAGCAGCCTGGCTCCGGACTCTCGTCTGCCACCATCACCAGCTCTGTCTAAGCAATACTTACCCCTCCGGGCTTCCCTGCTTTCCTGTGCCCCACTGCTGCCCTCTGCAGAGCCATCTGCTCCAGGCACCCACCTGCCTCTGCTTGCTTTCTCACCCATGTCTGGTTGGAGCTTCTCACAGCCACTCAAACCCTGACTTGATTTGACAACTGGGCCCTGTTGGTGGAGACCAGTGCCTGAACTGGACCCTGTGAAATCTGTCCCGTGGGAATCCTGAAGTCTGACTCAGGAATGCCCAGACCTGTCCCTGTCCCTCCTCAGCTCTAGGGTGAAAGGCGAGAGGTTGCACAGGACATGGACAGAGCAGCCCTTGGGTTTGTATCTGGTAGGGGAGAAAGCAGCAGGACAGTGGAGGTGTGTGGAAGGCACTCTTTCCACCTCTCTCCAGGCATTATCCCCAGGTGCTGAAATGGCTGTGGCCCCAGCACCTGAGGCAGGGGTACGCTACCTGGGGTAGCAGTAGAAAGGTCTTGGGGTCTGAATGACTTGGGGCCTCCATTCATAACCAAAGTTGTAGGGGCATGGAGGCAGTGGCGCCTTATGGATAGGTCATCTCAGCCCAAAGGGCCTCCTTGGCTGGCATGGTTCTGTGTTACGTTGAAGCCAGAGTCTTATAACACCTCCCAAGAAAGATAGGGGAAGAAGCCAGAACCCCACCTGGCCTGCCCACAGGACAAGAAGTGGGTAAGGGCAGGAAGGAAATGAACGGAGTTAGCTCCCAGGCTCCTATCTCTGCCTGAGCCTCTATTCTTATATTATCAGAGAAAGGGACCATTGGGTGCATAGAGATGGGGAGGAGGCCACTGGGCTGAATTTTCTCTTTAGGCGGAAATGCTCTCCCCAGGCCCATTGCGTTCGTCAAGTTCTTGGAAATGGACAAAGGGCTCTGTCCTCCTCGACCCTAGTGGGGGATCAAGAAGGAAACTCCGTTGCAAAAGGGTATTTTAATCTCCTGTTTATGATATATTCACCTCTAGAGCAGTCACTGTCAGGGTGTTGCGAAAATACTCTACACCTTTGGGATGATAGGGTTGTTAGTGACCCACAGGACAGTATAGATGTTTGTGGATGTAGCACTGAGTGGTGATACCCAGACCAGCAGTCACCCCAGGAAGTGGGGGCTACCCATACCCTCATTCCTCTGGTGGGGAGCTGCCTGCAGAGAGGCCTGCCACTGGGGGTTCCAGGCCGTGGTGACCCTTGCCTCTGGGGAAGGGTTAGCACAGGGGAGGTTCTAGCTGGAGGAGGGGTCTGATGTGCTGGTAACTTGGGCTGACCTACCTACAGTCCCTGGCTGCCAAAACTGCTCAGCAGTTGGGCCACTCCACTATTCCACCTCTCTAAAAGAAGGTAATTTCCTCCCCAAATTGACCTTGGGGAATTATTCTTTTAACCCTTTGCACCAAATAAGTTACTCATCCCCACCTGGATTTTACCCCATGAGGGTAAAGTTGTGTGAGGCTGACACGTCTGTGTGATGCAGTGTGGCTGCACTTAAGGGTCTGTTTCTCAGCATCATGGATGCAGGGGCTTGTCTGAAAAGCCACTCTGGACCTAGCCTGTCCCAGAAGAGGAGAATGCACAAGTGTAACTCCTGGTTGTTTGCTGGGGTGGGGGAGCATCTGCTGTTTGAGGACGGGGGGTGGGGAAGGAAGGAACATGATCCCTCCAGAAGTCTCCCACCCTGGGGCCAACTCACTGCCATGTTCAGTGTCCCGGCTCCAAATGCCCCCTTGCCCAGATGAAACCCTGCAGTGGTTACAGGAATGGAGCTCTTTGTCATTCCACCTCCTCTGGTCAGGCGAGGTTCACTGTGCATATGGCAGAGACAGGAGTGGCCCTGCAGTGATGTTGGGTTGTGGGCAGGGACAGTGATGGATGACTCAGAGCGTCTGTCTTTGTATTTCTGCTCTGTTCATTCTGTCCCACTTTCTTCATAGACTCCTTTTCCCTGCAATGGGTTTTTGGTATGAAAAAGGCTCCAGTAAATGGAGCCAAGTCTTGGTTTGACAAGGGGAACTTGATCCTTCAGGGAAGAATCATCTCCAAAATGACTCCCCATCTGGTTTCTTCTACCACCCAATTCTACTAGGAAAGGAGCACTTAGGAGGCTCTTGGGATGCAGCAAGTCCCAGGCAATGCCAGCATTTCATGGGGGCTGAGGCAGAACCCAGGAGCTCCAAGAAAGGCCACCCATAGAGCTCATCCTCTGTGGAATCACTGCCGGTTAGAACACTGAGGTCAAGCCAGTCCTCCCATGGTCATGCCACCCACCAGGGAAGCATGCCTGATCTCTTCTTTACTGCCAGCCTTGAGGAGAGCAGAAGCCTCCATTTTTAAAGACAATAAAGACCTCCAAGGGTACTTCTTTGGAAATGAAATGTAGCACAATCTTAGCCTACGTTACCAGGAGCCCTGACATGCAACCAGGGTCCCTCTTCCATGCCCTGCTGCCCAGGAGTTGCTGAGCTCCTCTTCCCCTGGGGTTCCAGCCCTCCTAATACCTCATATTCCCCATCTTCCTCAGCCCAGAAAGCAATGGGGCTTTAGTGATGCTCCTCTTTTGTGTCTCTCTGGTTGCCTCTAGCACTGTGCAAACTCTGCAAGAAATTGCTGCCTTTGCTTGATGTTGTAGATGAGTTGCCCTCCACCTGGCTGGAGAGATGGCACATCATTCAGGGCCAGAAGGTTGTCCAGCAGTGTTTCTGCAGTGGCTGCAGGGAGATGGAAAAGAAGAGCCCTGCTTCCCTGCCTCCTCCTACCTTTCTCTTCCACTCCTCAGAGTTTTCTTCTCCAGTATCCTGACATGTAAAGAGATTCTTTAAAATGCTGCTTCTTCTACTGGACTGTCTTTCACTGAGTAGTCAGGGAGGAGATGAAAATGTGGACACATCCCCCCGCCTTCTCCCTCAACCTTTTCACTCACGTCAGAAGAGGTTGGGGCAAAACAAAACAAGCATGATTGAAGAGCAGGGGAAGCCCACACAATCAGGTGAGCCCTGATGGGGGCTGGACTGGCCTGGTCTGGCTGGGAAAGGATTCTTTTAAAAGCGTGCCTGAGCATCTCAGAGCAATGTCAGTGATGCCAAAGAGAGCAACTTGGCCTCCTTGGGCACCAACTCTGATGGCTGAGTTGCACAAACGTGGCTCAGATGTTGGCATGCCCGATGGTGGGACCTTGTTCTCTGATAAAGGGCTTAATCTTTCCATGTAGCAAAGCAACTTTCCCTCCCTCCCCTCCCCCCGAACCCTGAGCTTGGGCTTGTGTGGGCCCAGCATGGCTGTGCCTGTGAGGGAAGCCACATCAGTGAGAGAAAGTTGCATTCTCTCAGGGGCCTAGATTGGCTTGGGGCAGGTGCTTGTTGAAAAGCATGAGTGTTTCTGCTTTGGGAAACCCTTCCAGGGCTCTGGTTGGAAACTTGGCCAGTAAGGACAGGGCCTTGGGCCTCCCAAGGAGTTCACAATGATGCCAGGAAGGGTCCCTGAGCCTGGGTTCCAGTCAGCTTGGCTAACAGAATGGGGCTTGGGAATTCCAGGGGCAACTGAGCATCCACCCCATTAGCCAGTGATCTGGACAGGGACAGCTGGCTACAGGGAATCAAAGGCTGTTCTGTACAGTTTTACCAGAAACTGTGACCTTGGGTAAGGCTCCTCACTTTTCTGGGCCTCAACTTCCTCATCTGCAAAATCAGAGCATTAGCTGCTCTCCCCATGATTCCCTCCCAGTTTTAATTAAAAGTCTCTGATCTGGAGCACATGAGGGTTGCGAGCCTGGTGCACCTGGTTCCTGTCTCCGTGGGCTGGTTTCCTTCAGCCCCTGATGCCCAGGCTGGGTGCAGGCTCTCATCTGGTCCATGCCCAGATGCTGCCTCAGACAAGAACTCTGGGAATCCTAACAGACTCTGCTTTCCTCTCTTCGTGGTTTGTCCTCCCTCTTTTATTCTTGTGTAATGATGAGACATAATTAAGGGTCATCTACAATGGACAATTTTCAAGGTGCTGATGTGATGTCACAACCTCCGCTACATCCTGAGTAAGTCAGTGTCCCCAACAGCAGATGAGGCTGGGTCTTTCCTCATTTCTGCTTCTGGGATGACATCAGTGGGAGAGTTGAAGATCTGAGAATTCTAAAGGAAATGTTCTCTGATGGGAGGAGAGAGGGAACTTATTTCCCTTCAAAGTAGTTTGCTTCTTAAGACCACTCCTCCCTCCAGAATGTCTTTAACCAGACATCATTTCAGAAGGTGGGGCAGCTGCTTCCTTAGGAAGAGTGGGCCTGATAGCTCAACCAACTCCTTTAGCATGTAAACTCACAGAAGGCAAGAACCCCTTTTTTTAGACTTTCCAAATGCATCCTGCAAAGAGAGAGATAGCTGATAGGGACTGACAAGCACACTGTTTAGATAAGAAGCAATTAGCCTTTTATATCTGTGCTCTATACATTTTCTATGTGCAGCATCTTTCCTAACTTGTTGTGGTTCCCGGGTGGCAGGTGCACAGCTGGGAGGGACTGCCGGCTGTTTCGTACAACATTCTTGCCAATTCCCTTGAGGAGAAAATTCTTCACATGGCTTCTGCATGTACAGTATTTGGGCAGCAAAACATGATTAAAGTCAGTTTGAAAATGGTTTCATGTGTTGCTTTCTGTAGATGGTTCTTCATTCTAGAAGGAAGAAAACAGGGTTCCAGGTGGCTACAAAGAGGAGGAGGATGCCTTGGTTGAGAGGCAGGGGAGAGCAGTACATTTCAGAAAAAGAGCATGAAAGATATGGCCTGGGCCTCTGACTCCTGTTTGAGAACTCTATGGTCACAGCAGTGTTCTTGAGCCATGAAATCTGACTGGTCCAGGCAGCTTCCTGGCTCTGTCTCCCCGGTCCTCTGCTTCCAGGCCCTCAAAGCCTTCTACTTCCATAGACTCCACAAGGGATATCCAACGACAGAGGAAGGTAAGATGGAGCTAAGGCCGCAGCTGTCGACCCACTGTTCCTTTCTTTCTGAGCTTTTGGGTCCAGCAGCTCTGCTCAGGCATTTGGCTTTGCTTATTGCAGCCACACCTGATACCAGCAGTAAACATAGCGGTTGACTTCTATGTGCTGCACCCTCCATCAGTCACTGATGCCTGGAGCACCCATTCCTTTCCCTGTCTCCTGGTGGAGCAGAACAGTTTGTTAATATTTAGTCATTTCTGGGCAGATCCATTGTCCTCCTAGGGTTGGGTTTGGGGGGTACAGAAGATGGATAAAAGAAGTGTGGCATCATCATGGCATGTGCTTGCTGGCACAAGGCTGGCACCCTCCTCCCAAGAGCCCTCCAGGTTACCTCCACTGCATTGTCTCTGGCCCTTGGCCTTGCAGTTCCCATGAGCACCATCTCTTGAAGGAAGGATCATAAGATCAATATGTGAGCTCTGGGCCCCCCCAGGATTCTGTCTTTTCCCTCTTTCCCACTGCTGCTCTCTCCCTGAGACATGGCTTATACTCTCATGAGTTTAAGAACTTCTATGCTTCTATCCAGCAATTCCTTCCAATAACAACTGCACCCTCCCCCACCCACCCCCTAAAAAACAAAAAGCAGACAACAAAAACTGAGATCCAAAGAAATTCTAAAGGATGTTCTTCAGATAGAACAAACATATCTAAGAACAATGCCTGGAACACAATCAATCCTACATGTTTGTTATTAAGGGAAATGATCCTGGATGGAGAGGCTGAAATACAAGAAGGAAAACTGAGCAAAGTAATAGGTTTTAAAATATTAGTAAAATATAGGCCAGGTACTGTGGCTTACGTATGTAATCCCAGCACTTTGGGAGGCTGAGGCAAGAAGATCACTTGAGGCCAGTAGTTCAAAACTGGCAAGGGCAACATAGTGAGAACTCATCTCTACCAAAAATTTAAAAATTGGCCAGACATGGTGGCACATGCCAGTAGTCTTAGCTACTTGGGAGGCTGAGGCAGGAGGATTGCTTGAGCCCAGGAGTTCAAGGGTTCAGTGAGCTATGATTGTGCCAGTGCACTCCAGCCTGAGTGACAGAGCAAGTCGTTTATTGTCTCTTTAAAAAATTTAGTAAAGCATCCTGCCTCACAATGACTTTCCTATTGTCTTTCATGTGTCATTCCAACTTTTCTAGTCCATACCACGGTGCCTTGCAAAAACACATGAATAAAGCAATAACATCTGATTGATTGTTAAGCTATCAAAAAACCCCAGTATCAATTATTAGGACTAATAAGAGCATTCAGCAAGGTTGCTGGCTATGAGATAACCCTACAAAAATCAATTGCATTTTTCTATAACAGCCAAAACCAATGAAAAATAAGTATGAGTTATTATCCACAATAACAATAAAAGTCATTAAACATCTAGGGACTATTTAAGAATATGTGATGCCTCTATGGAGATAACTTTCAAATTCTAATAAAAGAGTTAGATAATCTCGGCCAGGCATGGTGGCTCACGCCTGTAATCCCGGCACTTTGGGAGGCTGAGGCGGGCGGATCACGAGGTCAAGAGATCAAGACCATCCTGGCTAACATGGTGAAACCCCATCTCTACTAAAAAAACAAAAAATTAGCTGGGTGTGGTAGCGGGCGCCTGTAGCCCCAGCTACTCGGGAGCCTGAGGCAGGAGAATGGCATAAAACCAGGAGGCGGAGTTTGCAGTGAGCTGAGATCATGCCACTGCACTCCATCCTGGGTGACAGTGTGAGACTCCGTCTAAAAAAATAAAAATAAAAAGACAATAACAGGTGGTGGTGAGAATATGGAGAAATTGGAAACTTTTGGAAATGTAGAATGATGTAGCCACTATGGAAACCAGTTTGACAGTCCTCAAAAGGTTAAACGTACAGTTGCCATAAGACCTAGCAATTCTTCTCCTAAGTATATACAGAAGATAATTGAAAACATATGTCCACACAAAAGCTTGTACATGAATGTTCCTAGCAGTATTATTCATTATACCCAAAAAGTGGAAATATCCCAAATGTGTATCACCTGTTGAATGGCTAAACACATGGTATGTCCATACAATGTAATATTATTTAGCAATAAAAAGGAAAGAAGTACTGATACATGCTACAACATGGATGGCCTTGAAAACATTTTGCTAAGCAAAAAAAGCCAGTCACAAAAAAATCATATATTGTATGATTCCATTTATAGGAAATGTCCATAAAAGGCAAATCTATAGAGACAAAAAGTAGATTAGTGATTGCTTGGGGCTGGGGATGAGTTGAGAGAATTTGTTGCCATAATTTTTCACTTTAAAACATATTAAAGCAAATTATTCAGGCTGAAGGAAAATGATACCAAATGGAATTCAGACCTATACAAAAGAATGAAGAGCACCAGAAATACATGTGTAAATATAAAATACTTTTTATTTTCTTAGAAGATAATTGCTTTGAGCAAAAACAAACAAATAAAAAACAACAACCATTTATTTTGGGGTGAATAACTTATGTAGAAGAAAACTGTATGGTAACAATAACATAAGGAATGGGACAGGAAAAACAGAAGTATACTATGTTTTTACATTGTATTTGAAGTTACATATAATATTGAAAGGTAGACTGTGGTTAAAATGCACAAACACTAGAAATAAAAAGAAAAAAATAAACAATTAGTCAAACAATGGAGATAAGTTGCAATACTAAAAATATACAATCTAAGAGTAGGTAGGAAAAGCAGAAAAAAGGAACAAAGAATGATAACACAAATGGAAAACAAGGAGAAAAGCATGTGATCATCTCGATAGATGCATAAAAAGAATTTGACCAGGCCAGGTGCGGGCCTCCCAGCACTTTGGGAGGCTGAGGCGGGCGGATCACAAGGTCAGGAGATCGAGACCATCCTGGCTAGCACAGTGAAACCCTGTCTCTACTAAAAATACAAAAAATTAGCCAGGCATGGTGGCAGGAGCCTGTAGTCCCAGCTACTCGGCAGGCTGAGACAGGAGAATTGCTTGAACCTGGGAGGCGGAGGTTGCAGTAAGCTGGCCACTGCACTCCAGCCTGGGCGAAACTCCATCTCAAAAAAAAAAAAAAAAAAAAAAAAAAAAAAAAGAATTTGACCAAATTCAATACTCATTTATAATGAAAAAAAAAAAAAAAAACTCTTGACAAATAGAAATAGAAAAAACTTCCTTAACCCCCAAAAGGGCATTTATGAAAAACTTAGAGCTAACGTGATACATAATGATGAAAACTGGACACTTTCCCCCTAAGATCAGGAATAAGAAAAGAATGTCTGCTTTTACTATTTCTATTCAACATTGTACTGGCAGTCTTAGTCAATATGGTAATGGGGTATAAGAGATAAATAAAAGGTATATAGATTCACACAGAAGTAAAGTTGCCTTTATTAACAGATGGCTTGATTGTGTACACAGAAACGTCTAAGGGAAAGAAACTAAAATAAATTTGTCAAAGACTCAGGAAATGAAGCCAATAAGCAAATATCAATGTTATTTCTATATACTATTAAAAATAACTTTAGAAAATAACATTTAAAAGCAATAATTTTTACACTAGCATGTAAAAACATGAATAACTTAGGGGTAAATTTAACAAAATCTAAGACCTATACACTGGAAAATAGTAAGCACTGCTGAGAGAAATTAAAGATCTAAAGAGTTAACTTTATGGAGAGTTATACCATGTTCATGGACTTAAAAAAACAATATTGTTAAGCTGTCAGTTCTACCCAAATTGATCCCTAGATACAATGCACTTTCCATAAAAATCTCAGCAGGCTTTTTGTAGAAATTGACATGCTGATACTAAAATATATTTGGAATACAAAAGACCTTCAATAGTAAAAACAATTTTGAAAAAGGAGAACCAAGTTGAAAGACTTATGCTACCTGATGGCAAGACTTATTATAAAGTAACAATGGTATTGGCCTAAGAATAGACATTATATCAATAGAACAGAACAGAGATTGCTGAAATCGATTAATAGATCAATTGATTTCCAACAAAGATGCCAAAGTAATTTTTTCTTTTCTTTTCTTTTTTCTTTTTTGAGACAGAGTCTTGCTCTGTCACCCAGGCTGGAGTGCAGTGGCATGATCTCAGCTCACTGCAACCTCCGCCTCTCAGGTTCAAGCGATTCTCCTGCCTCAGCCTCCTGAGTAGCTGGGATTACAGACATGTGCCACCACGCCCGGCTAATTTTTGTATTTTTAGTAGAGACGGGGTTTCACCATGTTGGCCAGGCTGGTCTCGAACTCCTGACCTCAGGTGATCCACCCGCCTCCACCTCCCAATGTGCTGAGATTACACGTGTGAGCCACTGCACTCGGCCCAATAATCTTTTCATCAAATGGTGCAGCAACAGGATATTTAGATGGAAAAATACAGACCTTGATCCTACTTTACACTATGTACAAAAACGAACCCCATAGACCTAAACATAAAAGCTAAAATTAGAAAACTCCTAGAATAAAATATAGGAAAACATTTTCACAACTTTATGACAGACAATAATTTCTGAGAATATAAAAAGCACTGACCCTAAAATAAAATTAAAAAGATATATTGGATATCATAAATATTAATTTTATTCCCTTTTTGAAATATACCATTTAAGACTCATAACAAGATGACAATAACAAGACAACTGAAGTAAAAAGATTTGAACAGACAATCACAAGAGGAGATATACATAAGCACATGAAAGGATACTCATCATCATTAGCCATCAGGAAACTGCATATCCACAGAATGCCTAAAATTAATGACTGGCAATATTAAGTGTTGGCAAGTATATGGAGCAGCATTTTTGATGGAAATATAAAATTGTGCAACAATTTTGGGAAAGGATTGACAATTTCTTATAATGGTAAACATGTACTTGTCACATGACCCAGAAGTTCCACTCCTAGGTGTTTATTAGAAAAATGAAAACATATTTCTGCACAAAGACAAGAATGTTTATGGCAGCTTCTTTATAAATCATATAGTCAAGATTTATAAAGAACTCATACAACTCAATAGCAAGAAAACATATAACCCTTCATTCACAATAGCCCCAAATTGGAAACAATACAAATGTCTAATACATCTGTTAGGGTTCAATCAGAATATAGAAACCACACAGTAATTTGAAGAAAATTTTAATATAAAAATTATTAACAGGATTTTCACAAGCAATAGAATGAAACTGGACCTTTATCTTACACCAGGCAAAAAATTCAACTCAAAATGAGTAAAAGCCCTAAATGTAAGATCTGAAACCGTAAAACTCCTAGAAGAAAACATAAGAGAAAGTCTCCTTGACATTAGTCTTGGCAGTGATTTCTTGGATGTCACACCAAAAGCTCAGGCTACAAAAGCAAAAACAAATAAATGGGACTATTTAAAACTGAAAGCCTTCTGCACAGCAAAGTAAACAATCAACAAAAGGAAATGACAACCTACAGATTGAGAAAAATATTTGGAAACCACATATCATATAAAGGGTTAATATCCAAGCTTTATAAATAACTCATACAACCAGGCCGGGCGAGGTGGCTCACACCTGTAATCTCAGCATTTTGGGAGGCCAAGACGGGTGGATCACCTGAGGTCAGGAGTTCAATACCAGCCTGGCCAACATGGTGAAACCCCGTCTCTACTAAAAATACAAAAATTAGCCAGGCATGGTGATGCGTTCCTGTAATCCCAGCTACTTGGGAGGCTGAGGCAGAAGGATCACTTGAACCTGGGAGGTGGAGGCTGCAGTGAGCCAAGATTGCGCCACTGCACTCCAGCCTGGGTGACAGCAAGACTCCATCTCAAAAAAAAAAAAGGGGGGGGGGCAAAAAATCTGAATAGCCATTTCTCCAAAGATGACATAATAATGGCTACCAAGTGCATGAACAGGTGCTCAACATCACTAATCATCAAGGAAATACAAATCAGAAACATTATGAGATAGCACCTCACATGTGTTAGGATAGCTGTTATCAGAAACATAAGAGATAACAAGCGTTGGCAAGGGTGTGGAGAAAAGGGAACGGTTATACACGGTTGAATGTAAATTGGTACAGCCATTATGGAAAACAGTAAGGAAGTTCCTAAAGAAGTTAAAATATAACCATATGATCCCAATTAAAATATACCATATGGGCCGGGTGCGGTGGCTCACGCCTGTAATCCCAGCACTTTGGGAGGCCAAGGCAGGCGGATCACGAGGTCAGGAGATCGAGACCATCCTGGCTAATACGGTGAAACCCCGTCTCTATTAAAAACACAAAAAATTAGCCAGGCGTGGTGGCGGGCGCCTGTAGTCCCAGCTACTCGGGAGGCTGAGGCAGGACAATGGCGTGAACCCAGGAGGTAGAGCTTGCAGTGAGCTGAGATTGCGCCACTGCACTCCAGCCTGGGCGACAGAGCGAGACTCCATCTCAAAAACAAAACAAAACAAAACAAAACAAACAAACAAACAAAAAACCATATGACCCAGCAATCCCTCTTCTGCATATAAACCCAAAGGAAATAAAATCACCACCTCATAAAGGTATCTGAACTCCCATGTTTATTTCAGCATTATTCACATTATTTTACCTATAAGATAATGTTCTATATCTTACAGGTAAGATATAGAAACAATGATGAATGGATAAACATATATATATATATAACTGATATATATAAACCAGTTATATATATATATAACAGTTATATATATGTTATATATAATGGAATAATGGAATATTATTCGCCTTTAAAAAGGAGGAGATCCTGCTATTTGCCACAACGTGAAAGAAGTTGAAGGACATTATGCTAAATAAGCCAGACACGGAAAGAAAAATATATGATCTTACTTATATGTGGGATCTAAAAAAAAGTCAAATATACAGAGATAGAGAATAAAACGGTGGTTACCAGGGTCGGTGTGGTGGGGAAGGAAATGGGGAATGTAGGTCGAAGGATACAAAGCAGCAGATATGTAGGATGAACAAATGGAAAGACCTAAGGTACAACATAAGGACTCTAGTTAATAATAGTGTATTTTATTCAGGATTTTTGCTAAATGAGTAGATTATAGCTGTTCTTGCCACAGGGGAGAAAATGAGTAACTATGTGAGATGATGGATATGTTAATTTGTTCCACTATAGTAACCATGTTACTATATATATGCATCTTATATAACATCATGTTGTGTACCTTACATATATATTAAAATTTATTTTTTTAAAAAAAGATTAATTCTAGCAGAGGAGTAATTCTGAAGGTGTAAACGGAACTCTAAAGACTATCCTAAGGCTGAAGGAGAGTGCCCAAGAAAGGAACACATTGGAAGAAGGCCCTCTCCTTAAAGCTGGGATTCGAACCTTGTTGGAAAACGTGTAATGAATGTGATGTGAAGAAGTGTGCTGGGTTTCCCAGCCCAAACCTGGTCTAGAGTCTCAGGTAAGCAAGGCAACACCCCCAGGTACAGGCAGGCAAGGCTGGCAGGCGTATGCACAGGGAGAGTCAGAATCAGGAACCTACTCGCAGGCAGAGTCATCGAAGGCCTGGGAGGCATGGAAACCCTGCAGGGAGCTGGCGGGCCATGCTGGCAGCTGGCACACAGGGAGTCAGAGGGCCAGGGCCGCTCACCTCCGTACAAAGCCTGAGATGGGTAGAGTCCATGTGGGGAGGGCTGTGGGAGGTGGGCACAGGGCTACGGCTGGGGCTGTGAGCTCAGAGGCATGAACGTGCTGGGGACGCACAGCCAGGGCAGAACCCTAATGGATGTCCCCATGCATTTGCCCCTCGCAGCAGCGCACTAGTGGAGAAAGAGAAGCAAAACTTCTCTTTCTCAGTGAAGCACACTGGCTCCAGAAGTTTCTCCCTCCAGCAGTGTCCTACCAGCGCCATCTACTGACAAAACCCAACACTGTTCTCACTGCAAAGGAGACATGGTTAATGGGGCTATGCCACTATGCAGAACAGGCAATGAAGGGTAGATTTGGAGTTGAAAGGCCACACATTGAAACTGTCACATCTAGCAATAGGTGCAGTGAAAAAACAATCTGTGGTGTATTACAATAATGCGATAATACTCAGCACTAAGGGGAACGAATTCTGATAATACAGTTAGTCCTCCATACCCACAGGTTCTGCATCCGCAGATTCAATCAACCACAGATAAAAAATGTTTTAAAAAATAAACATACAATAAATATAATACAAATAAGTCTAGGTGGGTTGGCTCATGCCTGTAATCCCAGCACTTTGGGAGGCCGAGGTGGGCAGATCACTTGAGGTCAGGAGTTCGAGACCAGCCTGGCCAATATGGCAAAACCCTGTCTCTACTAAAAATACAAAAATTAGCTGGGCATGGTGGTCCACCCTGGAATCGGGAGACTGAGGCAGGAGAATCTCTTGAACCTGGGAGGCAAAGGTTGCAGTGAGCCGAGATTGCACCACTGCACTCCAGCCTGGGTGACAGAGGAGACTCAGTCTCAAAAACAAAACAAAACAAAACAAGACAAAAATAATACAAATAAAAACAATACAGTATAACAACTATTTACATAGAATTTACATTATATTAGGTATTATAAATAATCAAGTGATGATTTAAAGTATACAGGAGGATGTGTGTAGGTTACATGTAATACTATGACATTTTACTTAAAGGACTTGAGCATCCAAGCATTTTGTTATCTGTGGCTTCCGAGAACCAATCCTCTGCACTGCAGGCAACAAAATAAATGTATTGCAAAAACAATACTGAATGAAAGATATCAAGCACAAAAGGTAAATACTGTTAAATGACATTCTAGAACACACAAGACTAACCTATAGGGACAAAATGTCAGTTAGTGTTGCCTGAGGATTTGGGGTGGGTGGAGATATTGACTACAAAGGATCACAAAGGAGTTTGGGGGGATGATGAAAATGTTCTGTATCTGAATGGTGGCTCCATAGGTGTATACATTTATCAGAATACATCAAACTGTACCCTTTAAATGGGTGCATTCTATTTCATGTAAATTATACCTCAGTTATGTCTGTTTTTAAAATATCATCTGAGACTGGGCATGGTGGCTCACATCTGTAATCCCAGCAATTTGGGAGGCTGAGGCAGGAGGATTGCTTGAGGATAGGAGTTCAAGATGAACCTGGGTGACACAGTGAGATCCTATCTCTACAAAAAAATTTAAAAATATATTGTGGATTCCTAATTAGGGAAAATGAATCAGGCTGGCAGGACAGAGGGAAGGTTAAAAGAAAAAGCAGATAAGCTATACATCTGCCTTTCTTCATGGCCCAGCGCAAATAACTCACAATCTTCCTGCGCCCAACTTATCACCAGACACCTGCACGTGAGCTCTCTGTAACCAGGGCATTATCAATACTGTACAAAGCCCTCTTCAGCACACAGCACCATCCTATAAAATCCCCAGTAAGCCTTTGTCTCTTTGCAGTCAGCTCCTTTCTGGCTGGCCTGCCCATTGTACCCTTGCAACATATTTTCATACTTTCTCTAATAAATCTGCCTTTTTTACCTACAACTATCTTGGTAAATTCTTCTTACGATCCGTGCCACCAGCCCAGTCACTAATCACCTACAACATATATCATCTGAAAATCAGATGTCTACAGTTGTGTAGGATCTAGACCACCATCACCTCCCAAACCCCATTACCTTATAAATTCCAGGGCAGGGGTCTTTTGATCATAGCTTGGATGGAAACACTGGAAACCTTCCCTCTTCCTGCGGGAGGTGGATTCTCAAAGTGGGAAAGCCTTGGTGGTCAGAATAGATTTTCGTGGATTATTCCTGGGATATGAATGAGATGGTACAGAAGCAGGATATTTCCCTGACCCCTTCATGGGACTCGTGACAGGGATGCCTTGTTTACTCAGCCTGCCACTCTCAACTCCTCACAGGAGGGAGCGTGCAAGTGAACCAGGTGGAACTGGAGTGCATGAGTGGACTAGAGTGGCTGAAACTGGCCGGCCACTCTGGCACCGGCAGGAGCAAATTCCATGCAGGCCCCATGGCAGCTTCCAGGTGGGGCTGCCTGTGACCCCTGAAGCCCCAGGGTGCGTGTTGTAGTGCTCTTTTAGCTCTGCTGTCTGTGGATGGCTTAAGTGTTAACAGCTCAGTGGGCCCTTTGCCTTGTCACATGGGGCGGCTGCCCTCCGCCAGGGAGAGCAAAGGGCCAGTGTGGCAGCCTTTTGTATCTGCATTCGTGGCTCCCAAGCTCTTGTCCAGTATCCAGGAAAAATGAGGTCTCACGAAGGAATTGAAGGACGGTAAATGTGGGGGATTTTATTGCCAATGAAAGTGGCTCTCAGTGGGAAGGGAAGCTGAAAAGGGGATGGAGGATTGGTAATCTTCCCCTGGAGTCCAGCTGTCTCCAGCCAGATTCTTCTCTGAAATTATACCATCAAGCTGTCTCTCTGAAGTCAAGCTGCTTCTCTCCAACATCCAGCCATAGTCCCATATACTGGCTGAGTCTGGGGTTTTTATATGCACAGGATGGAGCAGGGCAGGGCCATGGTGGTTTAGGAAAAGGCAACATTTGAGCAGGAAAACTGGGATATAAGTTCTCACTTTTGGCTGTGGTTTAGGCTTTTCAGTTTGAGGGTAGGGTTTCTCTGGGGACCCTTTTCTGCCTAGAATTTCTCTGCTTCCTGTCCCTGTCAGTACCTGGATATTACTCAAGAAAGTCAAGTGATGGTCTTTCTAAGGGTAGGCCCCTGCCTTCTTCTCTAACTCAGCCCTCCAATCCAGTGCTCCCAGTGGTGGGTACCTACCCCAGAGAACTCTCACATGTATCAGAAGTGGGCATGTATACAGTTCAGAACTGTCCATCATGGTCAGAGTTGAAGGCAACCTAGGTTGTGTCCACCACTGGGGAAATGAATGAGGACAATGTGGAGGAGACACCCTAAGGATGCAGTGCAGAAGTTAGAAGCACAGATGACATATGCACACATCGACAGATCTTAAAAATAGAGTGCTGGGTGACAAGATAGAAAAAATGAAATCTAGAGCATAATATGTGCAAAAACTAAAGATATGGCCACAAAATGACACCACATATTTTACAAGAATAGATACAAATTCATATCAAAATATTTTGAGAGTTTTTTTAAAAGAAGGTGGTAGAAGTGAGAAATGGGTATGAAAGTGAGTAAATAAATAAAACAAAACAGAGGCCTTGCCCAGGCCAATGATAAAAGTAGGTTGTGAACTGGGGGAAATGATAAGCTCAGTCCTCTGCTCCTAAGGGGTTAAAATAAGAATGTTTCCTCATCCCAAGATTAAATGTGTTCTATGGCCAAATGGACTTTATTGGATAAATATGACATAGAAGTAAATCAAGCGATCCAAATCGAGTTGTCTGGATTATATAAAAGGACAGGGAAAACACAACTTCTTAGGAGTATTCCATTCACACCACCATCAGGCTACAGCTGCCTGACATTTCCAGGCTGGTCCCTCTGTATTGGGTAATGGTAATGAAACCGATCCCACAGTCCTATAGACAATTCTTTGAGATAAACATAGAAATTGGGCCAGGCGCAGTGGCTCATGCTTGTAATCCCAGCACTTCGGGAGGCCAAGGTGGGCGGATCACGAGGTTAGGAGATCGAGGCCATCCTGGCTAACAAGGTGAAACCCCACCTCTACCAAAAATACAAAAAATTAGCTGGGCGTGGTGGTGTGCACCTGTAGTCCCAGCTACTTGGGATGCCAAGGCAGGAGAATCGCTTGAACCCAGGAGGCGGAGGTTGCAGTGAGCCAAGATCGTGCCACTGCACTCCAGCCTGGGCAACACAGCAAGACTCTGCCTCAAAAAAAAAAAAAATTGAAATCGACCTTGGATAAACATAGAAATTGACCCTTCTGGTCTGAAAGCTTGAAACTTATATTCCTTTTATCTGAGTTCCTTCCTCCAGAAAGGACCCTGAGGCCTCTTGGAAAGTATCAAAGAACTGAAACTCACCAGATTGCCTCATCCAAATAATGAGATGCCAGACCCCTGGTTTTGTTTCCTTACCCCTCCCTAGTTCCTGTTTTCCAACAAATTGTTGTATTTCTTCCCTGCTATATAAACCCCTAATTTTAACCAGTTAAGGAGATAGATTGGAGATTGAGCTCCCATCTTCTTGGCTGCAGCACCCAGTTAAAGCCTAAAAGCCTTCTTCCCTGTCAGTACTTGTTGTCTTAGTCATTGGCTTTCTGTGAAGCAAGCCCCAGGACTTGGATGGAAACCTGGTTGTTTCACTGACAGCAACAGTGAACCATTTGTGCAAGATGGTCTGTGTCTGTGTGTGTTATCAGAGTGCCCATGACCTAACTGTTGAAACGAATAGGAATAATCAGAATTCAGAGTCTACTTGCAATTTTTCCTGCACTTTAATCCCTATAGTATCTGTCATGTACAAATAATAAGATCTCCACTTAAATTTGATGTAAGGAATGGGAATGGAGGCACACGCTAACCTCAGGCAGCAAGATAACCAAGACATGGTGGTGGCTGAGAACCCAGTCTTGGAAAAGAGGCCTTTATCTGAGGAAGATGCCCCTCCACGCTGTATGTCTGCTGGTCATCATCCAGTGTCTTCCATGTTCACTGGGTCACCAGGATGCTGGGTATCACATTCCCAGGAGCTCTGGGACAAGCCAGGTTCTCACTGGTAGGGACAGAGGGCATGCCCAGTGGAGTGTGGGAATCACCAGGCCTGGTGAGGGCTTGTTGGGGCAGATGTCCTAGCAGGAGCAGAAGAGGCCTATCTGGGCCCAAGGCTCATGCAGCAGGTGGAAGAAGTAGGGTGAGGAAGTGGGGCAGGGGTAAAGGGAGGGGTGTGGGAGAAGAGGGGAGCAAGTTGGAAGAGGCAGCAAATGGAAGAGAGAGGGAGTGGAGGAAGGCAGGTGGTGGGAGGAGCAGGGGTATAAGCCGGGGTGGAGGTGGTCCAGGCAGGGAGTTGGGAAGAAGAGAAACTGGCCAGAGGAACAAGATGGTCTGGACATGAAGTAGGAAGAGGGTTTGAGTGACTGGTGACTGAGGCAGGCACAGGGGGAAGAGACAGAGAAGTCATAGGGACAAGAGACAGGGCAGAGGGAAGGGAGGGAGCTGAAGGCCAAGCCACGGAAGGGGAAGAAGTGGGATGAAGTAGAACTTGGGCAGGAATGAGGCAGGGCAATTTCCTTTGCGTAGCTCTCCATTGAGAAGTGAGGGTTGTTTGATGGGTTCAGTGTTCTGCTTTCTTTCTTTGCTTGATTGCCTTATGACTCAGAGTCCACTAAAAGAGAGTCTAAGATTCTAGGACATTTTTAGTTGGAAGAGACCTTTGATATCCTTGAGTACAACTTTCTCCATCTTATAAATTCAGAAACAAAGGCCAGGCACTGTGGCACATGCCTGTGGTTCCAGCTACTCAGGAGGCTGAGGTGGGAGGGTTGCTTGAGCCCAGGAGTTCTAGGCTGTAGTGCACTGTGCTAACTGGGTGTCCACACTAAGTTCAGCATCTACCTGGTGACCTCCTAGAAGGGGAGGACCACCAAGTTGTACACTTAACCTGCCTCTCTGCTGCTATGTGGTTCTTGAAGATTTTATTTCAGACTAAGTTTGTGTGTGTGTGTGTGTGTGTGTGTGTGTGTGTGTGTTTGTTTTTGAGATGGAGTCTCACTCTGTCACCCATGCTGGAGTGCAGTGGCGCGATCTCGACTCACTGAAACTTCTGCCTCCCAGGTTCAAGTGATTCTCCTGCCTCAGCCTCTCAAGTAGCTGGGATTACAGGTGCCTGCTACCATGCCCAGCTAATTTTTTGTATTTTTAGTAGAGATGAGGTTTCACCATTGTAACTGGTCTCAAACTCCTGATCTCAAGTGATTCATCCGCCCTGGCCTCCCAAAATGCTGGGATTACAGGCTTAAGCCACGGTGCCTGGCCTATTTCAGACTGTTTTTAACTTCCAAGCTCTTTAGCTAACTATTGTCTATGATGCAATATCGTCTTTCATCTCTGGGGATGCTAATGTTTCTAAAGTCTTCTTCTTTTTAAATTTTATTTTATTTTATTTTATAGAGATAGGGCCTCACTGTGTTGCCCAGGCTGGTCTCAAACTCCTGGGCTCAAGTGATCCTCCTGCCTCATGCTGAGATGACAGGTGTGAGCCACCATACCATCCTATAGTCCTATTCTGATTGCTCTATTTACTCTGTTTTGTTGGGGCTTCTTCTGTCTCCATTGTGCCTCTCTTTTTCATGATTTTAGAACTCCTCAAATGTTTGGGATTCTTGTATACTCATCTTTGGACTGACATATCCTGTTAGCCAATCTAGTTCTGGCTTTCAGGGTGTCCTACTAGTTTCTGGCCTGAGGAAAGCCATTCTTTGTTCCCACCAAAATAAAGGGTTTATAAACATATTTTTTCTTTCATTTGTATGATTTAGGGCAGAAGAGAAAGGCTATAGCATTACTAAGCCTCTCACCTTGGACCACAGCCTCTACTTTATCAGTGTATCCTATACTGAGTATTACTATGCTTTTTAGTGTTTGTTTTTGAGACAAGTCTGGCTCTGTTGCCCAGGCTGGAGTCTAGTGGTATGATGATGGCTCACTGCAGCCTTGACCTCCCATGCTCAAGTCATCCTCCAACCTCAGCCTCCTGAGTAGCTGGGATTACAGGTGTGCACCACCACACCCAGCTAATTTTTGTATTTTTTGTAAAGACAGGGTTTCACCATATTGCCCAAGCTGGTCTTGAACTCCTGGGCTCAAGCCATCCGTCCGCCTTGGCCTCCCAAAGTGCTGGGATTAGAGGCATGAGTCACCGTGCCCAGCCAAGTATTATTCTGCTGTATATATGTGTGGCTGTGCCCGCTTTCCTGAATTATTTTTATTTTTAACATTTGGCACTTCTTCCAGGACTGATTTTTTTTTTTTTTTTTTTTTTTTTTTTTTGAGATGGAGTCTTGCTCTGTCTCCTAGGCTGGAATGCAGTGGTGTGTTCTCGGCTCACTGCAGCCTCTGCCTCCTGGGTTCCAGCGATTCTCCTGCCTCACCATCCTGGGTAGCTAAGATTACAGGCACATGCCACCACGCCCAGCTAATTGTTGTAGTTTTAGTAGAGATGGGGTTTCACCATGTAGGCCAGGCTGGTCTCGAACTCCTGACCTCAGGTGATCTGCCTGCCTCGGCCTCCCAAAGTGCTGGGATTACAGGCGTGAGCCACCATGCCCAGCCAGGACTGAATTATTAATAGACTATATTATTCAGGGTTCTGCAGAGAAACATAACCAATAGGAGATTGTATCTATGTATCTTGATATAACTCTGTTGATAAATAAGAAATTACTATCAGGAACTTATTATACATATATAATTGCTTGGCTCATGTGATTATGGAGGCTGGCAAGTCCCAGATCTGCAGGGTGAGCCACCAGTCTGGAGAAACAGAAGAGCCGATATTCCAGTTCAAGTTCATGGTCACTCATCACTCTGCTGGAGAATTCTCTTCTGCTCCATGGGGATAGGGTGCAGTTGGCATCTTTTGTTCTGTTCAGGCCTTCAACTAATTGAATGAGGCCCACCCACATTATGAAAGGCAATCTGCTTTATTCCAAGTGTACCAACTTAAATGTTAATCTCATCGAAAAATACCCTCACAGAAACACTATGAATAATGTTGGACCAACTATCTGGGCACCCCTTGACCCAGTCAAGTTGACACATAAAACTAACCATCATGGCCGGGCACGATGGCTCACGCCTGTAATCCCAGGTCAAGGCAGGCAGATCACAAGGTCAGAAGATCGAGACCATCCTGGCTAACACGGTGAAACCCTGTCTCTACTAAAAATACAAAAAATTAGCCGGGTGTAGGGGCAGGCACCTGTAGTCCCAGCTACTCAGGAGGCTGAGGCAGGAGAATGGCGTGAACCCAGGAGGCAGAGCTTGCAGTGAGCTGAGTTCGCACCACTGCACTCCAGCCTGGGCAACAGAGTAAGACTCTATCTCAAAAAAAAAAAAAAAAAAAAAAAAAAAAGAACAAACAACAAAAAAAACTAACCATCACATAGACATTGAATAGTAACAAACTTTGTCAATTTCACTAATTTGATGGGTTAAAAAAATTTCATTTTAATTTGCTTTTCTTGTTTTGATTTAATTTCCCTAGACACCTTTTCATGCTTATTGATCAAGTAGTCTCTGAATTTCCTATTCGTTATCTTTGCTCATTTAAAATGTAATTTTCTTCTTTTGTTACTGTCACAATCTTTATATATCATCTAGATATTGATTCCTTCTCTGTTTTAGATGTTGCAATTGAAAATAATTGCAGGCTGTCATTTGTCTTTTAGCTTGGTTTACAGAGTATTCAGTAATGCAGACATTTTCATTTTTTATGTAATTAAGTTTGCCCAAGTTTTGCTTCATGACTTTTGTGCTTTCCTTTGGAAAACTTTCCAAGTACTAGATTAAAAAAAAGTTGTCTCCTAGTTCCCCGAATATTTTTGCCCTTAGCTCATTAAGGCTATACAGATAGAGGTCAAGAACCAGCATGCTGAAACAGACTATTTGGGTTTGAATCCCGGCTCCTTTATTCACTAGGTAAGTGACTTTGAGTAAATGCAAACTCTTGTGTCTCAGTTAGCTCATCCAAAAATGGGAACAGTACTTATCTAATTGCATTATTATAAAAATTATAGGAGTTAATTTATGTAAAGCACTTAGCGCAGTACTTAGCATACTATAAGCCCTATGTAAATATTATTTTAAAAAATTAACCATGTATATAATGAAATAGTGTGACAATATGTAATGTCATACTATTTCAATAGTCTTAAAGAGCAAAATTACAAGCACAGAGTGGTGCATGCCTATAATCCCAGTACTTTGGGAGGCCAAGACAAGGATCTGGGAGTTTGAGACGAGCCTGGGCACCATAGCAAGACCCTGTCTCTACAGAAAAATTGAAAACTTTGCCAGGCATGGTGGTGCACACCTGTAATCCCAGCTATTTGGGAGGCTGAGGTGGGAGGATCACTTGAGCCCCGGAGTTTGAGGCTGCAATGAGCTGTGATTAGACCACTGCACTCCAACCTGGGCAACAGAGAGACCCCATCTAAAAAAATGATTTTATATGAATTTTGCCTATTTACTCGTTTATTTAAGTTTTTCTTTTTTGAGACATAGTCTTGCTTTGTTGCCCAGGCTGGAGTGCAGTGGTGTGATCTCAGTTCACTGCAACCTCCACCTCCCGAGTCCAAGTGATTCTCCTGCCTCAGCCTCCCGAGTAGCTGGGATTACAGGCGCCCGCCACCACGCCCAGCTAATTTTTGTGTTAGTAGTAGAGACGGGATTTCATCGTGTTATCCAGGATGGTCTCAATCTCCTGACCTTGTGATCTGCCCGCCTCAGCCTCCCAAAGTGCTAGGATTACAGGTGTGAGCCACCGCGCCTGGCCCTATTTAATAAATATTGTTTAAGCACCTATTTGGTTCTATGCCCTGTTTTTATACAGCAGCAAACGAAACAAGACACAAACCCTGGTTACCATTATGGAACTTACATTCTAGTGGATAAGAATGGATTACATTTACTGAGCCCACACTACATGTCAGCCACTTTACTAACTCACTTAATCCTCATAACAACTTAAAAGTAGGTACTATTATTATCCCCCATTTCACTGAGGAGGAAGAGGAGGCATAGAGAAGTAAAGTGACCCACTAAGGCCACACAACCAGTAAGTGGCAGAGCCAGGGTTTGAGCTCAGGCAGTCTAACTCCACAGCGTGAACTTCAAGTCCTCTCTGTTTCTTCTGACTGTCCAGAGATGACATCTATAAAGGACAGGCTCTCATTTCATATAGCCAAATAGTATCCCAAAAAGGCGATGCCAGCTTAAGATTTTGTCAATCCTTCACTCATGCTACACATTTTTATTGTACCCCTCCTATGTGCTGGAGCTTCAGTGGGGAGCAAGACGGACACGGTCCATTGTCACAAGGTCCTTAGAAACACTGTGAGTGGGGAAGCACACGGTGCCATGGAGGAACACAGGAGGGTGGCCATGCCAGAGTCGGTGGTTCAGGGGAGAGAAAGAGACTTCTCAGGTGACACCTAGAAGAAGAATGGGAGTTAGCTAAGCTAAAGGGGTGGGGTGGTTGTGGTGGCAATGTCCAGGGAAAAGAAATAACACTGAAGGAGACCTGGTGGCAGCAGAGAGCAATGGAGGCTGAGTTCAAAGTTCAGGCCAGGTGTGGTGGCTCGTGCCTGTAATCCCAGCACTTTGGGAGGCCGAGGCGGGCAGATCACCTGAGGGTAGGAGTTTGAGACCAGCCTGACCAACATGGTGAAAACGCATCTCTACTAAAAATACAAAAATTAGCTGGGTGTGTTGGTGCACGCTTGTAAACTGAGGCAGGAGAATCACTTGAACCCGGGAGGCAAAGGTTGCAATCAGCCGAGATCGCACCGCTGCACTTCAGCCTGGGCAATAGAGCGAGACTCCATCTCGGAAAAAAAAAAAACAAAAACACAAAGTTTATTCCAGTGGAGCGTTAGGGAATTTCTGACAAGAGATGAACAGCAGTTTCTTTTGGAAGGGTTTTGTAAACTAACATTGAGAGAATGGACTTTATTTTATGAAAGCTTTTGAGAAGGAGAAAGACATGCTTAGAAGCATCTTTTAGAAATATCACTATAACTCCAGCGCGTGGAATATAATGAAGGAGGAAGCAAGAAGTTCCGCTGTATTAGTCTGTTCTCACATTGCCATAAAGAAACACCTGAGGCTGGGCACGGTGGCTCACACCTGTAATCCCAGCACTTTGTGAGGCCGAAGCGGGAGGATCATGAGGTCAAGAGATTGAGACCATCCTGGCCAACATGGTGAAACCCTGTCTCTACTAAAAAAATACAAACATTAGCTGGGTGTGGTCGTGCGTGCCTGTAGTCCCAGCTACTCGGGAGGCTGAGGCAGGAGAATTGCTTGAACCAGGAAGGCGGAGGTTGCAGTGAGCGGAGGTCGCACCATTGCACTCCAGCCTGGCGACAGAGCAAGACTCTGACTCAAAAAACCAAACAAAACAAAACCAAACCAAACAAAACAAAAATTAGCTGGGTGTGGTGGCACACACCTATAATCCCAACTACTGGGGAGGTGGGGGCAGGAGAATTGCTTCAACCCAGGAGGCAGAGGTTGCAGTGAGCTGAGATCACACCACTGCACTCCAGCCTGGGCAACAGAGTGAGACTCGGTCTCAAAAAAAAAAAAAAAAAGAAGGGATGGCACCTAAAACCAAGAAACAGGGTGCATGGCCCAAGACAGATTAAGAGGAGCCCACAAAGAAGACTGGAAATGAGCAGCCCAGAAAGGAGGAGGAAATCCAGGAGCATGTAATGTCATGGAACCCAAGGAAAGAGAGTGTTTTCAGCTGAAATGAAATAGCTCAGAAACAAGCTCTCATATATACAGTAAAATAATTCTGATAAGGGTGACAAGAGTATTCAATGGTGAAAGGACAGTCTTTTAAATATAATAAGTGGTGTTGGGGAAACTGGATATCCAAATGCAAAAAAAAATGAAGTAAAACCCATATCTAAAACTATACATAAAAAGTAACTCAAAATGGATCAAAGACCTAAATATAAGACCTAAAAACTGTAAAACTCTTAGAAGAAAAAATAGAGCAAAAGCTTCATGACTTGGATTTGGCAGGCAACAAAAGAAAAAATAGACAAATTGCAGTTCATGAAAATTTAAAAATTATGTGCATTAAAGGACTATATAAACACAGTAAAAAGGCGGCCCACAGAATGGGAGAAGATATTTGCAAATCATATATCTGACAAGGGATTAATATGCAGAAGATATATAGAGAGAGAACTCCTAAAACTCAACAAAAAACGAACAACCCAGTTTTAAAAAATGGGCAAAAGACTTGAATAGATATTTCTCCAAAGAAGAGAAGTAGACAAATAGCCAATAAGCATATGAAAAGATGCTCAACATCACTAATTGTTAGGGTAATTCAAATCAAAGCTACAATGAGATACCACTGCATACCCATTAAGATGGCTACTATCAAAAAAACATAAAGTAACAAGTATTGTCCAGGATGGAGAGAAACTGGAACCCTTGTGTGCTCTTAGTGGGAATGTAAAGAGGTACAGCGGCTGTGGAAAACAGTGTGGCAGTTCCTCAAAAAATTAAAAATAGAATTATGTTCTAACCCAGCAATTTCACTTCTGCATATATATTCAAAAGAATTAAAAGCAGGGACTGAAAGAGATATTTGGACACCCATGTTCATAGCAGCATTATTCAGAATAGCTAAAACATGGAAGCAACCCAAGTGTCCACTGAGGGATGAATGGATAAGCAAAATATGGTATAGACACACAATGGAATATTATTCAGCCTTAAAAAGGAAGGAAATTCTGACACATGCTACAACATGGATGAACATTGAGGACATCCCGTTAAGTTAAATAAGCCAGTCACAAAAAGAAAAGTACTGACCGGGCGTGGTGGCTCATGCTTGTAATCCCAGCACTTTGGGAGGCCGAGGCAGGCAGATCACCTGAGGTCAGGAGTTCGAGACCAGCCTGGCCAACAAGGCAAAACCCCATCTCTACTAAAAATATAAAAATTGGCTGGGCACGGTGGCCTAAAGCACATAAATTCAATGTACATAAATTTTAATGTGCCAGCTACTCAGGAGGCTGAGGCAGGAGAATTGCTTGAACCCAGGAGGTAGAGGTTGCAGTGAGCCGAGCTCGTGCCATTGCACTCCAGCCTGGGGGACAAGAGTGAAACTCCATCTCAAAAAAAAAAAAAAAAGAGAAATACTGAATGATTCCACTTCTATGAGGTACTTATAGTAGTCAGAATCATAGAGACAGAAAGTAGAATGGTGGTTGCCAGGGGCTGGATAAAGGAGGAATGAGGAGTTATTGTTTAAGGATATAGTAAACCCCACTTATCCTCAGGGGATATGTTCCAAGACCCCTAGTGGATGTCTGAAACCTCAGATAGTACCAAACTTTATATACACTGTGTTTTTCCTATATATACCTTTGATATATATACCGTTGATAAAGTTTAATTTATAAATTAGTCACAGTACTCTCTATTTAATAAATGATGCTGGGAGTGCTGGCTAGTCATATGCAGAAAATTGAAACTGGACCCCTTTTTTACACCACATACAAAAATTAACTCAAGATGGATTAAAGACTTAAATGTAAAACCCAAAACTATAAAAACCCTAGAAGAAAATCTAGGCAATATCATTCAGGACATAGGCATGAGCAAAGATTTCATGATGAAAACACTAAAAGCAATGGCAACAAAAGCAAAAATTGACAAATGGAATCTAATTAAACAGAAGAGCTTCTGCACAGCAAAGAAATTATCATCAGAGGGAACAGACAACCTACAGAATGTGAAAAAATTTTTGCAATCTATACATCTATCAAAGGTCTAATATCTGGAGTCTACAAGGAACTTAAACAAATTTACAAGAAAAAAACGAACAACACCCCATTAAAGAGTTGGCAAAGGACATAAACAGATACTTCTCAAAAGAAGACGTACATGTGGCCAACAAACATATGAAAAAAAGCTCAACATCACTGATCATTAGAGAAATGCAAATCAAAACCACAATGAGATACCGTCTCATGCCAGTCAGAATGGAGTTTATTAAAAAGTAAAAAAACAACAGATGCTGGCAAGGTTGTAAAGAAAAAGGAACATTTTTACACTGTTGGTGGGAGTGTAAATTAGTTCAATCATTGTGGAATACAGTGTGATGATTCCTCAAAGACCTAGAGGCAGAAATACCATTTGACCCAGCAATCCCATTACTGAGTATATACTCGAAGGAACATAAATCATTCTATTATAAAGGTACATGCACATATATGTTCACTGCAGCACTATTCACAATAGTGAAGACATGGAATCAACCAAAATGCCCATCAATGATAGACTGGATAAAGAAAATGTGTTACATATACACCATAAAATACTATGCAGCCATAAAAAGGAACGAGATCATGGTCCTTTGCAGGGACATGGATGGAGTTGGGAGCCATTATCTTCAGCAAACTAACTCAGGAACAAAAAACCAAATACCGAATGTTCTCATTTACAAGTGGGAGCTGAATGATGAGAACACATGGACACAGGGAAGGGAACAACGCACACTGGAGCCTGTTGGGCAGTGTTGGTGGGGATTTGGGGGAGAGAGAGCATCAGGAAGAAAAGCTAATGGATGCTAAGCTTAATACGTAGGTGATGAGATGATCTGTGCAGGAAACCACCATGGCACACGTTTACCTATATAACAAACCTGCACATGCTGTACATGTATCCCTGAACTTAAAATAAAAGTTGAAGAAAAAAAAGAATATAAATTAGTCATCATAAGAGATTAATAACTAATTAGTAATAAAATAGAACAATCATAATAATATATTGTAATAAAAGTTGTGTGATTGTGGTCTCTCTCTCTTCAAAAAATCTTATTGTACTGTACTCACCTATTTTAAGACCCCAGTTGATGGGAGTAACTGAAACCTCAGAGACTGAAACCAGGGATAATGGGGTACTGTAGAGAGCCTCGGTTTTACCAGATGAAGAGATGAATGATAGTGATGGTTGCACATTGCGAATGTATTTAATAGCACGGAACTGGACAGTTAAAAATAATGAAGACTGTAAGCTTTTTTTTTTTTTTTTTTTTTTCTGAGACAGGATCTCACTCTGTTGCCCAGGCTGGAGTGCAGTGGCGTGATCACAGCTCACGAGAGTAGCCTCAACTTCCCAGGCTCAAGAGATCTCCCACCTCAGCCTCCTGGGCAGCTGGGACTATAGGTGTGTGCCACCATGCCTGGCTAATTTTTTTTTTTTTTTTTTTTGAGACAGGATCTTGCTCTATCACCCAGGCTGGTGTGCAGTGGCATGATATCGGCTCACTGCAATCTCCACCTCCAGGACTCAAGCAATTCTTCCACCTCAGCCTCTCGAGTAGCTGGGATTACAGGCGTAAGCCACCACACCCAGCTAATTTTTTTGTTTTTTTAGTAGAGAGAGGGTTTTGCCATGTTGGCCAAGTTAGTCTCGAATTCCTGGCCTCAAGTGATCCGCCTGCCTCAGCCTCCCAAAGTGCTAGGATTACAGGTGTGAGCCCCCACATCCAGCCAATTTTGTATCTTTTGTAGAGACAAGAGTTTCACCATGCTACCTAGGCTGGCCTCGAACTCCTGGGCTCAAGAGATCCACCTGACTTGGCCTCCCAACTGGCCTCGAACTCCTGAGCTCAAGCGATTCGCCTGATTTGGCCTCCCAAAATTCTGGAATCGCAGGCGTGAGCCACCATGCCTCTCCAGCTTTATGTTTTATTTGCCACAATAAAATAAAAATTGGGGGAAAAAAGGGAGCAAGGTGGGCATGGTGGCTCATACCTGTCATCCCAGCTACTTGGGATGCTGAGGCTGGAGGATCACTTGAAGCCAGGAGTTCAAGGCCAGCCTGGGCAACATGGTGAGATCCCCGTGTCTAAAAATAAAAACATTTTTTAAAATTATTGGGGCTTGGTGGAGTCTCCTGTAATCCCAGTGACGAGGGAAGCTGAGGCGGGAGGATTGTTTGAGCCCAGGAGTTTGAGGCTGCACTGAGCTATGATCATGGCACTGCACTCCAGCCCAGGTGACAGAGCAAGTCCCCACCTGTATAAAAAGAAAGAAAGAAAACGATGATAAAAGGAGCAATCAGAGAAGTAAAATAAGGACTTTTTTTTTTTTTTGCATTTAGCCACAGGATGGTGACAGCAATTTCAGTGCATGGTGGAAGTGGTTGGCCAGGTGCTAGGATTAACATGTCTAGTAACTCTTCAGAGGGCCTAACCTGCATCTTGAAGTTTTTCTAGGGGAGCTGAAGCAAGCTGTTTTTCACCGTAACCCACTCTAAACTGGACAATTAAGGAAAAATTGTTCAGTAGATGTCCAGTGAGCTACCCACCCTTATGGGCATGCTTTAAGACAGTGGTCCCCAACCTTTTTGGCACCAGGGATCAGTTTCGTGGAAGACAATTTTTCCACGGATGGCAGGAGGGATAGTTTTGGGATGAAACTGTTCCACCTCAGATCATCAGGCTTTAGATTCTCATAAGGAACAAGCAACTAGATCCCTCCCACGTGCAGTTCACAATAGGGTTTCTACTCCTATGAGAATCTAATACCACGGGTAATCTGACAGGAGGTGGAGCTCCGGCAGTAATGCTCGTCCACAGCTCACCTCCTGCTGTGGGGCCGTTTCCTAACAGGCCATGGTTCAGTACCGGTCTGCTGCCCGGGGGTTGGGGACCCCTGCTTTAAGAGGTTTGGGAAACCCCCATAATCAAATCAAGGTGTCTGAATTCTCAGGATGGCTCTAATGTAACCCAATCAAGACAGTCCCTCAAGGTGGCAGCACAAGGTCTGTTCTGACTTGCAAGGAGGACCTTTGCTTGGCGGTGACCTCTCTCACTGGGAGACCTCATCCCACACAGCTTCCGGCCTGCTCTGGGGAGCCCCAGCCTGATGGAGAGTCTCCCCTCCCCAGCTTCATTTCGTCAGATTATGCTCACCCTGCACAGGGTTTGCTCACTTTGCCTGAGGCACGAGACGGCACCTGAGAGGTTATTTTAGCATACAATTTCTGCTGAGCATGGTGGCCCTTGACTGTAGCCCTTGACTGTAGCCATTCCAGAGGTCGAGGCAGGAGGATTACTTGAGCCCAGGAGTTCAAGGCCAGCCTGGGCAACAAAGCGAGATCATGTCTCTTAAAAAAAAAAAAAAGAATAAAAAAGAAAGAAATTTCTCACCTTCTCCTGGGTCCCTGCCCACAGTTGGGGTCAAGCCAAGGCACCCAGGGCTCGGCGACTGTCCACCTCCCCTTATGCCCGGTCTGGTGGCGGCCCAGGCCGGGTGGGAGGATGAATCCCTATCCCCAGGACCTCTGCACCTCTCACTTTGTGTGGAGGCCATTCTTACCATGTCATTAGGGCACGGAGCACCAGAGGAGTGGGGTACCAGGTCAGACGAAGTACCAGGAGGACCTGGCAGGGCCCAGGAGGCCCCTGGCCCAATCCTCCTTCTCCAGGAGCACCTCCTCTGCTAGATTTATTCACAGCAAACAAATCCATCAAATAAGACCTTTTGCGCATTCAAAAAACAAAATTATTAAACACCTTGTGAATAACTGCCACAAACTACCCTCATGCTGCTTACTAGTGGGAAAGACAGAATAATAAATGAATAAATAAATATGAATAGTATCTAGTGTGTGTGTGTAAATATGTATCTAGATTTAAAATTATTTTATTATATTTTAGACAGGTCTAGCTCTGTCACCCAGTCTGGAGTGCAGTGGCACAATCGTGGCTTACTGCAGTCTTGAACTCCTGGGCTCCAGTAATCTCCCTCCTTGGCCTTCCAAAGCCTGGGGTTACAGGCGTGAGTCACCCAGTGGAGTATCTAGTATATTCATGTTGACTGGTACTCAGGAGAAAACGCCGGGGAAGGACAGGGAGAAACAGGGCAGTCCAGGGCGGCCTCTCTGCAAAAGGCACAACTGAGTAAAAGCCTGAGAGAGATGTCTATGTCTTAGAAATTTTTTCATGTTATTAGATACGAGCTACTGTATTCTTTTTAATTGGTGCAGTACTTCTTTTAAAGAGGTACCATACTTCTTTATTAACCTCCCGATTTTTAAAGATGCTTCCAATTTTTCCTTATGAATTAACTGACGATTGTTGTACAGTATCCTCTAGATTCTAAGACTCTAGTTTTTAACATTTCTGAAGTCAGCATGTGGTTTACACTTTCATGGCAGCTGAAACACGCGGGTTTTGGTGTCTTGCTTCTGCTTCAACCCTAACTCACCTACCCTTTGCACCTTCAGCTCAGGTGTACATGGTGCCTGGAGGCAGCAGACCCAAGACCCAGAGCATGCAACTCGACTTGGAAGCAATCCAACAGAGCAGCTGTTGTGGCTAGTGGAGGTTCCCAAATACCTGTCATGAGTGGTCTGAAGCTTCTGGAAGTAGTGAAGTAGGGAAGCTGCAGACTGCCAAGAATCAGAGAAAGTCTGAGCTGTCATTTACTTTGAATGAGGAACTTAAAAACATTCACAATATTGGTGGACAACCCACCCATCAGCACACCTAGGGTGCCTCAGTTTCTTGTGCAAGGGCTCAGAGGGCAGATGCTCACAGTGTTGACTAAGCGTGCACCGAGTAAGCTCTCACTGGAAGGAACAGTGGTACAGTGAGAGGAATGCCAACCAGCTGCAAATTAAAACTACATGAGACTGAAGAGAATGCAAACACAGGAATCTGCCAAACCTGCCAAAACCCTGCAGAAACCGGACAAGGTTGTCACAGCTGGTTATAAACCTGTTGCTAATCATCAGTGTAATATTGCATATGAGAAGAAAAAGAAAGAAGAGGGAAAGAGGGTGCAGGCTGATAAAGACCACGTTTTATCCTTGCTATTTGCTGCCTTCGAGAAACACCAGTGTTACAACATAAAGGATGTGGTTGGCATCACAATGCAACCTGTGTGTGCCTCAAGGAAATCTTGAATGAGACGGGTGTTTGAAATGTCAGTGGTCCCCACAAAAGCACATGGAGCTGAAGGCAGAGACTGACATTATCCGGCAGCAGCCAAGAGTGAGCAAGAGGACCCTTGGTCATGCAGCAGGAGATAGCAGGAGCATAGTCATCTGCTGACACTAAACTTATGTGAGGCTGGGCTATTTTTGGTAAGGGGTAGGAGTTACAGGGCTACGTATCTTTTTTTAAGTATTCACTTTTACATTATGAACCAGGGAAATAAAAGAGATATAAAATGAGAAAATATTTTCTGATAACTGCCTGTCTTTGACCACACCACACATTCTAAAACAACTGAAGAATAATGTGTTTTTGAAATGTTTGAAACATGTGGCCCTTTTGTGCAGGACAGAGGGGCCCCAAAATTGGGACTTAGCCCAGGTGAGTTCTTGGCTTTGCCTAGGAAAGAATTCAAGGGCCAGCCAGTGGTGTTACACAGCAATCGTTTATTGAACGGTTCTGCTCCTCAAGGAGTGTATTAGTCAGAGTTCTCTAGAGGGACAGAACTAATAGCGTAGATGTATATATGAAAGGGACTTTATTAAGGACAATTGCCTCACACGATCACAAAGTGAAGTCCCACAAAATGAAGTCCCACAATAGACCATCTGCAAGTTGAGGAGCAAGGAAGCCACTAGTGGCTCAGTCCAAGTCCCAAAACCTCAAAATTAGGGAAGCCGAGAGTGCAGCCTTCAGTCTGTGGCTGAAGGCCTAAATGTCCCTGGCAAACCACTGGTGTAAGTCCAAGAGTCCAAAAGCTGAAGAACTTGGAGTCTGATGTTCGAGGGCAGGAAGCATCCAGCATGGGAGAAAGATGAAGGCCAGAAGACTCAGCAAGTCAGCTTCTTCCATCTTCTTCTGCCTGCTCTTTTCTAGCCTCACTGGCAGCCAATTGGATGGTGCCAAGACTCACAATGTGGGTGGGTCTTCCTGAGGGTGGGTCTTCCTCTCCCAGTCCACTGATTCAAATGTTAATCTCTTCTGCAACACTAGAAACACCCAGAAACAATACTTTGCATCCTTCAATCCAATCAAGCTGACACTTATTAGTAACCATCACAAGGAGCAAGGCTAACTCACAAGCAGTGCACCCAGAACCAGCAACCTATGGACTTTTGGCAATTCTGTTTATACCTACTTATACCTACTTTCAATTACACACAAATTCAGGGGTGGGTTAATGCAAATTGAGGGGTGCGTTATTTAGAACTTTCTAGGAAACAGGTACTAACTTTTGGGTCATTGCCATAGCATTTGTAAACTGTCGTGGCACTGGTGGGAATGTCTTATGCTAATGAGTAACGAGGACAGCTAGGGATGGCTTTTGTCTCCATCTGCTGGTTTCAGTGGTTTCTTCACTTTATCCTGTCGGCCAGATCCTGTTTTGCTCATCAGGGTTGTGACCAGAAAACAAGTCCTGCCAGTCTCCTGCCTCACTTTTATATGCAGACATATTAATGAAAAAAAAAAAAAACTAAAAGAGCAAGCAAATTAAAACTTGCCAGCTGGCAGGCAGAGGAAGACAGCGTCTGGCTGATCAAGTGGGAACAGGCAATATTCGCAATCCTTTCCTTACTTCAAGTGAGTTCTGTGAATTGTCTCTTAAATTTGGAACCCTAATTGGTGCCTAAAATATCTTTGTAAGAGATTCCACTCTGTGGCAGCAAGCACTGAAATGAACACTTAAAATAATAATAGCAACAGCGACGAGAAGAATGGCTAATATTTATGTGCTTGCTATAAGGTAGGGGCTATGTTTGGGACTTGCCATCATTTATCAGATAATATTCCTTTTAGTAGCCAGCCCCATGAGGGAAACGTGGAGACCCTCTTCTGCTCTCCCATCCCATCTTTCTTTCTTTTTTTTTTTTTTTTTTTTGTGACAGTCTCACTCTGTCGCCCAGGCTGGAGTGCAGTGGTGCGATCTCGGCTTACTGCAAGCTCTGCCTCCCGGGTTCACACCATTCTCCTGCCTCAGCCTCCCGAGCAGCTGGGACTACAGGTGCCCACCACCACACCCGGCTAATTTTTTGTATTTTTAGTAGAGATGGGGTTTCACCGTGTTAGCCAGGATGGTCTCGATCTCCTGACCTCGTGATCCGCCCTCCTAGGCCTCCCAAAGTGCTGGGATTATAGACGTGAGCCACCATGCCCGGCCCCATCCCATCTTTCAAAGGCTGTCCAGGGGTACAGGGTTGAGGAAGGGTTCGGTTTTTCCCTCTTGTTTTAAAAGGTGTCTGCATGCTGTCAGAGGGGGATATCAACAATACTGGAAAGAAGGTGAAGTTGAGGAAATCCTTCAAGGTAAACAGGGTGGGATCCTGAGCACAGATTGAGTCAGCAAGGACTTATTATTTTTTTTTTTTTTCTGAGACGGAGTCTCGCTGTGTCGCCCAGGCTGGAGTGCAGTGGTGCAATCTTGGCTCACTGAAACCTCCGCCTCCCGGGTTCAAGCAATTCTCCTGCCTCAGCCTCCCAAGTAACTGGGAATACAGACACATGCCACCATACCCGGCTAATTTTTGTATTTTTAGTAGAGATGGGGTTTCCCCATGTTGGCCAGGCTGGTCTCGAACTCCTGACCTCAAGTGATCTGCCCACCTCGACCTCCCAAAGTGCTGGGATTACAGGTGTGAGCCACCGCACCTGGCCTGCAAGGACATTTTTAATGGGCAGAGGAAAGAAACAATATTAGTACAGATGCAGGCACAGAGGTAGATGTGGTGGGAGGAAGAAGGGAGCTTCCTGGCTTTCCTTTGTGGTTTTCTTATTCTCTCAATAAAATATGAGGCAAAGTTATGAAAAGAGTGGGGTAAGCTGCAGCTGGTTTACAGAAAGGGGGAGAAAATTGTCATAATTGCTAACAACGACTGATTGAGTGCTTTTTTTTCTTTTTTGAGGTGGAGTCTCCCTCTGTCACCCAGGCTAGAATGCCGTGGCACGATATCGGCTCACTGCAACCTCTGCCTCCCGGGTTCAAGCAATTCTCCTGCCGCAGCCTCCCGAGTAGCTGGGATTACAGACACCCACCACATCTGGCTAATTTTTGTATTTTTAGTATAGACAGGGTTTCACCATGTTGGTCAGGCTGGTCTCAAACTCCTGACCTTAGGTGATCTGCCCACCTCTGCCTCCCAAAGTGCTGGGATTACAGGCGTGAGCCACTGCGCCCAGCCTGATTGAGTGCTTCTTAGGCATGAGGTAACACTGTGTTGGTGTTAACTCATTTGATCCTCACAACGTGTAAATTAAACAACATTTTGAGCTCATTCTTCAGATAAAGAAGTGAGGGGGCTGGGCGCGGTGGCTCACGCCCATAATTCCAGCACTTTGGGGGGCCGAGGCAGGCGGATCACGAGGTCAGGAGTTTGAGACCAGCCTGACCAACATGGTGAAACCCCGTCTCTACTAAAATACAAAAAAATTAGCCGGTGTGGTGGTGCGCGCCTGTAATCCCAGCTACTCAGGAGGCTGAGGCAGGAGAATCGCTTGAACCTGGGAGGCAGAGGTTGCAGTGAGCCGAGATCACGCCACTGCACTCCAGCCTGGGCAACAGATCAAGACTCCATCTCAAAAAAAAAAAAAAAAGAAATAAATAAATAAAAGAAAGAAGTGAGGCAGAGAGAAGTTAAATAACTTGTCTGAGGTTATCCAGCTACTAAGCGGGCAGAGAGATGACTTGAATCTAGACTCTGAAATGTCAGATACCAAGGCCTGGTCTTTCAAATTGTCTTGGAAAGCAGGCAGCAGGCTAATTAATGAAATGTGGAATTCTTGGGTGGTTTCAGTACTCTCTAAGGTGAGAGGCCAGGCTCAGTGACTCATGCCTGTAACACCAGCACTTTGGGAGGCCAAGGTGAGATGATTGCTTGAGGCTGGGAGTTTGAGACCAGCCGAGGCAACATAGTGAGATCTTGTCTCTACAAAATAATTTTAAAAGTAGCTGGGCATGGTGGCACTTGCCTGTAGTCCCAGATACACAGGAGGCTGAGGCGGGAGGATTGCTTGAGCCCAGGAATCTGAGGCTGCAGTGAGCTATGATCATGCCACTGCATTTCAGGCTGGGTGACAGAGCAAGACCCTGTCTCAAAAAAAAAAAAAGAAAAAAGAAAAAAAAGAATTATTATGATTGAGGATATCGGTGAAATCACTTAGAGCATAATTCCCTCCATTCATCTTCTATGAGAAATTGGAGCTCAGAGTTAATGGAAGGGCATTCAGTAACAGGATCAAGTATGAATGGCCTAGAAAATTAGGCAGAGGCTTACGACTTAAAGTGGTGAATAAGGAGACACTTAAGGTTTCTACCAGGTATAGTATAAACAAAATAGGCCGGGTGCGGTGGCTCATGCCTGTAATCCCAGCACTTTGGGAGGCCGAGGTGGGCAGATCATGAGGTCAAGAGATCGAGACCATCCCAGCCAACATGGTGAAACCCCGTCTGTACTAAAAATACAAAAATTAGCTGGGTGTGGTGGTGCGTGCCTGTAGTCCCAGTACATGGGAGGCTGAGGCAGGAGAACTGCTTGAATCCAGGAGGCAGAGGTTGCAGGGAGCCGAGATTGTGCCACCGCACTCTGGCCTGGCGACAGAGCGAGACTCCGTCTCAAAAAAAAGAAGAAAACATAGTATTCATTTAAGTGGACACCAGAGTTTTTAGGAGAGAATGTTATCAAGATGAAAAGGCCAGCTTTATTCCAAAGGTTCTGAATAGCACAGAAACAATAAACATGAGTTTTATTTATTTATTTGTTTTTGAGACAGGTTCTCAAAAACTCTTATTAAAATTTCAAAATGGTCTGAGTGACAGATGTGGTATTTGCCAACCTTGGCTAAATCACACAGAGGACGGGCATTTCCAGTCTACACAGACGAGCACATGGTGAAGGAATGAACAGGCCAGCCTTTATGCTTTATGCAACAGATTGCCTGGCACAGGATGGGCACTCAGTGAGTGTTTCTTAAATGTGCAAATGGCTTTCAATGAAGGAATATTTACTAAATATATCCATCCAATTAGACTGTTAAGGACAATTCATGGTTGGTTTTAGGTCAATTTGAATTGGTAAGTGAAGCTCTGGAAATTTTTTTAGTTGACAGATAAAATTGTATGTAATTATTGAGTAGCTCTAGAAATGTTAAGAGCAAGTGAGTAATTGACTCTAAGGACTTTCAGGTTGGAAGGTTGCAATTCATTTAACTAGAACAAAATGAATAAATCAACCAAAGCTTGGTTCTGCATCACACATATATAGAGGTGCTAAAAAATTATATTCAGAACTGGTGGAAAGGGTGAACGAAAGACTGGGAGAGAGTACCAGCTACCTGGTACCACCACAACTATCTTCTATGTGCCATTTTCCTCTACTTATACTATAAAAATGTATTTAGTGCTTATTTATTTTTGCGTCCACTGAGAGTCTTTGAAATAAACCAGGGTACTTCTTCATGTTTGGATGAAGGAACTTGGAATCAAAATTCTGGATGGTGAAGAGACTAAAATACAAAAAGCTCAGTAAGGATCACCGGGAGCTACACCCTTAAAGTCTGTCTGGGAATAGGATGACCCTAGCCTGAGAGATGTTGCTCATTTCCAATGCTGAAGATCAGTGTGCAGGCAAAGGGCAGATGAGAAATAGATCAAAAGTAAAATCTTAGTCACTTAAGGATGACATTTCTAAGATTCAGGGAACAGGGACCGTGGGAGAGGAGAGAAACAAATCCTTAAGTGAAGCTTAGCCCTCCAGGACTTAGGCATTAATTTTACATAGTTTAACATGCCCAAGATTTTTTAAAAATAACAAAAGTGATGATTTCCTATTTAAGAGGACATTTTAAGTTGGGAGAAAGGCTTCATAAAGACATTGCTTGAGCTGCTTCTGGGTGAATTTGCCAAGTATATTTTGGTGTTCCAGATGGCCCTGGTCAGCTGGAGGAATCAGAGGAAGGAAAGGAGAACGGTTCATTCGAATCCTGCATAACCCACTGTGATATTGTGATGTAATGAAAAGTATATATTTGGTCTCTGCCTCCAGTTCTGAGATGAGCTCCTAATGCTATTGTAGATTGAGGGACTAGGAGAATCTTAGTGTCTGACCCAGAGGTCTTAAATCCCTTGGAATTTCCTGGGTGGTAGGAGCATCTTTTGTTCTAATGAGGTGCCTCTTAGTGGGCTCCTGGACAGCCTTGGGATGGGGGCTAGTTGTTAGGGAATTAATCATGAAGGTTGGAACTTTCAGTCCCACCCCTGGACCTCCAAAAAGGGGAGACAGGTTGAAGGCTGAGTTGATCACCAATGGCCAGTGATGGGCGAATGGTCATGCCTACATAATAAAGCCTCCATAAAAACCCCAAAGGACAAGGTTCATGGAGCTTCTGGATTGCTGAACACGTGGAGGTGATGGGAGGGCGGTACACCTGGAGAGGGCTTGGAAGCTCTGTGCCTCTTCCATATACTCAGGAAGTGTGGAGCTTCCATGCTCTCTCAGATGTGCCACCCTCCCATCACCTTCATGTGCATCTTGCCCTATGCCACTTTCCCATCTGGCTGTTCATCTGTATCCTTTGTGAAATCCTTCAGAATAAATGGATAAATATAGGTAAAGTGTTTCCCTGAGTTCTGTGAGCCACTCTAGCAAATTAATCAAACCAGAGGTGGGGATCGTGGGATCCCTGATGTATAGCCAGTTGGTCAGAAGTACAGGTACAACCTACTGCCTTCAACTGGTACCTGAAGTTGGGGGCAGTGTTGGACTGAGCCCTTAACTTGTGGGATCTGATGCTAACTCCAGGTAGATAGTATTAGAATTCAGTTAAATTGTAAGACACCCAGTGAGTGTTCAATGGGAAATTTTCCAGTGGAGAGTGTCCAATGGAGGAAAATCCCTCCACATCTGGTGTCAGGAGTGTTGTTGTCTTGGCTGTGTAAGAGAAGAAAAAGTGTTTATCTCTTCTACCTACCCATATGGACTGATCAATAGTTGCTCAATAGTACATTCTTTAAACGAAGGCTTATTTGTTGGGATGCAGCGGACCCTCCAAAAAAGCAACCCCTCTCTATCCCCACCTCTAAATTTCCCTCCCTTCTTCCTAGGCAAGTGTGCCAGCAAAACACTTAATGAGAAGACTGCTCCTGACCATGGCTTGTTCACTGAAGGGCTCCCACCTCTTAGTTGTTTGCTGGTTTAAGGGAAGCCAAGGCATAGAATGTCTTAAAGTGTTATCAAAACAGATAGACACAACGTAGCCCTGCTCCTGACAACTGCTCAATCTTTTTCATCTCTTTGTTGCTCCCTAGCCTGTTTTCAGAAGCAGACACCTGCTCCTTATTGAACTTTACTGAATGTCTTTGCAAAAGTATCAGAGTCCCACCTTAAGGTTTCCATACAGAAGCTGGGAGTGGGTGCTTGATGCTACTAGTTCATTCCTTCCTATGGTACCATGTCAAAAATTAGGGGCTATATATTTATTTATTTTTTGTGATGGAGTTTCCCTCTGTCACCCAGGCTGGAGTGCAGTGATGCCTTCTTAGCTCACTGCAACCTCCCCCTCCCGGGTTCAAGCGATTCTCCTGCCTCAGCCTCCCATGTAGCTGGAGTTACAGGCACCCACCACGCCCGGCTAATTTTTGTAATTTTAGTAGAGATGGGGTTTCGCCATGTTGGCCAGGCTGGTCTCGAACTCCTGACCTCAGGTGATCCAGCCGCCTCGGCCTCCCAAAGTGCTGGGATTACAGGCATGAGCCACCACGCCCGGCCAGGGGCTTACTTATTCCAGGACCAACAGCTTCTTACTTAATAGAGCAAAGTGTTCCAGTACCAGAAACATTTTTCAGTGAGGAATTGCTGACAGGTGCAAAATTATTTTTATATTCTTTAAACAGGACTTGTGGAACCTATTCATCATCCCGAGGCAGGGTGATGAGAGGCTGCTTTAACAACTCAGCTTGTCATTGCCTGGCCATTAGCACAAGTGGAAGCCCCTTTCTTATCTGGTTCCTTTACTTCTCTTAATGGCTACCCAGGAAACTGTTAAGCATCAGTAATTTCACGAGATGTTCAAGGCCCCATCTTAATCTCCCTGACCAAGATTCTGAACAAGCCAGCCTCTAGGAAGCAAGGTCCATTTAGTAAGGTGTATAAAGGAGCAGTTCCTATACCAGGAACTTACATGCTTACTCAGGCCTCCTCAGAAATGCTGAATCGCAGCCTCCTCGGGTGGAACCCAAGATAACTATATCGTTAACAAGCTGTAGAGTGGATTCTGAAGCCCAGCTGCATTTGGGAACCACTGACATAGATTCAGATTAAGGTATAAATTGCATGTTTATGCCATTCAATAGGACGATTTGCAGTAAAAAGGCTGATGCCAGAGTCAGCGTGAATTATTTCAGTAACAGGTTGAATGTATCCCGGTGTTTCTTTCTTTCCATTTTTTTTTTTTTTCAGATGGAGTCTCACTCTGTCGCGCAGCCTGGAGTGAGTGCAGTGGCATGATCTCGGCTCACTAAAACCTCTGCCTCCCAGGTTCAAGCAATTCTTCCCCCTCAGACTCCCGAGTAGCTGGATGTGTGCACCAACACACCCGGCTAATTTTTGTATTTTTAGCTATCTTGGCCAGGCTGGTCTCAAGCTCCTGGCCTCAGGTAATCCGCACACCTTGGCCTCCTAAAGTGCTGGGATTACAGGCGTGAACCACCACGCCCGGCCTATCCTGGTGTTTCTAATATAATCATCATTGCACTAAGGATAATTTAACTATTATCCCACTCTAATATTTGAACTTCTCAATCCATTTCTTATTTTTCAGATATAATAGACTCATACCAGATTCCCCTTATTAAGCTGATGCTGTTTGAAGCTGAATTGTGGCTGCTTGACTCCATTAGTTTTCATTTGTGGCCATCACCTGTCTTATCCTGGGTGCTGTCAGCCATTTGTTAATATTCCCTTGGGCTGGTTGTTGTGTGTTTCAAGTCTCCTGAATTTTACTTCCTGATTTCTATCAATTTGTTGGTAAAAATGTCAATATCCAGTAGATTCAGGACACTAGCAAAAGTGCCACTTAAGATTTTGTTTTTCTTGACCTCATCCAAACATCTCATAGAATAATTCTCCAGCTTTTGCATGCATAAAAATCACCTGCAATGGGAAAAAGAGCTTAAAAACTTTTTTTTTTTTTTTTGGACAGGGGTTGATATGGCTTGGCCCTGTGTCCCCACCCAAATCTCACCTTGAATTGTAATCCCCATAATCTCCATGTGTCAAGGGCAGGACCAGATGGAGGTAATTGGATCATGGGGGCGGTTTCCCTCATGCTATTCTCGTGATAGTGAGTGAGTCTCACGAGATATGGTGGTTTTATAAGTGTCTGGCATTTCCCCTGTTTGCATTCACTCCGTTCTGCCACCCTGTGAAGAAGGTGTTTGCTTCTCCTTTGCCTTTCACCATGGTTGTAAGTTTCCTGAGGACTACCCAGCAATGCGAAACTGTGAGTCAATTAAACCTCTTTCATTTATAAATTACCCAGTCTCAGGCAGTTCTTTATAGCAGCATGAGAACGGACTAATACAGGGGTCTCACTCTGTTGCTCAGGCTTGTCTCAAACTCCTGGTCTTAAGCAATCCTCCTGCCTCAGCCTCCCAAGTTGCTGAGATTATAAGTATGAGCCACTGCGCCCAGCTCTGGGGGAGGAGCTTTTATAAATGCAAACCCTTGGTCTCTGTACCCACTGAGTGATTAAGTAGATATGGGATGAGGCTCAGGAATCTGTATTTTCAAGTACCCCCAGATAATTACGTACACTAAAGTTTTTGTGTATAAAATACTAAAGTAGTACTATTTACACTTTAGTACACACTTTGAGTACTTCTGATACAGGTGGTCTGTAAACCACAATTTGAGAGATGAATATACCCTTGTAAAAGATGCTAAAGTGGAAAGTTTCACACATCTCAAATAAGACAAGATTTCACACAATTGCATAGAACATCATTACCCAGGAAAAATAGCACTGTGGCCTTATCTCCATGGTCACTTGCATTCTTGGCAAAATCTCCTACCACTGGGTGAGTCATGTTATGAAACCAACTCTCCCTGAGGTTTTGATTTTGTTTCTGTTTGGTCTCATTATGGCTCCAGAATGTTTTATAAGAGATCAGTCTTTTTTTTTTTTTTTTTTTTTTTTTTTTTGAGATGGAGTCTCACTCTGTCACCCAGGCTAGAGTGCAATGACACAATCTCGGCTCACTGCAGCCTCCCGGGTTCAAGCAATTCTCCTGCCTGGGCCTCCGAGTAGCTGGGATTATGGGCACCTGCCACCATGCCCGGGTAATTTTTTGTATTTTTAGTAGAGACAGGGTTTCACCATGTTGGCCAGGCTGGTCTTGAACTGACCTCAGGTGATCCGCCCACCTCGGCCTCCCAAAGTGCTGGAATTACAGCCCTGCCCGGCCAAGAGATCAGTCTCTTCAACTCTCTTCCTTGCTTCCTTACAAACAGAACCTTATGGTAACCCCTTAAAACATTTTGTAACATTGAAACACTTGGCAAGTAATATTTTCATTTAGATTTAATTTAGGCTATTGGTATTGTTTATTTCCTATGTATAATTTTGTTGAGTTTTAAGATACTGGGTAAACTTCCTCACCCCAACCCCAAGTTTAATTGTCACATTTATAGTAGGCATCTATTCTGCAGCTTTATAACTTGAATGTATTTGAATGTTTTGACAGTCCTTATTATCACATTGATTCTCTTCTGCCTAGATTCTACTAAAGGTGAACATTTCCCTTCTGACTGAAGTTTGTATTACACTCATTAATAGCAATTTTCTTTAGTGTGGATTCTCTGGTGAATGTGAACTTCTGAGGCTTGAGAGAAGCCCGTACTGAACTCATCACATTTATGGGGTCTCTCTCCCCTATGCACTTGCTCATCAGTGCCAAGTTTTGCACTCTGAGAAAAATTCTCACCGCTCTTAGAAATGATAATGATGTGCTTTCTCTCCTGAATGGAGGGAGGGTACTACAAAGGAGAAGAGAGGAGCACCTGGTGAAGCTCTCACTACGTTCATCACACAGGTAGGGTTGCTCTCCCATACGGTTCCTGAGTCCCATGTGGATCTCCAACTGTACAATAACCCTGACCACATTCCCTTCACTTCAAAGGTTTTCCTCCTGCACAGGTGCTTTCATAATTGGAAAAATTTTTGTACCAGCTGATACCCACAATTCATGCATCATATTTATAAGCCCCCTCTATTGTGTGCACTCCAAGAGGAATTGGGCCAAAGCTTTTAACACATTCTTCACATATACAAGGTTCTCTTCTGTCCGATTGTCTCATGATCTCAAAGGAAATACCTTAGCTGAAGGCCTACCACAAACATTGGCAGGGTTTCTCTCCTTGTGGAATGTCTGAATTTGGTGATAGTTGGTAAGGGGTTCAGCTATATCTGAGTCATTCATCTATATATAATTTCTCTGTGAGTTATGGTATATCCTTGCACATTTGAGTGATTACAAAAAAATTTTCTGGCTGGGTGCGGTGGCTTATGCCTGTAATCCCAGCACTTTGGGAGGCTGAGGTGGGCAGATCATGAGATCAAGAAGATCGAGACCATCCTGTCCAACCAACATAGTGAAACCCTGTCTATACTAAAAATACAAAAATTAGCTGGGCATAGTGGCACATGCCGGTAGTCCCAGCTACTCGGAAGGCTGAGGCAGGAGAATTGCTTGAACCCAGGAGGCGGAGGTTGCAGTGAGCCGAGATCACGCCACTGAACTCCAGCCTGGTGACAGAGCGAGACTCCATCTCAAAAAAAAATAAAAATAAAAATCCATAGTTATTACAAAATTAGGACTTCTGTTCTATGTTTCTTTGGTTCCCGTTTGTGACAAATTGTGATTTCTGGTTATAAATATTCGTAACCCTAAGTACAGAGTTGGATTAGGTTTCTGAGCTATTAGCTCAGCGTTCCCCAACCTTTTGAGTACCAGGGACCAGTTTCATAGAAGACAATTTTTCCATGGACAGGGGCGAGGAGGGGGAAGGATTTCGGAATGAAACTGTTCCACTTCAGATCATCAGGCATTAGTTAGATTCTCATAAGGAGCACACAGCCTAGATCCCTTGCGTGCACAGTTCACAATAGGGTTTGCGCTGCTATGAGAATCTAATGCTGCCGCTGATCTGACAGAAGGCGGACGGAGCTCAGGTGGTAATGCTTGCCACCCACCGCTCACCTTTTGCTGTGTGTCTAGGTTCCTAACAGGCCACAGACTGGTACCTGTGGCTGGGGGACTGGGAACCCCTGCATTAGGTAATGGAGAGTGTTGCTCTATAAAGCCAGGCAACAGTTGACTTTGGAGCTTCTCTAAGCAATATTTTCTGGGAGAAGGTCTCTCACTCCCACATTTTACTCTTCTTTCAATATTGTTCTGGATCCCAAAGTAACCTTTGCTGCCTGAAGAATGTATTTCGGCCTTCACTCACATAGGACTTTTTTAAAAACTCACCACCATACTAACAAGGAATCATAGAATTTTATATAAGGCCCTGGCTGGGCAGATTTCTCCGTTTCTCAAGCTGTATCCTCTTGATTTTCTGTATTTTTTTAGTATCATCCCCTCAAAGATTAACCTTACCATTCTTGCTCCTGCAGGTTCCCCTTCCCATGTATGATGAGAGAAAGATCTTATCTGTGTTCCTGGAATCCTCCCCTTCAGGAGTCATAATGTAGTTGTGAATCTGAGTTATCTGACTGTCACCTTTTCCTATATTTGGCAGCAAGAAAGTTTTCTGTAAAGAATAATTCTTTTTTTTTTTTTTTTTTTTGAGATGAAGTCTCACTCTTGTCCCCCAGGTGGAGTGCGATGGCCTCCCGGGTTCAAGCGATTCTCCTGCCTCAGCCCCCCGAGTAGCTGGGATTACAGGCGCCTGCCACCATGCCCGGCTAATTTGTGTATTTTTAGCAGAGAGGGGGTTTCACCATGTCGGCCAGGCTGGTCTAGAACTCCTGACCTCACGTGATCCACCCACCTCAGCCTCCCAAAATGCTGGGATTACGGGCATGAGCCACCGCACCCGGCCTAAATTCTTTTATTTGAAGATTTCCTACATAGTTTTCATTCCAGCCTTCTATAAGAATCAATGAGGGCAAGTAAAGGTTATTTTTGCTTTTCTCCCACAGAGTTCAGTATTTGAGAATAGGAAGACAAAGACAGGCTTGTGTTTAAAGTCTTTTTTTTGAGACAGGGTCTCACTCTGTTGCCCAGGCTGGAGCGTAGTGGCGCGATCTCGGCTCACTGCAACCTCCACCTCCCAGCTTCAAATGACCCTCTTGCCTCAGCCTCCCAAGTAGCTGGGATTACACGTATCTGCCACCACACCCAGCTAGTTTTCGTATTTTTGGTAGAGACGGGGTTTCACCATGTTGGCCAGGCTGATCTCAAACTCCTGATCTCACGTGATCCACCTGCCTTGGCCTCCCAAAGTGCTGGGATTACACATGTGAGCCACCGCACCTGGCCCCTATGTTTGAATTCTGACACCATCAATTTTTTACAGTATGCCACGGGACGTGCTGTGAAATCTCTCTATAATTGAGTCTTCTCTTTCAGTAAAACAGGAATAGCAACCTCTTTCCATGACATAGGGCTATAATGAAGATGATGTGTGACTGTGATGACAAAATGTACTTGTACAATGTCCAGTACATAGGAAACACTAGTAATACTAATTTCCCTTTTGTGTTCTTTTTGAGACAGAGTCTTGCTCTGTTGCCCAGGCTGGAGTGCAGTGGCATGGCCGCAGCTCACTGCAACCTCTGCCTCCCAGATTCAAGAGATTCTCCAGCCTCAGCCTCCTGAGTAGCTGGGATTACAGGCAGCTGCCACTAAGCCTGGCTAATTTTTGTATTTTTAGTAGAGACGGGGTTTCACCATGTTGGCCAGGCTGGTCTCAAACTTCTGACCTCAGCCTTCTCAAAGTGCTGGGATTATAGGCATGAGCTACCATGCCCAGCCTATATAAAACATTTGATTAAAAAATATATTAGCAATTTCATGGGCCAATGTGAGGCATAGTGACATATTGACAAAGATCTAGAATGGGTAGAGAAGAGGTATTTACAAATTTGTTTATTGCCCAGTCACTGCACATAAAGATTCTTTGTAGCATCCAGATACCATCTCTTTTTCTTCAGGTTCAGGAACCATCTGTTTGTGCTTTTTATTGTCAAATGCACTGTTCCTGGCTGATTTCTATGCAAATTCTCTCCCTTATCCCTTAACCCTGGCAACCACTGATCTGTTCTCTATTCCTATATTTTTGCCTTTTCCAGAATGTCATATTGAGGCAGGAAAATAGGGTCTGCAGGCAGGGAACATAAGGCCAATTCACACTTCAGCTATGACAGGAAATATCCTCTTTATAGAGCGTATGCAGAGTAAATGACTTTGTAACTTTATTTCATCCTCTTCATTTACATAGGGCATACACCAAGTAACCAATGGAATCCTCTAGAGGGTATCTAAACTCCCTAAAAGTCTTTTTTTTTTTTTAATTATTATACTTTAAGTTCTAGGGTACATGTACACAACATGCAGGTTTGTCACATATGTATACATGTGCCATGTTGGTTTGCTGCACCCATCAACTTGTCATTTACATTAAGTATTTCTCCTAATGCTATCCCTTCCCCAGCCCCCACCCCCAAACAGGCCCTGGTGTGTGATGTTTCCCGCCCTGTGTCCAAGTGATCTCATTGTTCAATTCCCACCTATGAGTGAGAACATGCAGTGTTTGGTTTTCTATCCTTGTGATAGTTTGCTGAGAATGATGGTTTCTAGCTTCATCCATGTCCCTGCAAAGGACATGAACTCATCCTTTTTTATGACTGCACAGTATTCCATGGTGTATATGTGCCACATTTTCTTAATCCAGTCTATCATCCATGGACATTTGAGTTGGTTCCAAGTCTTTGCTATTGTGAATAGTACCACAATAAACATACGTGTGCATGTGTCTTTATAGTAGCATTATTTATAATCCTTTGGGTATATACCCAGAAATGGGATCGTTGAGTCAAATGGTATTTCTGGTTCTAGATCTTTGAGGAATCACCACACTGTCTTCCACAATGGTTGAACTAGTTTACACTCCCACCAACGGTGTAAAAGCATTCCTATTTCTCCACATCCTCCCCAGCATCTGTTGTTTCCTGACTTTTTAATGGATCACCATTCTAACTGGCATGAGATGGTATCTCATTGTGATTTTGATTTGCATTTCTCTGATGACCAGTGATGATGAGCATTTTTTCATGTGTCTGTTGGCTGCATAAATGTCTTCTTTTGAGAAGTGTCTGTTCATATCCTTTGCCCACTTTTTGCTGGGGTTGTTTTTTTCTTGTAAATTTGTTTAAGTTCTTTGTAGATTCTGGATATTAACCCTTTGTCAGATGGGTAGATTGCAAAAATTTTCTCCCATTCTGTAGGTTGCCTGTTCACTCTGATGGTAGTTTCTTTTGCTGTGCAGAAGCTCTTTAGTTTAATTAGATCCCACTTGTCTATTTTGGCTTTTGTTGCCATTGCTTTTGGTGTTTTAGTCATGAAGTCTTTGCCCATGCCTATGTCCTGAATGGTATTGCCTAGGTTTTCTTCTAGGGTTTTTATGGTTTTAGGTGTTACATTTAAGTCTTTAATCCATCTTGAATTAATTTTTGTATGAAGTGTAAGGAAGGGATCCAGTTTCGTCTTTCTACATATGGCTAGCCAGGTTTCCAAGCACCATTTATTAAATAGGGAATCCTTTCCCTATTTCTTGTTTTTGTCAGGTTTGTCAAAGATCAGATGGTTGTAGATGTGTGGTGTTATTTTTGAGGCCTCTGTTCTGTTCTATTGGTCTATATATCTGTTTTGGTACCAGTACCATGCTGTTTTGGTTACTGTAGCCTTGTCGTATAGTTTGAAGTCAGGTAGCGTGATGCTTCCAGGTTTGTTCTTTTTGCTTAGGATTGTCTTGGCTATGCAGGCTCTTTTTTTAGTTCCATATGAACTTTAAAGTAGTTTTTTCCAATTCTGTGAGGAAAGTGATTGGTAGCTTGATGGGGATGGCATTGAATCTATAAATTACCTTGGACAGTATGGCCATTTTCACAATATTGATTCTTCCTATCCATGAGCATGGAATGTTCTTCCATTTGTTTGTGTCCTCTTTTATTTCACTGAGCAGTGGTTTGTAGTTCTCCTTGAAGAGGTCCTTCACATCCCTTGTAAGTTGGATTCCTAGGTATTTTATTCTCTTTGTAGCAATTGTAAATGGGTAAACTCCCCCAAATTCTTAACGGGGCCCTTGAGCCCCTATGCTCGGGCCATTCCCACACTATGGAGTGTACTTTCATTTTCAATAAATTTCTGCTTCTGTTGCTTCATTCTTACCTTGCTTTGTTTGTGTGTTTTGCGCAATTCTTTGCTCAAGACACCAAGAACTTGGACACCCTCTGCCAGTAACAATATAAATGGAATCACACATTATGTGTGTGAGATGAGTTTGGAGATTGGGTTCTTTCACTTAGTATTTTAGATTTATCCATGTTGTTGCATTTATTAATAATTAAGTCCTTTTCACTGCTGGGTAGTAACTTTAATGGATATACCACAATTTTTTTATTCATTCACTCACTGAAGGACATTTGAGTTGGTTCCAGCATTGGATGATTATGAATAATGCTGCTAGAAACATTTGTATACAGGTTTTTGTTGGATATAAGTTCTTATTTTTATTTTTATTTTATTTTACTGTAAGTTCTGGGATACATGTGCAGAATATGCAGGTTTGTTACATAGGTATACATGTGCCACGGTGGTTTGCTGCACCTATCAACCCATCACCTAGGTTTTAAGCCCCGTATGCTTTAGGTATTTGTCTTAATGCTCTCTCTCCCCTTGCCCCCACCCCTTGACAGTCCCCAGTGATGTGTGCCCCTGTGTCCATGTGTTCTCATTTTCCATTCCCTAGAATGAATACCTAGAAGTGAGATTGCTGGGTAACATGATATATGTTCAACTTTTTAAGAAAGTGCCAAACTGTTTTCCAGAGTGGCTGTGACATTTTGCATTCCCACCAGCAATGTATGAGAATTCCTGTTGCTTTGAACCCTTGCTAACACTTGGTATTGTCAGTATTTTCAAATTTTAGCTAATCTCAAAAGGGCACATGGTAGGAGGCTTCTGACATGGCTCCCATGGTATTCATGCCTCCAGGTAATTGTACCCTTGGATAATTTCCTCGTCTTGAGTTTGGGCCGAACCTAATACCTTGGTTCTAATGAATAGAAGAAGAAATACTAACAATATTAATTTCCCTTTCACTTTCTTAAATGGAAATTAATATGGCAACAGTGATGAGGTGTTGCTTCTGGGATCACATTACAAAAGACTGTGGCTTCTGTCTTGCTGGACTTCTCTTGCTGGCTCCTCTTGCGTGCTTGATCTGATGGGAAGGGTCAACCCTGGCAAGGGACTGAAGGCCATCTCCAACCAACAGTGGAGGAACTCCACTGTTCCTTAGCGAGGAACTGAGGCCCTCAGTCCAACAGCCCTCAAGTAACTGAATCCTGTGAATAATCATGCTTGGAAGAAGATCCTTTCCCTCCAGCCTCCCAGCCTTCATTGGCGTTCACAGCCCCAACCAATAACTTGATTGGAGCCTTGTGAGGGACTCTAAGGCAGAGAACCCAATTAAGCTGTTCCTGGATCCTTGACCCACAGAAACTGAGATAAACATCATGTTGTTTTAGCCACTAAGTTTTGGGGTAATTTGTTACACAGCAATAAATATCAAGCAGACGTGTAATAATGTTTCATTTTGTTTTAAATTTGCATTTCTCTAATAACTAATGATGTTGAGCATCTTTTGAGATGTTTATTTGCTATCTGTATATATTCTCTGGTGAACATCCATTCATATTGTTTCTTTCTTTTAAAAATTGGATCATGTGTTTCCTTATTGTCAAGTTTTGCAAGGTTATTTATTTATTTTTCAGAGAACAGGTTCTGGCACTGTCTTCCAAGCTGGAGTGCAGTGGCATGATCATAGCTCACTGCAGCCTGAAACTCCTGGTCTCAAGCAATCCTCTCCCTGCATTCTCCTAAGGCACTGGGATTATAGTCATGAGTCACTAAGCCCAGCCTGACAGGGTTTTTAAACAGATATATTCTAAATATATGGTATATTAATCTGTTCTTGTACTGCTATAAAGAAATACCATAAACTGGGTAATTTATAAAGAAAGGGAGGCTGAGGCAGGTGGATCACAAGGTTAGGAGTTCAAGACCAACCTGACCAACATGGTGAAACCCCGTCTCTACTAAAAATACAAAAATTAGCCAGGCGTGGTGGTATGCGCCTGTAATCCCAGCTACTCAGGAGGCTGAGGCAGGAGAATCGCTTGAACCTGGGATGTGGAGGTTTCAGTGAGCCGAGATCACGCCACTGCACTCCAGCCTGAGCAAGAGTGAGATTCCATCTCAAAAAAAAAAAAAAAAAAGGAAAAAAGAAAAGAGGTTTAATTGGCTCAGGTTCCACAGGCTGTACAGGAAGCATGACTCTGGAGGCCTCAGGAAATTTACAATCATAGCAGAAGGCAAAGGGGAAGCAGGCACCTCTTGTGAGCAGGAGGAAGAGAGTGAAAGGGGAGGTACTATACACTTTTCAACAACCAGATCTTGTGATAATTCACTCACTATCATGAGAACAGCAAGGGGAAATCTGCCCCTATGATCCAATCACCTCCCACCAGGCCCCTCCTCTAACACTGGGGATTACAATTTGACATGAGATTTGGGCGGAGACAGAAATCCAAACCATATCATATGGCTTTGTATGATGTGTCATACAACTGTTTTCCTCTCAATTGTCTTTTTATTCTCTTAACAATGTCCTTCACTGATAAAATGCTTTAAATTTTGATGAAATCCAATTTATCAATTTTTTGTTTCATGGATTGTGCTTTTGATATTATATGTTACAGCTCTTTGGCACACACTTGTAGTCCCAGCTTCTCAGGAGGCTGAGATGGGAGGATTGCTTGAACCCAGGAGTTTGAAGGGAGCTTGGGCAACATAGTGAGATGCTCTCAAAAAAAAAAAATATTTGCTTAATTAAAGCTTATAAAGATTTTCTCCTATTTTTTTTCTAAGAGTTTTATAATAATTTTATGTTTTACATTCAGGTCTCTGATTTTTTTTTTTTTTTTTTTTTTTTTTTTTTTTTTTTTTGAGCTGGAGTCTCGTTCTGTCACCCAGCCTGGAGTGCAGTGGCACGATCTTGGCTCACTGCAACCTCCGCCTCTGGGGTTCAAGTGATTCTCTTGCCTCAGCCTCCCTAGTAGCTGGGATTACAGGCATGTGTCACCACACCTGGCTAATTGTTGTATTTTTAGTAGAGACGGGGTTTCACCATGTTGGCCAGGCTGGTCTGGAACTCCTGACCTCAGGTGATCTGCCCACCTCCGCCTCCCAAAGTGCTGGGATTACAGGCATGAGCCCCCACACTGGGCCTCTGGTCTTTTTTTTTTTTTTTAATTGCTGTATTAGAATGTAATTCACATGCCATGCAAGTCACTCATTTAAAATGTAAAGTAAATTTTTTTGGTTTTTGGTTTTTTTTTGAGATGGAGTCTCGCTCTGTTGCCCAGGCTGGAGTGCAGTGGTGAGATCTTGGCTCATTGCAACCCCCGCCTCTCGGGTTCAAGCAATTCTCCTGTCTCAGCCTCCCAAGTAACTGGGATTATAGGCGCCCACCACCACACCAGGCTAATTTTTATATTTTTAGTAGAGACAGGGTTTCACCATGTTGGTCAGGCTAGTCTTGAATTCCTGACCTCAGGTGATCCACCCACCTTGACCTCCCAAAGTGCTGGGATTACAGGCGTGAGCCACCACACCCAGCCTCAATGTTTTTTAGTATATTCACAGGATCGTATAACCATCACTACAAACTAATTTTAGAACATTATCATTCACCCCAAAAGAAACTTCATACCCATTACCAATCAATCCTCTTCCCTACTTCCCACCCTTAGTCCTAAACCACTAACCACTAACCCACCCTGTCTCCGTAAATTTGCCTATTCTGGGCATTTTATGTAAATGGAAGTATACAATATGTGTTCTTCTGTGACTTCTTTCACTTTGCATGTTTTCAAGATTCATCCATGTTGTAGCAGATATCAGTACTTGATTTCTTTTTATAGCTTCATAATATTCCATTGTGTGTATATACCATGTTTTATTGATCCACTCATCAGTTGACGAACATTTCGGTTGTTTCAACTTTTTAGCTGATATGAACACTGCTGCTATGAACATTTGTGTACAGGTTTTTGTGTGGGTGTACGTTTGCATTTCTCTTGAGTATGCTTAGGAGTGGAGTTGCTGGGCCATTTGGAAACTTTCCGTGTAACTTTTTGAGGATGTGTTAAATCGCATAGTTTTGTTATGATCCATTTTGAGTTAATGTTTATATAAGTGTACATTACATTGATTTTCTTTCTTTTATTCTTTTTCTTTTTCTTTTTCTTTCTTTCTTTTTTTTTTTTTTTTTGAGACAAAGTCTTGCTCTGTCGCCCAGGCTGGTATCCAGTGGCTTGATCTCAACTCACTGCAACTTCCATCTCCCAGGTTCCAGCTGAAGGGGTGGGTTGCCCCTCCACACCTGTGGGTGTTTCTCGTTAGGTGGAACGAGAGACTTGGAAAAGAAAAAGACACAGAGACAAAGCATAGAGAAAGAAATAAGGGGGCCCAGGGGACCAGCGTTCAGCATATGGAGGATCCTGCCAGCCTCTGAGTTCCCTTAGTATTTATTGATCATTCTTGGGTGTTTCTCGGAGAGGGGGATGTGGCAGGGTCATAGGATAATAGTGGAGAGAAGGTCAGCAGATAAACATGTGAACAAAGGTCTCTGCATCATAGACAAGGTAAAGAATTAAGTGCTGTGCTTTAGATATGCATACACATAAACATCTCAATGCCTTAAAGAGCAGTATTGCTGCCCGCATGTCCCACCTCCAGCCCTAAGGCGGTTTTCCCCTATCTCAGTAGATGGAACATACAATCGGGTTTTATACCGTGACATTCCATTGCCCAGGGACGGGCAGGAGACAGATGCCTTCCTCTTGTCTCAATTGCAAAGAGGCGTTCCTTCCTCTTATACTAATCCTCCTCAACACAGACCCTTTACGGGGGTGCGGGCTAGGGGACGGTCAGGTCTTTCCCTTCCCACGAGGCCATATTTCAGACTATCACATGGGGAGAAACCTTGGACAATACCTGGCTTTCCTAGGCAGAGGTTCCTGCGGCCTTCCGCAGTGTTTGTGCCCCTGGGTACTTGAGATTAGGGAGTGGTGATGACTCTTAATGAGCATGTTGCCTTCAAGCTTCTGTTTAACAAAGCACATCTTGCACAGCCCTTAATCCATTTAACCCTGAGTGGACACAGCACATGTTTCAGAGAGCACGGGGTTGGGGGCAAGGTTACAGATTAACAGCATCTCAAGGCAGAAGAATTTTTCTTAGTACAGAACAAAATGGAGTCTCCCATGTCTACTTCTTTCTACACAGACACAGTAACAATCTGATTTCTCTTTCTTTTCCCCACACCGGCGATTCTCCTGCTTCAGCCTCCCAAGTAGCTGGGACTACAGGTGCGTACCACCACGCCTGGCTAATTTTTTGTATTTTTAGTAGAGACGGGGTTTCACCACGTTGGCCAGGCTGGTCTTGAACTCCTCATGTCAATTAATCCACCCGCCTTGGCCTCCCAAAGTGCTGCAATCACACCCAGTGATTTTCAAGTACTGACCCAGCCTTGTATTACTGGGATAAAATTCATTTGGTTGTGACGTGTCATGTTATATATTGCTAAATTTGATTTGCTAAGATTTTGCTGAAGAATTTTTGCACTTATGTTCATGAAGGTTATTGATCTGTAGCTTTCTTTTCTCATGATGTCTTTATCTAGTTTTGTTCTTTTTCTTTTCTTTCTTTTTCTTTTTTTTTTTTTTTTTTGAGATGGAGTTTTGCTCTTGTTGCCCAGGCTGGAGTGCAGTGGCAAGATCTCAGCTCACCGCAACTTCTGCCTCCTGTGTTCAAGCAATTCTCCTGCCTCAGCCTCTTGAGTAGCTAGGATTACAGGCACCCGCCACTGCACCTGGCTAATTTTTTGTATTTTCAGTAGAGGCGGGGTTTCACCATGTTAGCCAGGCTGGTCTCGAACTCCTGACCTCAGGTGATCCCCCCCCACCTCAGCCTCCCAAAGTGCTGGGATTACAGGTGTAAGCCACCATGCCTGGTGTCTTTGTCTAGTTTTGATACAAGTGTAATGCTGGTTTCATAAAATGAGCTACAAAGTGTTGCCTCTATCTTCTGGAAGAGATTGTGAAGAATTGCTGCTATTTCTTCTTCAAATGTTTGGAAGAATTCACCAGTGAAATCATTTGACCTCAAGTTTTCCTTTTTGGAAGCTATGAATTAGATCTTTTAATAGATTCAGGACTATTCACTTTATTTCTCCTTGAATGAGTTCTGATAATTTGTGTCTTTCAAGGAATTGGTCCATTTTATCTAAGTTGTTGTATATGTGTGCACAGAGTTGTCCCTAGGATTCTCTATTATCCTTTTACTGTCTGTAAAAAGGGAAAGTAGTGATGTCCCCTCTTTCATTGTTTATGTCATTGTTTATGTCAGCAATTTGTGTCTTCTCTGTCTTTCTTGTTAAAGAATCAGTGTTTAATTTATTTTCTCTATTTTTCTGATTTCAATTTCATTGATTTCTGCTCTAAACTTTTTAAAAAATTTTTATTTATTTATTTTTTGAGACGGAGTCTCACTCTTTAGCCCAAGTTGGAGTGCAGTGCCGTGATCTTGGCTCACTGCAACCTCTGCTCCCGGGACTCAAGCGATTCTTGTGCCTCAGCCTCCTGAGTAGCTGGGACTACAGGCGCGCACCACCACGCCCGGCCAAATTTTTGGACAGGGTTTCACCATGTTGCCCAGGGTGGTCTCGAACTCCTGAGCTCAGGTGATCCGCCCACCTCGGCCTCCCAAAGTGCTGGGATTAGAGGTGTGAGCCACTGTACCCGGCTAAACTTTATTCTTTCATTCTGCTTGCTTTATTTTTGCTTTTCTTTTTCTAGTTTATTTAGGTGGATTATACTCCATTTTGGAGACCAAATAACCATAATACCAAATCCTGACTAAAATAGCACACACAAATTTAAAAAAGAAAAAAAAAAAAACAAAAACAGACAAATCTATAGGTGTAAAACTTACAAATAAAGTATTTTATTTAAAAAATCACATAAATAGTTAATAAGGCATTTTGGGAGACCAAGGCAGGCAGATTATGAGGTCAGAAGATCGAGACCATCCTAGCTAACACAGTGAAACCCCATCTCTACTAAAAATACAAAAAATTAGCCGGGCATGGTAGCAGGTGCCTGTAGTCCCAGCTACACGGGAGGCTGAGGCAGGAGAATCTCTTGAACCCGGGAGGCAGAGGTTGCAGTGAGCTGAGATCAGTGCCACTGCACTCGGTGACAGAGCAAGACTCTGTCTCAAAAAAAAAAAAAGTTAATATGGAAAAACAATATTTTAATATCAATAAATACTGAAAACCCACTGGCTCTCATTTAGCACAATTTAAAAAACAGGGTCCAGCCATGGTGGCTCATATCTGTAATCCCAGCACTTTGGGAGGCCAAGGTGGGCAGACCACCTGAGGTCAGGAGTTCAAGACCAGCCTGGCCAACATGGTGAAAACTTGTCTCTACTAAGAATACAAAAATTAGCTGGGCATGGTGGCGCACGCCTGTAATCCCACCTACTCGGGAGGCTGAGGCCGGACAGTTGCTTGAGCCTGGGAGGTGGAGGTTGCAGTGAGCCAAGATTACGCCACTGCACTTCAGCCTGGGCGACAGAGTAAGACTCCGTCTCAAAAACAAACAAACAAACAAACAAACAAACAAAACAAACCAGGGTCCTTGTAGCCTTCTCTGCTATGGGAGGCTACAATCTGTAACCAGAAGAGGGCCCTCAGCAGAACCTGACTCTGGCGAGGTTCTGATCCCTACCTTCTAGCCTCTGGAACTGTGAGAAATACATTTCTGTTGTTTATATTTAAAAAATGGGTAATGTGTTCCAGTTATTCAACAATCAAAACTATATTTAAAAGTGAAAAAGAAGTACAGGAAAGCCTCACTCTTACCCTTGCTTCCCCAGACAACTTTTAAATATAGTTTTGATTATTAAATGACTTTATTAGTTCCTATTTAGGCTTCCAGTGTGACACTATGCAAATATAAGCAAATATGGATATAATTCTCATTCTCCCTTACACAAAATACTCTGTGTACATATTTAATATATTTATATATACATACATACATACATTGTTCTTTATCTTGCATTTTTTCATTTAATAACATATCTTGGAGATATTTCCATTTCAATGAGGAAATTTTGCTTACTCTTCATTGGAGCTGCATACTATTCCACTATGTGGATATCTAGTTTACTAAGCCAGTCCTCTATTGACATACATTTGTGTTGTTTTCCATTTTTTACTAATGGAGACAATGCCGAATGTTTTCAAAGCACATGTGCAAGTGTATCTGTGGGATAAACTCCCAGAAATGGGGTGTTTGTCTTGGAAGGCAAGTGTATCTACAGTTTTGGTAGATGCTGTCAAATTGCTCTCCAAAGGAATTATTCTATTTTGTGCCTGCCCACAGCAGTCTGAGAATGCCTGTTTTTCCACAGCCTCACTAACAATGGGTTTTAAAACTTTTCAATTTCTGTAATCCCAGCACTTTGGGGGGCCGAGGCAGGCAGATCATGATCAGGAGATCAACAGTATCCTGACTAACATGGTGAAACCCTGTCTTTATTAAAAATACAAAAAATTTGCCAGGTATGGTGGCATGCATCTGTAGTCCCAGCTACTCAGGAGGCTGAGGCAGGAGAATCACTTGAACCCAGGAGGTCGAGGTTGCAATGAGCCGAAATCGTGCCACTGCACTCAAGCCTGGGTAACAGCGAGACTCCATCTCAAAAAACAAACAAACAAACAAACAAACAAAACAAACAGACAAAAAAAAACCTTTTCAATTTTTTGCTAACCTGATAGGTAGGAAATGGTGTCTCAGTATGGTTTTGATTTTCATTTCTCATATAATGAGAAAGGTAGAACACCTTTCCAAAAATTTAAGGATCATTTGTATCTCTCTCTGACAAGTCTCTTCATATTTTCCATGCTTTTTCTTCTTGATTTCTAAGAGCTCTTGATAAATAAGGCAATGGATCCCTTTGTCTGTAATATGAATTGCAAATATTTTCAACAGTTTGTAATATTTTACTCCATTTGTATTCTTCCTCTGGGAGCTGGTAAAGGGGAAAACCTCTCTTTTTTAAAGCCCTCCCTCTAGGTTTTTCTTTCCCATTCAATATTTATTCATACATTAATTTATTTGAGGAATTCAATAGAATATGGTTGAAAGCAGTGATTGGAAAAAAAAACCATTTCATAATCTTATATGCGCCATTGAGCTGACACTCTACAATAAACCAGTTACACTTACTTTTGCTTACTTTTGCTATTTGCCAAGCAATAGTATTGGGAAACATTCAAGATGGCTTGCAAAATCCTGAAAAGCATAAAATAGAAAATAAAAACCACTCATTGATACTATTAATATATTAGTGTCTTTCCAGGTTTTTCTTATATGTATGTATCTTTAACATCCTGCTATAACTTATGTACATTTACCTGTCATTAAAAATAATCCAAAAATATAATTTTTCTTGCTAGAGAATAATGAATCATATATAAATATTATAATTTACAGAAAAACATTTCTGTTATTGTAATGTAAAATTTTTCCTTTTTTAAAAAATACTAAAAATAACATGGTAATATATACCTTTTATACATCATTCATCTGATTATTTCCTTAATGTAGTTCTTAGATGTAAAATTTCTAAGTCAAATGGCAGAAACATTTTAAAGGCTTTTGATATATGTTGCCAAACTGTGTTCTGGACAGGATGCTGCCAAAGTATTCAGGGAAAATTTAATTCAGTGAAATGCATTTATTAGAAAATAAGAATAAATAAGCTCTAACTCAAGAAACTAGAAAAATAATTATAAACTTAAAAGAAGTTTATAGAAGAAGGCCAGGTGCAGTGACTCACATCTGTAATCCCAGAGGTCCAGGAGGCCAAGATGTGAGGATCACTTGAGGCCAGGAGATCAAGACCAGCCTAGGCAACATAGCAAGACCCTATCTCCAACAAAAAAATTTAAAAATTAGCCAGGAGTGGTGGTGTGCGCCTGTAGTCCTAGCTACTTTGTAGGCTGAGATGGGAGGATCCCTTGAGCTCAGTAGTTCAAGGTTACAGTGAGCTATGATCATGCCACTGCACTCCTGCCTAGGTGACAGGGAAAGAGCCTGTCTCTCTAAAAACTAAACAAACAAAAACACCCCAAAACAAACAAAAACACCCTAAAATAAGTAGAAGGATTTAGTAAAGATTTTAAAAATTAATAAAATAGAAAATAGCACCAAGAAAGAAGCATAATGTGTCCTGATTAGGAAAAACATAAAAAACTCATGCTTAGATACATTTAGTGAAATGGCAGGACATTTTTCTGCCTCTGAGGATTTTGCTAAACCTCTTTAAAGATAAAGAGATAATCTTGGCTGGGCGCAGTGGCTCATGCCTATAATCCCAGCACTTTGGGAGGCTGAGGCGGGCAGATCACTTGAGGTCAGGAGTTCGAAACCAGCCTGGCCAACATGGTGAAACCCTGTCTCTACTAAAAATACAAAACAGTTAGCTGGGCGTGGTGGTGCGCGCCTGTAATCCCAGCTACTTGGGAGGCTGAGGCAGGAGAATCGCTTGAACCCGGGAGGTGGTGGTTGTAGTGAGCCGAGATCACGCCATTGCACTCCAGTCTGGGTGACAAGAGCGAAACTCCATCTCAAAAAAGAAAGTAGAGTTCCCATATACCCTGCCCCCATACATGCATACCTCCCTCACTGTCAACTTCCTGTACCAGAATGGTACATTTGTTACAACTGCTGAATCTACACCCACACATCACTCAACATCCATAGTTAACACTAGGCTTCATTCTTGGTGTTGCACATTCTGTGGGCTTTGACAAATGTATAATGACATGTCTCCACCATCTTAGTATCATAAAGAATATTTCCCTGCCCTAACAATCTGTGCTTTCCCTACTCATCCTCCCTCCCCGCTAAACACTGGAAACCACTGATATTTTTACTTTCTCCATAGTTTTGCCTTTTCCAGACTGTCATATACCTGAAATCATACAGCACATGTAGCCTTTTAGTTTGGCTTCTTTCACTTAGTAATATGCATTTAAAGTTCCTCCATGTCTTTTCATGGCTTGATAGCTCATTTCTTTTTAGCGCTGAATAATATTCCTTTTTTTTTTTTTTTTTTTTGAGATGGAGTCTCACTCTTGTTGCCCAGGCTGGAGTGCACTGGCATGATCTCCACTCACTGCAACCTCTGCCTCCTGGGTTCAAGCAATTCTTCTGCCTCAGCCTCCCGAGTAGCTGGGACTACAGGCATGCACCACCATGCCTGGATAATTTTTGTATTTGTAGCAGAGACAGGGTTTCACCATGTTGGCCAGGCTGGCCTCAAACTTCTGACCTCAGGTGATCTGCCCGCCTTGGCCTCCCAAAGTGCTGGGATTACCAGCATAAACCACCACGCCCAGCTAATATTTCATTTTTTAAGAGAATACACTTAGTGAAATTCCATCCTACATTTTATTTTTAAGCATCTGTATTTTCTAAAATTTCTGTAGAATAAATATATTTTCAAATCTAATTTTTATAATTTGGTTTACATGTAAGATGATGTTACCAATTCAGACCTCATTCAAATGTCGCCAGTTTTTTTTTTTTTATACTTTAAGTTTTAGGGTACATGTGCACAACGTGCAGGTTAGTTACATACGTATACATGTGCCATGTTGGTGTGCTGCACCCATTAACTCGTCGTGTAACATTAGGTATATCTCCTAATGCTATCTCTCCCCCTTCTCCCCACCCCACAACAGGCCCCGGTGTGTGATGTTCCCCTTCTGGTGTCCATGTGTTCTCATTGTTCAATTCCCACCTATGAGTGAGAACATGCGGTGTTTGGTTTTTTGTCCTTGCGATAGTCTGCTGAGAATGATGGTTTCCAGCTTCATCCATGTCCCTACAAAGGACAGGAACTCATCATTTTTTATGGCTGCATAATATTCCATGGTGTATATGTGCCACATTTTCTTAATCCAGTCTATCATTGTTGGACATTTGGGTTGGTTCCAAGTCTTTGCTATTGTGAATAGTGCCGCAATAAACATATGTGTGCATATGTCTTTGTAAATGTCGCCAGTTTTATATGCACTAATTTGTGTGTGTATTTAGTTCTGTGCAATTTTATTACCTGTGTAGAATTGTGTAACAAAATAAGGAACTATTCTATCGTAAGGATTCTTTGTGCTACCCTTTTTACAGCCAGACCCATCTCACTTCCCACTTCCTCTCTCCAGTCCCTGGCAACCAATAATCTGTTCTGCATCTTGATAATTTTGTCATTTCAGGAATGTTATAGAAATTAAATCACACAGTATGTAACTTTTTGAGATTACCTTTCTTTACTTAGCATAATTCCCTTCAAATCTATCCAAATTGTTGTGTGAATCAATAGTTCATTCTTTTTATGCTGTGTAGAATTCCAAAGCATGGATATACTCCAGTTTGTGTATTCGCTAACTGAAGAGCATTGATTTGAGAAGGTTTTGATTTGACTGAGTGTTTTACACAATCGCAGTGACTGCCACATGTAAAACAGGCTGGGATGTGGAGAGTAGGAGGCTCTTCAAAATGAGAGAAAGGGAGGGGGAGACAGAGAGGCACAGTGGGTTAATTAGGGTAACAACAGTGGAAGTGGTGAGGAGTGGTTGGATTCTGAATGTACTTTGATAGTAGAGCTGACAGATTTGCTGACGGATTGATCTGGTGGTGAGAGAGAAAGAAAAATGGGGTGGCTCCAAGGTTTTTGGCCTAGGCAACTTGAAGGATGCAGTTTCCACTTTATTGTGAGAAAGAGAAGATAGAGGGAGAACAAGTTGGGAGAGAAAGGGGGCAAATCAAAAGACAGTGAGATAGTATTTTCCCCACTCTTCAGGTAGGTGAAGAATAAAAAGATTAGGAGTTGTGAGAGTGTGGAGAACGGGGATTCCCATGACAAGAATAGAAATTAATTCAAACTTCTCAGGGGGCAAATTTATAGTAGATATATAAATCTCTGATCCATCAATTCCTCTTCCAGAGATTTATCCTATAGAAATACTGGAACAAATACTCAAAAATATAAGTACAAGGATATTTATTTCAGGAAAGAAGGAAGAAAGGACAGAAAGAAGAGAGAAAGAAAGGAAGGAAGGAAAGAAAAAGAAAGAAGAAAAGAAAACAAATAGGGATGTAGAAACTTGGAGGGTTTTTTTTCAGGGGGTGGTGGGGGTCTTGCTCTGTCACCCAGGTCCAGTGCAGTGGCATAATTATAGCTTACTGAAACCTCAAACTCCTGGGCTCAAGCAATCCTCCCACCACAGCCTCCCAAGTAGCTGAGACTACAGGTATGTGCCAACACACCCAGCTAATTTTTAATTTTTTTGTAGAGACAGGGTCTAGGCTCCTAGGCTCAAGAAATCCTCCTGCCCTGGCCTCCTAAAGTGCTGGGATTACAGGAGTGAGCCACCACATCTGGCCCTGAAACTTGAGTTTTTACTTAGATAGAAGCATTTTATTTCTTCAGTCACGATTTGGAAATTCTGATATTTGAATCTCAAGCCCTAGCTTTGTTAAACACTTAAGAGTCCACAGCTTTTTACAACCAAGGAAAACAGAATTCTCCAAAGAGTAGTTGTCCTCACCCACTATGACCAGGTTGCCATAGATCTCCAGCATCACTTCTCTGTAAAGGCCCTTTGTGCATAGTCTAGTTGCCCCCATTCCTCTTTGGTGAAGTCCATGGCCACATCCTTGAATGTAACAGGTTCCTAAAACACCAATGAACAGGAATTCCTCTTCGGTGAGCAAGCATCTACAGCAATGCATGTGGTACACAGGGTCCACCTGGCAACACTGGGGGCGGTAGATAACCTCAGAGTTCGCCTCAAGCCATAAGAATAATTAAAAGAACAATTTAAAAAATGTAGAAAGATACATGTGTCATATGCAGAGGCTCACTAACCTTAATAATCTGAAGAGCTCTTAAACATCAGTCAGAAAAAGATAAAATGCTCTGGTTAAAAAATGGACGAATGGACAATGACCTGATAATTCCTAGAAGAAAAACAAATGGCCAATAAACAGACAAAAACATATGCTGCCTCACAAATCATCAAGGAAATGGACACTCAGGCTGGGCGCCGTGGCTCATGCCTGTAATCCCAGCAGTTTGGGAGGTCGTGGCGGGTGGATCACCTGAGGTCAGGAGTTCGAGACCAGCCTGATCAACATGGAGAAACCCCGCCTCTACTAAAAATACAAAATTAGCCGGGCATGGTGGCACATGCTTGTAATCCCAGCTACTCGGGAGGCTGAGGCAGGAGAATTGCTTGAAGGCGGGAGGCAGAGGTTGCAGTGAGCCAAGATCGCGCCATTGCACTCCAGCCTGGGCGACAAGAGCAATACTCCATCTCAAAAAAAAAAAAGAAAAAGAAATGTACATTCAGATAACAATGAGACATTATTTCTCTCAACCCATTGGGCAAAGATTAAGACTTATAATATTCATTAGTGAGGGTATGAGGAAACAGATACCCTCATATGCCGTTGGAAGGAGTATCAATTGTTATAAACTTTTTTTGGGGAGCAATTTGGCAATATTTATTAAACATCTTTTGACCCAGCAATTCCAATTTCAGAAATTCATCTTCATTAAGATAACTAATGACTTCCTTGCCACTAAATCCAATGGAAAGTTTTCAATCCTTTTTATACTTGATTTCTTGACATTATTTGGCCCTGTTGACTACACAGTCTTCCTCAAAACTCTTTCCTCTCATAGTAACCTGGTTTCCTCTCATAGTAACCTGGTTTTTCTCTTACCTCTCTGATCACTCTCAATCTCCTTTACTCATCAATGTTGGGGTTCCCCAGGTTGGAACCTAAGCCCTCTTCTTACTCTACTTACTCCTCCTATGTGATGTCATCTATTCGTATAGCTTCAAATGCCATTTGAATGCTGACAACTCAAATGTACACTTGCAGCTGAGACCTCAAGCCAGACAGTTACAGACCCAAGTACGTGCCAGATGAATATCCAGTTTGAAACACAGTGCCTGACTTAGAATAGGTAATCAATAAATATCTACCCAATGAAACAAACACCTACTTGGATGTCTCAAAGGCATCTAAATTAACATGCTAAATTCCAACTTTATCTCCTGCTTTTCTTTCATGTTTAGGAAATGATCAGGAAATTGAGTTCAGGAAATCATACCTCCAACCACCAAAATGTTTAAGTCAGAAAAATATGAGTCATCCTTGATTTCTTTTTCTCCCTCCTCCCTCACATCTGCTCCATCACTAAATCTAAATATCTCTTTGCTGGGTGTGGTGGCTGACGCCTGTAATCCCAACACCATGAGAGGCCCAAGTGGGAAGATCATTTGAGCCCAGGAGTTCAAGACCAGCCTGGGCAATATAGGGAGACTCCATCTTTACCAAAAAGAAAAAAAATAAGGCCAGGCGTGGTGGCTCATGCCTGTAATCCCAGCACTTTGGGAGGCCGAGGCAAGCAGATCACCTGAGGACGGGAGTTCGAGACCAGCCTGACCAACATGGAGAAACCCCATCTCTACTAGAAATACAAAATTATCTGGCTGTGGTGGTGTATGCCAGCTACTTGGGAGGCTGAGGCAGGAGAATCACTTGAACCCAGGAGGCGGAGGTTGCAGTGAGCTGAGATTGCGCCATTGCACTCCAGCCTGTGCAACAAGAGTGAAAAATCCATCTCAAAAGAAAAAGAAAGAAAAAAAAATAGCTGGGTGTGGTGGCATGCACCTGTAGTCCCAACTACTCAAGAGGCCGAGATAGGAAGATCACTTGAGCCCAGGAGGACGAGGCTGCAGTGAGCCATGATTGCACCACTGTGTTCCAGCCTGGGTGACAGAGAGAGACCTTGTCGCTAAATAAATAAATAAATAAGTATCTCTGCTGCCACCACTTTTTTCTGAGCCACTGTGATCTCTCACCTCTCCTCCTAGTTGGTCTATATACCATGTTGCCTTTCTGCAATATAATCTCCTCTTTTTATGCCCATTTCTTAAATATTTGTGTTCCTCAAGGTTCTTCTCTGTTTCTTTTTCTTCTCTTCTTACGTATCAACCAAGTCCATGGCTTTAATGACCAATCTATGGTGACAACTCATAAATTTGTACCTTTACCCGGGATCTCTCTCAGACCTTGATATCTACTACCTACCATCTAGACTTCTTTAATTGGATGTCCCACAGGCACTTCAAATTTTTTTTTATTTACAATTGTTTTATTTGTGTTCCTCATGCTACAACACAACCTTAAAAGTCAGCCAAGTATATAACATTAATATGCCTCCTCAAAACATCAACTTAGATAACCCATAGCCAGAGCTTCTAAACTTCTACAATGCAACTTCAACATTCAAAAGAGCACAATATGCTTCAAATCCCATCTCAATGCAAATTTAAGAAAAGCAAAGCAAATTGTATTATCAGACTACGAAAACTCAGTACGATTCTGTAATTTAACATACTACTTCTCAACTCTCTAAATTTGTTTCTCAACACTGGGGAGAGTTTTTAAAGATATCAGTGCCTGAATTCTACTCCAAGCCAATCAAATCAGAATCTCTCTGGGGCATTTTTTTGTTAAAGCTTCCCCAGCAACTCTAATGTCAGCGAGAGTTGGGAATCACTGCTTAACAGAACCTCTTATGAAGCAAAAACATAAAGAAAAATAAGCCGGGCACAGTGGCTCACGCCTGTAATCCCAGCACTTTGGGAGGCCAAGGCGGGCAGATCACCTGAGGTCAGGAGTTTGAGACCAGCCTGGCCAACATGGTGAAACCCCATCTCTATTAAAAATATAAGTATTAGCTGGGTGTGGTGGCACGTGCCTGTAATCTCAGCTACTCGGGAGGCTGAGGCAGGAGAATCGCTTGAACCAAGGAGGCAGAGGTTGCGGTGAGCCCAGATCGTGCCACTTTACTCTAGCCTAGGTGACAGAGCGAGCCTCCATCTCAAAAAAAAAAAAAAAAAAAAAAAAAAAAAAAGATAAAGCACAGGAAGTAAGTATAGGGACATGGGGAATAAGTTAAAAATCAAAAGGACTCACTCATTGCTTTCCAACATCTTTTTCTTCTTGACCTTTTGAAACGTCCAAAAATTCGTAATATTACAATCTGTGTCATGATAATAAAACAGTTAAGAAAAAAACATAAAATGAAGGCCTACAAAGATCTTTGTTATTCATCTAGAATTATTTGGTATAACAGTATTTTCTAATGGAGGAAGACTATTGGATTTCAGGCATAAAACAATGCAGAAAAAATCTCAAGGCATCACAGGGAGAGGGAGATAACTTCTGACTCTGGTTTCCTGTGTTTCAGGCCAGGAAGAGCAAGGGGAGAAAAAGATTTGTCCATGGGAACAAGTACTCATGCTCTAAAGGACAATTTCATTTGAACCCACTAATTTCCTTTTCATGAAAAATTTCAAAGATAAAGCAACATAAAATATGAGGACAAAGAAAAGGGAGACGGTCTTCAAGGAGAATTTGTGCCTTTAAGTTTTTACTGGTACCTCAGTCCTTCAGCCTGGAGCTACTCAAAGATGAATCATGAAAAAGAAAAAAACTGTATTTCAAACAGGTTCAGTGGTGTATGTGTGTGCTACAGCAAAAGCTGGTTGTAGCAAAGTTTCATTTCAAACTGTATGATTTGGGCTGCGCAAGGTGGCTCATGCCTGTAATCCCAGCACTTTGGGAGGCCAAGGTGGGCTGATCACCCTGAGGTCAGGAGAGACCAGCCTGGCCAACATGTTGAAACCCCATCTCTACTAAAAATACAAAAATTAGCCAGGTGTGGTGGCACGGGCCTGTAATCTCAGCTACTCAGGAGGTTGAGGCAGGAGAATCGCTTGAACCCAGGAGGCAGAGGTTGCAGTGAGCCGAGATCGTACCACTGCACTCCAGCCTGGGTGACAGAGTGAGCCCACCGCTGCACTGTGGGAACCCCTCTCTGGGCTGGCCTAGGCTGGAGCCGGCTTCCTCGGCTTGTGGGGAGGTGTGGACAGAGAGGCGCGGGCGGGAACCGGGGCTGCGTGCCGCGCTGGCAGGCCAGCGCGAGTTCCGGGTGGGCGTGGGCTCTGCGGGCCCCACACTCCAAGCGGCCGGCTGGGCGCCGCTGGCCCCAGGCAGTGCGGGGCTTAGCACCCAGGCCAGCAGCTGCGGAGGTCCCCCAGCAGTGCTGACCCGCCAGCGCTGAGCTCGAATTCTCGCTGGGCCTCAGCTGCCTCCCCGCGGGGCAGGGCTGGGGACCTGCAGCCCGCCATGCCCGAGCCTCCCCCCCGCAGTGGGCTCCTGCACGGCCGGAGCATCCCCGATGAGCGCCACCGTCTGCTCTGCTGTGCCTGGTCCCATCCACCACCCAGGGGCTGAGGAGTGCGGGCACAGGGCACGGGACTGGCGGGCGGATCCACTAGGTGAAGCCAGTTGGGCTCCTGAGTCTAGTGGGGACTTGGAGAACTTTTATGTCTAGCTGGAGGGCTGTATACACACCAATCAGCACCCTGTGTCTAGCTTAAGGTTTGTAAATGCACCAAACAGTGCTTTGTGTCTAGCTAATCTAGTGGGGACTTGGAGAACCTTTATGTCTAGCTAAAGGATTGCAAATACACCAATCAGCACTCTGTGTGTAGCTTAAGGTTTGTAAATGCACCAATCAGCACTCTGTATCTAGCTAATCTGGTGGGGACTTGGAGAACCTTTATGTCCAGCTAAGGGATTGTAAATACACCACTCAGCACTCTGAGTCTAGCTCAAGGTTTGTAAACACACCAATCAGCACTCTGAGTCTAGCTCAAGGTATGTAAACACACCAATCAGCACCCTGTATCTAGCTCAAGGTTTGTAAACGCACCAATCAGTGCCCTGTGTCTAGCTAATCTGGTGGGGACTTGGAGAACCTTTATGTCTAGCTAAGGGATTGTAAATACACCAGTCAGCACTCTGTGTCTAGCTCAAGGTTTGTAAACACACCAATCAGCACCCTGTGTCTAGCTTAAGGTTTGTAAATGCACCAATCAGTGCTCTGTGTCTAGCTAATCTGGTGGGGACTTGGAGAACCTTTATGTCTAGCTAAGGAATTGTAAATACACCAATCAGCACTCTGTGTCTAGCTCAAGGTTTGTAAACACACCAGTCAGCACCCTGTGTCTAGCTCAAGGTTTGTAAACACACCAATCAGTGCTCTGTGTCTAGCTAATCTAGTGGGAACTTGGAGAACTTTTGTGTCTAGCTCAGGGATTGTAAATGCATCAATCAGCTCTCTGTAAAACAGACCAATCAAAACAGACCCTGTCAAAATGGACCAATCAGCTCTCTGTAAAACAGACCAATCAGCTCTCTATAAAATGGACCAATCAGCAGGATGTGGGTGGGGCCAGATAAGGGAATAAAAGCAGGCTGCCAGAGCCAGCAGTGGCAGCTCACTGGCATTCCATTCCACCTTGTGGATGCTTTGTTCTTTTGCTGTTTGCAATAAATCTTGCTGCTGCACACTCTTTGGCTCCACAGTGCCTTTATGAGCTGTAACACTCACCACGAAGGTCTGCTGCTTCTCTCCTGAGGTTAGCGAGACGCCGACTCCAACAGGAGGAATGAACAACTCCGGACGCGCTGCCTTAAGAGCTGTCACACTCACTGTGAAGGTCTGCAGCTTCACTCTTGAAGCCTGTGAGACCATGAACCCATCAGAAAAAAGAAACTCCGAACGTGTTTGAACATCAGAAGGAACAAACTCCGGACACACCATCTTTAACACTCATCGCGAGGGTCTGCGGCTTCATTCTTAAAGTCAGTGAGACCAAGAACCCATCAATTCCGGACACAGCTGGAGTGCAATAGCGCGGTCTCAGCTCACTGCAATCTCCATCTCCTAGGTTCAAGCAATTCTCCTGCCTCAGCCTCCTGAGTAGCTGGTTATAGGCATGCACCACCATGCCTGCTAAGTTTGTAGTTTTAGCAGACACAGGGTTTCTCCATGTTGGTCAGGCTGGTCTTGAACTTCTGATCTCAGGTGATCCACCTGCCTCTATCTCCCAAAGTGCTGGGATTACAGGCATGAGCCACCACACCCGGCCACATGCATTAATTTTTAAAGACAATAACCATATGTGTTGCTTAGGAGTTTGGGATCCGTTTTCGTTTTTTTTTTTTTTTTTTTTTTTTTTTGTTCTGGAGGCAGGGTCTCGCGCTTTGTGGCCCAGACTGGAGTGCAGTGGTGTGATCATGGCTCACTGTAGTCTCAACCTCCTGGGCTCAAGCAATCCTCCTACCTCAGCCTCCTGAGTAGCTGGGACCACAGGTGCATACCACCATGCCCAGCTGATTTTTTTTGTTTTTTGTAGAGACAGGGTCTCCCCGTGTTGCCCAGGCTGGTCTCGAACTCCTGGGCTCAGACAGTCCTCCAGCCTCAGCCTCCCAAAATGCTGAGATTACAGGCATGAACCACCGCGCCTGGCCCAAAACCTTTCTAATAAATTTTACTGACAGTCTTTTGATCCTCATTTTCACAAAATGTAAAGTTTTCATTTGATCCAGAAGATATCATTCGTATTTTCAAGGCAATTTGTAGATGCTTGGACCATCTTATAGACTAACAAGTGCAAACTTAGCTGCATTCACACCTCAATAGAGCAGCTGAGCATTAAAATACCCTTCATAAGAACTGGTAGTTTTGCCAATAAGTAGGCAGGTGTTTTATCAACTGAAATTGTTTTATAGGATTACTTAAAAGCCAGTACTTTCCTTCCCGGTTATTGCGCTATAAAACATATGAATAAGGATGTGCTAGATCTTTGAGTATGGTTATTTGTATTTATTATGGTTCTAAGAAGAAAAAGTAAGTTGCATTGTGAGATGTCACAGAGTAAAATTCACTGTCTTTTGTAAAGCTTTGAAATAATTTACTAGTGGTTTTTCAGTCTTGAAATTCACGCATCAGCATAATGAATGTTTAGTCTGTAATAATTGTAACCCTTGTTTTTTAAAACTATATTATATGTTACTTAAAGGCAGATTTAAAACATATATTCTAGGCTGGACACGGTGCCTCACACCTGTAATCCCAACACCTTGGGAGGCTGAAGTGGGCGGATCACAAGGTCAGGAGTTTGAGACTAGCCTGGCCAACATGGTGAAACCCTGTCTCTACTAAAAATACGAAAATTAGCGAGGCGTGGTGGCACGCACCTGTAATCCCAGCTACTCAGGAGGCTGAGGCAGGAGAATCTCTGGAATCTGGGAGGCGGAGGTGCAGTGAGCCAAGATTGCACCACTGCACTCCAACCTGAGCGACAGAGCGAGACTCTGTCTCAAAAAAACAAACAAACAAACAAAAAAACATAAATTCTGAATAGCTATCCACTCTCTCAATCTTGTACCTGAATCATCACAAACCCATTCATTGCAGTACAGTGAATTAATGCAAAATTACTAAATCTAGAGACATAGCAACTTAAGAACCAAAGCTGATCAGAGTAAATTCCCAGTAATTAGATATGTTCACATAGTAGCAATCATTTTCAATCCTTAATTAAGACAAGTTTTTGGGAACTGGTTGTGAAAATGAACGTATTTAAGTTGGTCTCCAAAATACAGAGACTTTTAGCATTTTGACTTAGTTTGAATATAGGGAGCTTGACAATATTTTGCTAAGGAGTTTGCTTTACAAATTTACTCAGGTACACACATAAAATTGGCTTTGTTCTTAGTTAATAATGAATAACCATACCAGTTACATTGTTATTTTGTAAAATTTATTTCTAAATAGAATAGAAACTTCTTACTGTTTAAATGCTTAAAACCATAGTTTTTAATGCCCAACCCTAGAGTTTATTTTAGCTATGAGAAAAGAAGCAAGATCAAGTGCATGTATGACTATACCACCTCAGACCATACTGAAAAATCATCTGCAGTGTTAAAATACCTCATATCTATAATGATCCTACATTGAATAATACAGACACACGTAAATTAGTTGCTGATATAAATGAAACCTCTAAGCCTACGATCTACTTGATTTTACATATAGAAAGTATGATCTCTGGTTCTTCTCCATATTCTTCTCTTCTAGAATGTGTGTGCAGTATAGTTGTATTATCTATTCACTTGGCTAAAGATTTTCTCTGACTGCTGCATATTCTTTTTATATAATAATTGCATCAGCAACTGTAAGCCTCTTATCTTGCCCAATAGTTTGACAGCTTGTATTTCTAGGCTAGAATACTTAAATTATGACTTTTTTCCTAGGCTGTGGATGGTTGTTATCATCACCATTCATCCATGGAAAGGAAATTTGGGCCGGACGCGGTGGCTCACGGCTGTAATCCCAGCACTTTGGGAGGCCAAGGAGGCGGATCACCTGAGGTCAGGAGTTCAAGACCAGCCTTGCCAACATGGTGAAACCTCGTCTCTACTAAAAATACAAAAACTAGTCGGGCATGGTAGCAGGCCCCTGTAATCCCAGCTAGTCGGGAGACTGAGGCAGGAGAATTGCTTGAACCCAGGAGACGGAGGTTGCAGTGAGCCAAGACCACGGCATTGCACTCCAGCCTGGGCAACAAGAGTAAAACTCCATCTCAAAAAAAAGAAAAATAAAATAAAATTTGATGTAAACAACAAACATTTCGGCCGGGTGCAGCGGCTCACACCTGCAATCCCAACACTTTGGAAGGCTGAGGTGGGTGGGTCACCTGAGGTCAGGAGTTCGAGACCAGCCTGGCCAACATGGGGAAACCCCGTCTCTACTAAAAATACAAAAATTAGCCAGGCATGGTAGCGCATGCCTGTAATCCCAGCTACTCGGGAGGCTGAGGCAGGAGAATCACTTGAACCTGGGAGGCAGAGGTTGCAGTGAGTTGAGATGGCGCCATTGCACTCCAGGCTGGGCGACAAGAGTGAAACTTTATCTCAAAAAAAAAAAAAAAAAAGGAAAAAGAAAACAACAAACATTTCAAGTACACCTCCCACCACTGCAAAGGGAATAACATTTCATTTGCTCTCTCTCTCTCTCTCTATATATATATAAAATTTTTATTTTCTGATAAGAAAAGTGCTAAGGCCAGGCACAGTGGTTCACACTTGTAATCCTGGCATTTTGGAAGGCTGAGGTGGGCAGATCCCTTGAGCCCAGGAGTTCGAGACTAGCCTGGGCAACATGGTGAAACCCCCTCTCTACCAAAAAATACAAAAATTAACTGGGCATGGTGGTGTGTGCCTGTAGTCCCAGCTACTCAGCAGACTGAAGTGGGAGGATCACCTGAGCCCAGGGAGGTCCAGCCTGCAGTGAGCCCTATTTGCACCTCTGCTCTCCAGCTGCAGTGAGCCCTATTTGCACCTCTGCTCTCCAGCTGCAGTGAGCCCTATTTGCACCTCTGCTCTCCAGCCTAGGCAATAGAGTGAGACCCTGTCTCAAAAAAAAAAAAAAAAAAAAAGTAAATATTATATATAATTAGAGAAGATGTAGAAAAAGTACAAAATACATAATCACATCACCCAAAAGTTACTACTATTTACATTTTGGAACACATATGTATATAAAACTTTTTTAAATTGGGATATTCTCTGTAACTTTTTAAATATTTTTCAATTAAAATATCATGAACATTTCCCTTATTAGGGAAGAAGAGTCACCAAGCCCTAACTAGTTTTTATTTGCCTTTCAATCATAGCACGTATGTTGATGCAAAGACCTATTCATTCCCCCATCCTAAATTCCTTTAGAATATAATGCTAATTAATTTTCTTCCAGAAGTCTCTGCGAAGTATCATGATTAATTTTTCTCAACTAAATATAGGAGTTCCCTAGTTACATGCTGCTTGACCTCCTGTAGGTTTACTCCTACATATGTAGCTACGGCAGTGAAACAGGATGAGTTATATTTATAAATCTATTTACCTGCAGAAATGCCTCTTTTCCTGTACTAAATGCTTAAAGTAATACAGAACACAGCTGCTTTCTTTCTTCAGTATCTTGTTAATCAGGATTAAATATATCTATATGCACAAGTACATACACACACACCCCGTTTGTGGTTTGCATGGGGAAGAAAACATATTACAATGCTCTCAGCTGAGCCAGAGGCAGTAGAAGACTACGTGACTGTCCCTGACTTCTTTTATCTAAAAGGAGGTTCGAGAATGCTCAGTAACAACTGCCACATCTATTGACTGGCACCAGGAAATGGTCAGAAATGAAGTTCATAGAAATGAACTTCATACTAGATAATAAATCATATTATTTCACTTACAATCAGCAATTATGCAAATGGTGGTTTTTAGGATTTGAAGAGACAAGGTGTTTACCAGAGACTCTTTTTTTTTTTTTTTTTTTTTTTGAGATGGAGTCTCACTCTGTCCCCCAGGCTGGAATGCAGTGGCATGATATCGGCCCACTGCAACTTCCATCTTCCAGGTTCCAGCAATTCTCCTGCCTCAGCCTCCTGAGTAGCTGGGACTACAGGCACCCACCATCACGCCCGGCTAATTTTTGTATTTTTAGTAGAGACGGGGTTTCACCATGTTGGCCAGGCTGGTCTCAAATTCTTGACCTCAGGTGAGCCACCACACCTGGCCAGAAACTTTTAATAGACACAATTTTGGGAGCATTTTAAAAAATTGTGGTAAAATGTAAATAAGATTTAAGATTTTAACCATTTTTAAGTGTATCATTCACTGGCACTAAGTACAGTCATGATGTTGTACAACCATTATCATAATAGATAAAATTTTGTATAAAGTACATGACATATTTCAAACCTATAGTTATATAAATTTTGAAGCAATGCAGATATTTCTATAATTTGTATAAAAAAATCGGGGCAGTGCATACATGTAATTATAGTCCATCTGAAGCCTCATATTCAATTCCTCACAATTTCCTAAGCTTTATACTCTACATTAAAATTGTCTACTTATAACTCAAAATTTTCTGTAATCTTTTCAATAAAATCAGTAATATCACTTACGAAAACAAGAAATAACGAGTGTTGGCAAGGATGTGGAGAAATTGGAACCCTTGAACGCTAAGGTGGGAATGTAAAATGGTCAAGCTGCTATGGAAAACAATATGAAGGCTTCTCAAATAATTAAAAATAGAGCTACCATAAGATGCAGCAATCCCACTTCTGGGTATTTATCCAAAAGAATTGAAAACAGGATCCCAAAGGGATAGTTGCTGTCCCGTGTTCATAGTAGCATTATTCACAATAGCCAAGAATTGCAAACAACCTAAATGTCCATCAATGGTTGAATAAAGACAATGTGGGATATAAATACAATGGAATAATTCAGCCTTAAAAAAGAAGGAAATTCTGTCATAAGCTACAATGTGAATGATCCTTAAGAATTAGGGTAAGTCAGCTGGACAGGGTGGCTCACACTTACAATCCCAGAACCTCAGGAGGCCGAGGCAGGAGGATCACTTGAAGCCAGGAGTTTGAGACCAGCCTGGGCAACAAAACAAGACCCAGTCTGTACCAAAAACAAAACAAAACAAAACAAAACTTTTTTAAGCCAGGCATAGTGACATGCAGCTATGATTCCAGCTACTCAAGAAGCTGAGGAGGGAGGATTACTTGAGCCCAGGAGTTCAAGCTGCAGTGAGCTGTGATCGCGCCACTGCACTCCAACCTGGGTGACACAGTGAGACCCCGTCTCAAAAAAAAAAAAAAAAAATAGGCCAAGTGAAATAAACCAGTCATGAAAGGACAAATACTGCATGATTCCACTTATATGTATTATCTAAAGTAGTCAAACTTACAGAATCAGTTAAGTAAAATGGTGGTTGCCAGGAGCTGGAGGGGTTAGAAATGGGGAATTGTTCAATGGGTACTCAGTTTCAGTCATACAAGATGAAAAAGTTCTAGAGATCTGCTCTACAATGAAGTGCATCTAGTAAACAATAGTGTACTGTACATTTAACATTTTGATAGGGTACACTTCATTTTTTTTTTTTTTTTTAACACTTACAGTTTCTGGTTTCAGGTCTGGACAACAAAACAAAAGGTCAAAATATCTCTTCCATCTCATTACCACCTACCCTATAGATGATAATTGTCATTCCCATTCTGGACAACAAAACAAAACAGAATCCTGCATTTGCCTTGCCCCTGAGCTTTAAGAAAATACTGCTAAAATAGGGGTCTGGAAAACTGACAATAATTGAAAACAAGTAGCTTTTTTTTTTTTCAGACAATCTTGCTCTGTCACCCAGGCTGGAGTGCAGTGGCGCAAATATGGCTCACTGCAGCCTCGACCTCCCAGGCTCAAGCAATCCTCTCACCTCAGTCGCCCCCTATCCTCCTGGGGGGACTAGAGGTGTGCACAAAGCTGGCTCATTTTTTTCCCCTTTATAGAGATGGGGGTCTCACTATGTTGCCCAGGGTTGTCTCAAACTCCAGGGCTCAAGTGATCCTCCCGCCTCGGCCTCCCTAAGTACCACTATCACAGGCATGAACTATTATGCCCCATCACATAGCTTTTTTAAAGTTAGAAACAATACTTTCCAACCTGTGAAAGATGGTGAAATAGATACAAAGTTATAATGATGACAAAAGAATTTTTAAAAGATTTTTAACAAGGATGCGGGGTGAACTCTGAGAATCGGGTAAGCCATCTCAGAAGAATGAATGAGGAGGGTAATCAGAACAAGGAGATAAAGGCATGATGGGGAAATGAGAGGAGGTGAATTGGTTTGGAGTTCGATCAGAGTCAAGGTTCACAATTTCCAAATATTAAATTGTCCTGTTAGGATTTTCCTTAGTCTCCTTCATACACTGGTCTTTCCCCTCTTACTTATCTTGCACACAACCACCAAGCAAATTGTCAGCCACTAACTCCCTCTTATTATAGGCACCTTCTCATAGCCTCAGCCTCTGACTCCATCCAAAGTACAGCTAAGGCATATTTGCAGAAAATTATCCCACTCGATTTCTAGGTAGAATTCATTTGTATGGGAGCAAACAAAATTATGAAACCAGATACATCCTGATATATTACAATTTAAATGTCCTGGCTATATTTTATTTCCGGTAAGCTGGAGCAGACTATTGCACACTTCTTGCCACCTTGACCTACATAGCTGCTCTTTCAGGGGCATCTCATACCATGCAGCAACAGTGGAGCCTCCTGCCCCCTATCTCTCTTCCTTTATCTGTGTAGTTTGGAGTTTCTCAGATGAGGGTTACAGGCCGGGGAAGGAGAGAGAATGGAAATGGTAAGCACTACATAGGCTGAAGTGAGGACTTCATGTAGGAAATGACAGAAAACTCCTGAGCTGAAAAAAGGCAAGTACTGCGACTATAAATACCAAGATTTTCCTGTGTGGATGGCATACTGATTTTGAAGACAACTCCATGAAAAGAAGGTTCCAGAAATTTTGGAATGACCTCATAAGTGAAATTAGCATATAGCCTCCTAAAATAACTTAGAAAGACAAGATTTAATTTAGGTCTTTAAAGTCCCAGTATGCTTATTCAAAAAAGCACTATCGTTTATGGTTATTACCCAACACTACTCTTTCAAAAAATGGCTAATGAAAGAAAACAATGCAACATAATTGTAACTGAGCTTAAACTTAAAAGGCTTGATTTCTGAATTTAGGTTCAAGTCTAAGTTTTGTCACCACTCAAGAAAGACATATAAGTTTTTTGGCATTACCAAGGAATACTGTGGACAGCAAGAAAACTTTAAATAATGGCTAATTAATCCTTGAAGGGAATATGTAGAACTTACAAAATGTCATATTCCAAAGTTGCTAAGCAGAAAAACTTGCTCTTTTCTAACAAGTTTTCATCTTCATTAATGATGCCTATGCTGTTCATACGGAAAATTCCAGGCATCTTCGGGGCTAAACATGTTTTGACTTCTCAAAAAAAAAAAAAAAAAAAAATCCCTGTAATCCCAGTGCTTTGGGAGGCTGAAGGGGGATGAGAGGCAGGGGGATCACTAGAGGCCAGGAGTTCAAGACCAGCCTAGGCAACATAGTGAGACACCTTCTCTACAAAAAATAAAAAATTAGCCAGGTGTGGTGGCTTGCACCTGTCGTCTTCGCTACTTAAGAGGCTGAGGTAGGAGGAATGCTTAAACCCAGGAGTTCAAGGTTACGGTGAGCTATGATTGTGCCATTGCACTCAAGACTCAGGAACAGGGTGAGACCTTGTCTCTATAAAACAACAAAAGGCCAGGCATGGTGGCTCACGCCTGTAATCCCAGCACTTTGGGAGGCCGAGGTGGGCAGATCACGAGGTCAGGAGATCGAGACCATCCTGGCTAACATGGTGAAACCCCATCTCTACTAAAAATACAAAAACAGGCCGGGCATGGTGGCTCACGCCTGTAATCCCAGCACTTTGGGAGACTGAGGCAGGAGGATCACGAGGTCAAGAGATCGAGACCATCCTGGCTAACGTGGTGAAACCCCGTCTCTACTAAAAATACAAAAAAAAAAAAAAAAAAATTAGCCAGGCCTGGTGGCAGGCGCCTGTAGTTCCAGATATTCGGGAGGCTGAGGCAGGAGAATGGCGTGCACCCAGGAGGCGGAGCTTGCAGTAAGCCAAGATTGCGCCACTGCACTCCAGCCTGGGTGACAGAGTGAGACTCCGCCTCAAACAAACAAACAAAACAACAAAATCCCCAAAACTCTCTCCCCAAAAGTTGCAAAGTATCATGAGACCCTACTTAATTAAAATAAAATACAGATGATGCCCCAGTTAAATGCCACTTAAGCTGGCCGGACGCAGTGGCTCACGCCTATAATCCCAGCACTTCGGGAGGCCGAGGTGGGCAGATCACGAAGTCAGGAGTTCGAGACCATCCTGGCCAACATAGCAAAACCCTGTCTCTACTAAAAATACAAAAATTAGCCAGGTGTGGTGGCATGCGCCTGTAGTCCCAGCCACTCAGGAGGCTGAAGCAGGAGAATCGCTTGAACCCAGGCAACAGAGGTTGCAGTGAGCCGAGATCACACCACTGCACTCCAGCCTGCGGGGAAGAGTGAGACTCTGTCTCAAAAAAAAAGAAAAACAAAAAACACAAAACCACTTAAGCTATCCTTACAGCTTACGTAGATATATCAATGAAAAAGCAAAACAGAAATATTTGAAGTGCAAATTATTTATTTACATATTTAAATAATTCTTTTCCTCAACTGAATACTTACTGTAATACAGAATACAAGTGCCTTTCTCTCCTCAATTAGTGTCTTGTTTTTTGTTCTGGTATTTACATACATAGGAAAATATCTTTATATTAATTTTAATAAGAAGTCTTCACTTGTATAATTAAAGGAGACTCAGATTCAGAAACACTGTCATGCCCATTAAAAGTGCCAGCAAATGGATGAAAATATCACTGAAATTCATATGACATATTAAAACACATTTTCTCACTTGATTAATTATGTATGTTGAGACTGGAAGAAAAAATGTTATTTACTGCAGAAACTGTTAATAGGCATACTTTAATATAATGTATAAGCATATATTTTAAACTCACACTTGCATAATTATTTTATTATAAAAATTAAAAGTCAGGAATGGCAAATGTAGTTTTCACTGGTTCTTTGATTTTTTAAGTTATGCTTACTTTCCAAGCTTTATGCTCTATTATTTATAGTTGTTTTCTGTCATATTTTCTGTAAAAAGTTTATTATCACTTCCAGAACATGATTGGCATTGGTTGTTTTTTATGGGAATCTACTCTTCCAAATTCATTTAAATTGTAGACTTCTCACCATGAATTCTTTAGTATTTAATAAGATTTAGCAAATATTTAATAAGGCCTTCTCATATTCATAAAGTGAATATTATGTATGAATTTTCTGATGTACAATAAGATTTGACTTCTGGGAAAATGCTTTCCCACATCTGTTACATTCATAGGGCTTCTCTCCTGTATGAGTTATCTGATGTCTGAGGAGATGGGACTTCTTGATGAAGGCTTTGCCACATTCAATACAACTGTAAGGTTTCTCTCCTGTATGAATTCTTTGGTGTGTAACAAGCACGGATGTGTTGCCAAAAGCTTTGCCACATATGATACACTGGTAGGGTTTCTCTCCTGTATGAAATCTGGAATGTTTATAAAGGGATGAACTATACCTGAAGGTTTTCCCACATTCCTTACATTCAAATGACTTCTCAAGTGTATGAGATTTCACGTGTTGATTAAATGAGGAGTTCCAAGTGAATGTTTTCCCACATTGACTGCACTCATAAGGCTTCTCTCCAGTGTGAAGTCTCTGGTGGACCACGAGTTGGGCTTTATGCATAAACGCCTTCCCACAATCATTGCACACAAAGGGTCTCTCTCCATTATGAATTTTCTGATGAGTTGCAAGGTGTGCCTTCCTGCTATAGGCTTTTCCACAGTCATTGCATTCAAAAGGTTTTTTCCTTGTATGATTTTTTTCATGTCTAATGAAATGAAACTTCTTTTTGAAGGCTTTCCCGCATTCACTGCATTCATAAGCGTTTTCTACAGTATAACTTCTATTATATTTAAGTAAGTCTAAATTAGGTGGCAAACACTTCTCAAACGATTTATATGATTTTTTTCTCATTGGATTAAGACTTGTGCTCATATTATAATGGTGGATTCTCTCCATAGTCAGAATTTTATTGAATGTGAGCAAAACTGACTTCAAAAAATTGTCTTTGCTTTCCCGATGCTTCCCTGGTTCATCAACAAGTGGGTAGTCAGATTCTAAAAAGGAGTACAACAAAACATTCCTAGTTACTTTTTCCCATCAACATGCTATAGAGAAAAACGTCTATAATTTCAAATACAGTATCTCATTCTGAAAGAAATCTTATATTTGCCTCACTCCTCCTGAGCTTTAAGAATAAAACTGCTGAAGAGGGAATGGGAGCAGATGCCTTAACTTGTGACCTGTGGAAAGACAGTAAATTAGGCACAAGGTAGAGTGAGGGTACGAAGGAAGTCAAAAGGCTGCTCAACGAGGGTGCAGGGTTAGCTCATAAAATGAAGAAGACCCATTGTGGAGATCTGATTAATGGATAGGACAACCAAACACACAGGAGATAGGCCAGGCATGGCGGCTCACGCCTGTAACCCCAGCACTTTGGCAGGCCGAGGCGGGCAGATCATGAGGTCAAGAGATCAAGACTATCCTGGCCAACATGGTGAAACCTGGTCTCTACTAAAAATGCAAAAATTAGCCGGGTGTGGTGGCACATGCCTGTAGTCCCAGCTACTCAGGAGGCTGTGGCAGGAGAATTGCTTGAACCTGGGAGGTGGAGGTTGTGGTGAGCCGAGATCACGCCATTGTACTCCAGCCTGGTGATGGAGCGAGACTCCATCTCCAAAAAAAAAAAAAAAAAAAAAAAAAGAAAAGGAGACAAAGGCAAAGGGATTAAGGGAAAATATCAGAGAACAGACTAGGTTTGGAGGAGGTGGTAACAGGCAGAGTTATATAAATCACTACATAATTAATTTCTAGACAACATTGGTAGGATAATTCCCTATTTCTCTCACTTGTGCCTTTTTCCTCTTAATCATTCTGCACAGTATCAGTTTCCTTTAGAAACATTCTCAAATCTCCAGTCCTCTAACCCCAAGCAAACCACAGCTGAAGCATGTCTGTAGTCATGGCTCCAGCTCTACTGAGAGCTAGAATTCATTTGTACCTGTACTTGTAAGCCCAGGAACACAAATGTCCAGCAAGTCATCCAAGCGTAAGTCATCCTTAGCTTGGGATAATAACAGCAAACAGATTCTGTCTATTTGCTATTATTTTTTTATTCTGGCTGAGTTTCTATATATGAAAAATACCTGTCATACTTCTATTTGGCAAATACTCTTTTTACATCCTCTTTCAATCTAACAAACCAGTCTTCAGCAAGCTGCTTTGCTCTTGAATTCACATTTTTTCACTATCCTCAAAACACTATAAATCCCAAATCTGTTCCCATCAAAAAAAAATTGGGGAGAGGGGGTCATAATTCCCCACGCTTAAGTTTTCCTCCATGTGGAGTGTTAGTACAATACTCCAAGCCTCTTTCTCTATGCCTTATTCTCTGCGGAGCTAGACTGAGTAGTGGGCTACAGCCATTGGTACACATTTCTTTATAGAGTGGTTCTGACTCTGGGGATTTGGTTCCTTTCTTCTTTCCGCTCTATTTCAACCGATGGGAAGCAGCATCTTGCATTACCTCTACCAACAATAATCCACTGAAAAATTCAACATAATCAGCCTGGCAAACAAAATTATGCAAGATATGAATTCACTCATGGGAAGCATGCATTTCACTAGTCCTCAACAAATACCTTCTACTCCATGGATTCTAGATTCCTAAATTCAATCTTTTGCTCATGTTCGTTGTCCACCTTCATTTGCACCCCCCCTTATCTCCTCTCGTCCTATCTAGAACTTAGATACTCTTTAGGGAGGAACCACTGTTCCATGACCTCAAAAAAAAGACTTCTCCAAATTTTGCATACTTTAAACTTTAAGCTCCATTTTCTATGAATTTCTAAGATAGTCACTGCTGCTGTCTGTCATTTTGACAGTTAATTAGAACAAAACTGCAATGTTAATGTGCATTGAAGAAATGTTTCATACTCGTTTGTTGAATTTTAAAATACTTTATTTTTGGGCCAGGCACGGTGGCTCACACCTGTAATCCCAGCACTTTGGGAGGCCAAGGCGGGTGGCTCACAAGGTCAAGAGATCAAGACCATCCTGGCCAACATGGTGAAACCGTGTCTCTACTAAAAATACAAAAATTAGCCAGGCATGGTGGCGGGCGCCTGTAGTTCCAGCTCTTCGGGAGGCTGAGGTAGGAGAATCACTTGAACCCGAGCTGAGATTGCGCCACTGCACTCCAGCCTGGCGACAGAGCGAGACTCTGTCTCAAAAAAAGACAAACAAACAACAACAAGAAAACAAAACTTTTACTTTTTATTTATATATTGTTTTCCTAACCACTAAACCACCAGGGAAAATATTTTAATATGAACATGTTTTGCTGTTCCAACTACCTTTCATAAGTTAGAAAATGGTAATGAGATTTTTGCTTCCTTTGAACCTTTTCAGGTAACATTTTTAAAAGCCTTGTTGAATGGAAGAATAAGAAACATCTCCCACATTGCTATGACAGGGATACTGAAAAAAAAGAAAAATAAAAAAAGAAACATCCCCCACAATGTCTGGCTCTATAACAATAAATTAATAAAATATTCATTGGATACCATGATGTGCTCTGCATAAAACAGGTCATTCTCTTCAGGCACTATCATAAAAAAAAAAAGAAAAAGAAAACAGGCCTTAAAAGCCACATGCATTAAAAAAATATATCCAAGACAGTATATGTAAATTTTTCATGACAGAGTCATAATAGAATTGGCTTGGGAGTTCAAAGAAAGTGAAGATTAATTTAGACTGGAGTTACAATGAAAGAGGAAAAGCTGAAATCAGACTTAAGAAAATGCTGGTTTTAGGAACAGACCAGAATCAGAAGGATTGATGCAGAGAAGAAAACGGTATATAAGCTGGGCGAGGTGGCTCACGCCTGTAATCCCAGCACTTTGGGAGGCCAAGGCGGGAGGATCATGAGGTCAGGAGACCGAGACCATCCTGGCTAACGTGGTGAAACCCCGTCTCTACTAAAAGTACCAAAAATTAGCTGGGTGTGGTGGTGGGCACCTGTAGTCCCAGCTACTCGGGAGGCTGAGGCAGGAGAATGGCGTGAACCCGGGAGGCGGAGCTTGCAGTGAGCCCAGATCTCGCAACTGCACTCCAGCCTGGGCAACAGAGCAAGACTCTGTCTCGAAAAAAAAAAAAAAAGAAAACTGTATATAGTGGACATTAAAAAGGCCAATTTCCATGGAATAAAAAAAAGATGGATAATTCTGGGTAAGTAAAATGGGACCATGTTATAGAGGACATTAAAAGCCATTTAAATATCACAACACAGGTTATAAAGGGGATAATTTACATTTTTCAGGAGAGCAACAACAGAAATAGAATAATTTGGATAAATCTTGTAGAAATATCTAATGTAAACTAGAAAATAGAATGTAATTTGTAAAACAGTAACATAAACAGTCTAGATACAATATCAGTAATTAAAATTCAGCTGAGGACTGTGGCATGTGCCTGTGGTCCCAGCTGCTTGGGAAGCTGAGGCAGGAGACTTGCTTGAGGCCAGGAGTTCAAGGCTGCAGTGAGCTATGATGGCATCACTGCACTCCAGCCTGGGTGATGGAGTAAGACCCTGTCTCTAAAAAAAAAGTCATTTGGTTTATGTCAACAGAAGTTGGGGTCCCAGGGAATCTGAAATATATTTAATTGGTGTCAATCATTTGAAAGATATGTCAATCATTTGAAAGAGTTCTTTTGTGAACTCTGCAGAAAGGGAAAATTTAATTTTGAATCAGTCTTGAATAAACTAATCGCTGAAATCATAGGCCATAAGTTAGTATCATATTTAAGGAGAAACTATTGACAGGAAAAAAATCAAATTGCTTAATGCAGTGGTTTTGAGACTGCAAAGCAGGGGGCCATTCATTATTATTTATTGTGATATAAAGCTAAGGGTGACAATTGAAGAAATAAAAAAATTAGTTACCATGAAGGCCAGGTAGAGTAAAATTATGGGAATGAAAAGTTGGTGAGGCAAAGATGCTAGAGTTGGCATAAAACAAGTAACTTTAGTTTTCAGAGTGATGAGGCTTCTGAGGGAGTTATTGTAGAGAGAAGTCAAGAAGATGGAAGAGAAGGCCTGAGCAAAAGGTGAATAAGCAGTAAGAAAGGGTGAGAACAGATTAGTAAGACAACAAAAAGCTGGAGGGGAATTTCAAAAAGTTATCAATATTACCAAGTGAAACAGAAAGTTGCGCTACAAGACATATCCCAAATTATCAGGGAGAAGAAAGATGCAAGATGGGATTTATGATGCAAGAAAAGGAATAAGTTAAAGAAAAAACAAAAGGAAAATAAAATAGAACATGATGTACCTAAAAGTTTTGAAAAAAATAATTAGCATATACTGAACATTTACTATCTGCCAACTATTTGAAGTGTTTTGCATGTATTACCTCATATAATCTTTACAGGAAACCTGAGGTAAGGATTAATGTTCCTATTTTATAAATAAAGAAAATTATGCTACAAAATAATCTGCTTAAGGTTAGACAGTGATTGGTAGAGTAACGCCTCAAATTCAGATAATTTAACTTCATTATAAGGACTACGTATATAGAAAAAGATCGATGTTGAGAAGGGAAGAATAATGAGGGTTTTAGGAATTAAGAGAACATAAACAAAGCAAGGACCTAGATGAAACAGGCAGTGTGAGAAGCCTGAGGAGACAGGAGAGGGACAACCCTCCATACAACAGCTGAGCAAAGAGAAAGGGCACGTGTGGGGAGAATGAGGGTGAAGGCAGCTTTTGGGGAGCTGGCTGATGATGTTATGTTAAAGGTGTGTGGCTTTTAAGAGGTGCTTCTAAGAGTATTTCAGAACTTCCTGTCCCTCACTGACCAATGGGGATCTCAACTCCACACAGCCCCATCTGAATTTCTCTCACTCACCTGGAGAGCTCTCGTGTGGATTCGCTCCCTCCACCATCCATGGCTCTTGTCCTTGCTCTACCTTGAGGATCACTTTTGTTTTGGTAATTGGACATCCTGTTGGTGGGAAAACAGCATAGAAGTGGGGCCAAAGTGCTAGGCAAACAACCAGCTCACAACTTGGGTTACCTCCTTGAGTCTCAGGATTTTTAAAGGATAACAAGCAGCCTTTAAAACAGAACAGACCCAGGCTGGGCGCGGTGGCTCACGCCTGTAATCCGAACACTTTGGAAGGCTGAGGCGGGCGGATCATGAGGTCAGGAGATCGAGACCATCCTGGCTAACACAGTGAGACCCTGTCTCTGCTAAAAATACAAAAAATTAGCCGGGCGTGGTAGCAGGCACCTGTAGTCTCAGCTACTCGGGAGGCTGAGGCAGGAGAATGACGTGAACCTGGGAGGTGAAGCCGAGATTGCACCACTGCACTTCAGCCTGGGTGACAGAGCGAGACTCCTTCCCCCCTCCAAAAAAAAAAAAAACAGAACAGACCCTTCTCCTCCATCTGGGAAGGAGAAGAATAAGCAGACTACGTGAAGCTCAGAGGGGACTCAGAATCTTTGACAACTAAAATGTAGGGCCCAGCTGATTAATGCTTCAGAATGCTCACAGTTTTCATACGATTTTTTTTTTTTTTTTTTTTTGAGATAGGGTCTCACTCTGTCACCCAGGCTGGAATGCAGTGGTACACCTAGGCTCAAGCGATCCTTCCACCTCAGCCTCCCAAGTAGCTGGGACAACAGGCATGTACCACCACACCTAGCTAAATTTTGTTGAGACAGTCTCACAACGTTGCTCAGGCTGGTCTTGAAATCCTGGGCTCAAGCAATTCTCCTGCCTCCCAAAGTGCTGGGATTATAAGCATGAGCGACCACAATTGGCAAACGTTCCCAAGTCTTAAAAAATGAGCACTATTAGTATACACTGAATTACACTGAAAAGTTACCACTCATTGTCCTTACCCACTGAGATGAGGTTTCTATAGTTCTCCAACATCACATCCCAATACAGGGTTCTCTCAGCACAATCAAGCAGCTGCCACTCCTCTGCAGTGAAATCCACAGCCACATCCTGGAATGTCACTGATTCCTGTAACAGCACATTTATCTTCAAACTAAAGTGTGTATCACTAGCGAACTTGCAAGAGAATCAAGGCAGCTCCTTAATATCATATCATGTTCACTGTTGAGTTTGTAGAAAATCAGTTATAATGATTACATGCTTGATTCGGAAATATGCTTTGTGATAGTAAGAAAAATCTTATTAAACATATCCAACTGGTGCCAGAACAGTTCAACAGGGGAAAAAAAAGTCTTTTCAACAAATGGTACTGAGACCACTAGACATCCACATGCAAAAGTATGACACTGAACTCCCCATCCATTTTACATCATATAAGAAAATGAACTAAAATGGACCAGAGAGCTAAAAGTAAGAAACAAAGCTATCAAACAGTTAGAAGAAAACAGAAAAAAAGTTTTTTGTGACCTTGGATTAGGCAGTGATTTGTGAAATATGACAGAAAAAGTGGAAGTGACAAAATAAAAAATAAATAGGAATTCATCAAAATTAAAACTTCTGTGCTCCATAGGACACTGCCAAGAATGTGAAAAGAAAATCCACAGAATGGGAGAAAATATTTGCAAATCATATATCTGATAAGAGGCTTGTATCTAGAATATATAAGTAACTCTTAAAATTCAACAATAGGGGGAGGGGAGAAAAAAATCAACAATAAACAGACAACACAATTTAAAAATGGGCAAAGGATTTAGAGACATTTCTCCAAAGATATATCTATATATCTATATATAGATATAGACATAGATATATGTATGTATCTATGTATCTGTGTTGGTATGTGTATAGTAAATAAGCCCATGAAAAGATGCTCAACATTAGGGTCTGAAACTGAAGCAAGAAAGAAAAAAAAATAAAAAGAAAAAAGATTCTCAAAATCATTAATTATTAGTCATTAGTGAAATGCAAATCGAAACCATAATGAGACAGCATTTCACTTCTATGAGGACAGTTAAAATCAAACGCAGACAATGACCTGTGTTGGCAAGGATGTGGAGAAACCGAAACTCTTGTACGTTACTCAACTCCTGTACACTGGGATTGCAAAATGGTGCAGCAACGACGTTTTTTCTTTTTTCTTTTCTTTTATTTGATATAGGGTCTTGCTGTGTCACCCAGGCTGGAATGGAGTGGAGTGGTGCAATCAGGGGTCATTGTAGCACCCAACTCCTGGACTCAAGCGATCTTCCTACCTCAGCCTCTCAAGTAGCTGGGCCTACAGGCACATGCCACCACACCCAGGCAATTAAAAAAATATTTTTTGGAGGCCAGGTGCAGTGGCTCATGCCTGTAATCCCAACACTTTGGGAGGCCGAGGCAGGTGGATCACGAAGTCAGGAGATCGAGACCATCCTGGCTAACATGGTGAAACTCCGTCTCTACTAAAAATACAAAAAATCAGCCGGGTGTGGTGGCATGCGCCTGTAGTCTCAGCTACTCAGGAGGCTGAGGCAGGAGAATTGCTTGAACCCGAGAGGCGGAGGTTGCAGTGAGCCGAGATTGCGCCACTGCACTCCAGCCTGGGTGACAGAGTAAGACTCTGTCTCAAAAAAATATATATACATATATTTTTAGAGATGGGGTCTCACTACATTGCCCAGACTGCTCTTGTACTCCTGGCTTCAAGTGATCTTCCTGCTTCAGCCTCCCAAAGGCTGGGATTACAGGCATGAGCTACCTGTAATCCATAGTTCCATACGCAGTTCCATGTAACTATGGAAAAGAGTTTAGCAGTTCCTCCGAGTGTTTGTTTGTTTGTTTGTTTGTTTTTTGAGATGGAGTCTCACTCTGTCACCCACGCTGGAGTGCAGTGGGGCCTCCCGGGTTCAAGCAATTCTCCTGCCTCAGCCTCCTGAGTAACTGGGATTATAGGTGCACATCACTGATTTTTGTATTTTTAGTAGAAACGGGGTTCTACCACATTGGCCAGGCTGCTCTCAAACTCCTGACCTCAAGTGATCCACCCGCCTCAGCCTCCCAAAGTGCTGGGATTACAGGCATGAGCCACTGCACCCAGCCTTCTCCAAGTGTTAAACATAGAGTAACCATATAACCCAGCAATCCCCTCCTAGGTATATACCCACGAGAATTCAAGACATTTGTCCACACAAAAACCCACAGACAAATGTTCATAGTAAGAGTTATTCATAGTCAAAAAAGTGGAATAATCTGGTGTCCATGAACTGATAAATGGATAAAGAAAATGTGGTATATCCATATGATGGAATATTATTTGGCAATAAAAGAGGAATCAAGCACTGGTACATCTACAACATGGATGAACCTTGAAAATACTGTATGGGGCCAGGTGTCATGCCTCTCACCTGTAATCCCAGCACTTTGGGAGGCTGAGGTAGGCAGATCACTTGAGCCCAGGAGTTTGAGACCAGCCTGGACAACATACCAAGACTCAGTCTCTACAAAAATAAAAAAAAATTAGCTGGGTATGGTGGCATGGACCTGTAGTCCCAGCTACTTGGGAGACTGAGGTGGGAGAACTGTTTGAGGCTGGGAGGTTGAAGCTACAACACAGTGAGACCCTGCCTCAAAAAAATAAATAAATAAAAAAGAAAAATAGGAAACTATTGTATTGGGTGAAAGAAGCCAGTCATGAAAGATTACATATTTCATGGTTCCATTTGTATGAAATGTTCAGAAGAGAAAAGCCATAGAAAGAGAAAGTAGATTAGTGCTAGGGAAAGGGAGGAATGAGTAGTGACTGCTAATTAGGGTATGGAATTGCTTTTAGGGTGATGAAAATGTTCTGAAATTAGATAGTGGTGATGGCTGTACAACTCTGTGAATACACTAAAAAACCACTGAATTGTATACAATTGTTATTTTTTTTTTTTGAGACGGAGTCTTGCTCTGTCGCCCAGGCTGGAGTGCAGTAGTGTGATCTTGGCTCACTGTGGCCTCTGTCTCTCAGGTTCAAGTGATTCTCATGCCTCAGCCTCCTGAGTAGCTGGGACTACAGGTATGCACCACCACACCTGGCTAATTTTTTTTGTACTTTTAGTAGAGACGGAGTTTCACCATGTTGGCCAGGATAGTCTCTAACTCCTGACCTCAAGTGATCCGCCCACCTTGGCCTCCCAAAGTGATGGGATTACAGGTATGAGCCACTGCACCTGGCTGACTGTATATACTTTAATTGGGTCACTTTTGTGGTATGATAATTATATTTCAATAAAGCTATTTAAAAATATCACTTACATATTCTTATTTGTTCACTTATAAAATATTTAATGAGGCTCTACCAACCCTATACTGGAGATATCAAAAGAAATAAAATTATTACTCCTCTCAGGGATCTTACACTCTATTAGACTCTACAAAGTAAACGTAAGTGCCATAAGATGTTACTGAGACTGTCTCACACCAGTTAGAATGGCAATCATTAAAAAGTCAGGAAACAACAGGTGCTGGAGAGGATGTGGAGAAATGGGAACACTTTTACACTGTTGGTGGGACTGTAAACTAGTTCAAACATTGTGGAAGTCAGTGTGGCGATTCCTCAAGGATCTAGAATTAGAAATACCATTTGACCCAGCCATCCCATTACTGGGTATATACCCAAAGGAATAAAAATCATGCTGCTATAAAGACACATGCACACGTATGTTTATTGCGGCATTATTCACAATAGCAAAGACTTGGAACCAACCCAAATGTCCAACAATGATAGACTGGATTAAGAAAATGTGGCACATATACACCATGGAATACTATGCAGCCATAAAAAATGATGAGTTCATGTCCTTTGTAGGGACATGGATGAAATTGGAAATCATCATTCTCAGTAAACTATCGCAAGAACAAAAAACCAAACACTGCATATTCTCACTCATAGGTGGGAAATGAACAATGAGAACACATGGACACAGGAAGGGGAACATCACACTCTGGGGCCTGTTGTGGGGTGGGGGGAGGGGGGAGGGATAGCATTGGGAGATATACCTAATGCTAGATGACGAGTTAGTGGGTGTAGCGCACCAGCATGGCACATGTATACATATGTAACTAACCTGCACATTGTGCACATGTACCCTAAAACTTAAAGTATAAAAAAAAAAAAAAAGATGTTACTGAGACTGTAAGGTTTACATGCCAGATGCATGTAAGCATAATAAAATAGGAACACATGGATACTTTTACATGATAAAATATGTCCTTTTTTTTTTCTTTTTTTTTTTTTTGTGAGACGGAGTCTCGCTCTGTCACCCAGCCTGGAGTGCAGTGGTGCGATCTCGGCTCACTGCAAGCTCCACCTCCCGGGTTCATGCCATTCTCCTGCCTCAGCCTACTGAGTAGCTGGGACTACAGGCGCCCGCCACCATGCCCGGCTAATTTTTTTGTATTTTTAGTAGAGACGGGGTTTCACCATGTTAGCCAGGATGGTCTCGATCTCCTGACCTCGTGATCTGCCCGCCTCAGCCTCCCAAAGTGCTGGGATTACAGGCGTGAGCCACTGCACCCGGCTAAAATATGTCCTTTTAACCATAATTCCAAAATCATGTTTAATGGATAAATGTTAAAAGCACCGAAATTAAAGACAAGTAGTTACATATCTACCACAAAAGAGATAGTTAAGACCATTGTCAGCAGGGATTAGGAAACTGTAACCCATGGACTGGCCTCCTGTTTTTGTAAACAGAATGTTATTGAAACATAGTCACACTCATTCATTTACTTCAGCTTCAAGGACAGAGTTGAGTAGTTGCCACAGAGGCTGTATGACCTTCAAATCTAAAATATTTACTATCTCACCCTTTATGAAAAAGTTAGGACTAGGAAGGGTTTATTCCAGGAATGTATAGATAGTTCAGTACTGGGAAATGCACTGAAAATTCTCTAAACTGGTATATTAAGGGTGGCAAGATATATTATATTACTGACAGCTATTTTAAAAAAGGGTATGAGGCCAAAAGTCCCTAGTTATTAAAATAATCTTTGCAAGTTAAAAATCCTTAACTTGATTAAAAACAAAATAAAAAAAAAACAACTATCTACTAGAATACAAGAGGAAACGGTGAAACACTGGGAGCACTCCCATTAAAATTAGGACAAAAAAGACTTCTGGCTAGCAATTACAGTTAATCCCTGAACAACACAGGTTTGAACTGCCTGGTTCCACTTATACTCAGATTTTTTTGCAATGAATATAGTTGGCCCTTGGTTGGCAGGTTCTGCATCTACAACCAAATGCAGATAAAAAAAAATACAGTATTCTTGCCATGCAAAACCCATGAATATGGATGGCCAACTTTTCCTATCCTTAAGTTCCACAGGGCCAACTGTACTGTGGGACTTCATTATGTTCAGATTTGGGGATCTGCAGGAGTTCTGCAACCAGTCTCCCATGGATACCACAGGATGGCTGTTTATTCAAAACTGCAGTGACTAGAAGTCCTGGCCATTGCAATGAGACAAGGAAAATATGGGGGAAGGTATAAATATTGGGCAGGAAGAGATAAAACTCCATTTGGAATGTATGATTGTCTACCTAAGAAATAGAAGAATCAACTAAAGAACTCTTAGATCTAACAAGAGTTCTGTACATTGGCTGGATATAAATTCAACATAGAGAAATCCATCTTTTCTTTTCTTCAGAGACAGGGTCACCCAGGCTAGAGTGCAGTGCTGTGACCATAGCTAGCTATAGCCTTGATCTTCTAGGCTCAACAGATCCTCCTGCCCTAGCCTACCTAGTAGCTGGAACTACAGGTGTGTGCCATCATGCCATGCTAATTAATTTTTTTTTTCTAGAGATGGGGTCTTGCTATATTGCCCAGGCTGGTCTTGAACTCCTGGCCTCAAGCAATCCTCCCACCTTAGCCTCCCAAAGTGCTGGGAATATAGGCATGAACCACCATGCCCAGCCAAGAGAAGTCCATATTTTTCTATTTACCAAAATAGCCAATTAGAAGAGATAATGAAAAAAAGGCCTACCTCATTCTCAATAGCAACTAAAACCATATGTAAGAATAAATATAAGAAATGTACAGGAATTACAATAAGAAACTTATAAAACCTATAAAATTATAATAAAAGGGCCGGGTGCGGTGGCTCATGCCTATAATCCCAGCACTTTGGGAGGCTGAGATGGGTGGATCACCTGAGGTCAGGAGTTCGAGACCAGCCTGACCAACATGGTGAAACCCTGTCTCTACTAAAAATACAAAAATTAGCCGGGCGTGGTGGCGGGCACCTGTAATCCCACCTACTCAGGAAGCTGAGGCAGGAGAATCACTTGAACTCAGGAGATGGAGGTTGCAGTAAGCCAAGATTGTGCCACTGCACTCCAGCCTGGGTAACAGAGTGAAACTCTGTCTCAAAAAAAAAAAAAAAAAAAAAATTATAATAAAAGACCTATAAGAAAACCTGAATAAATAGGACTCATTGAAAAGTCATGAATTCTCTCCAAATTAACCTATTAAGTTTAATGCAATCCTAATAAGAATATCTGGCCGGGCGCAGTGGTTCACAACTGTAATCCTACCAGCACTTTGGAAGGCTGAGGCAGGCAGATCACTTGAGGTCAGGAATTCGAGACCAGCCTGGTCAACAAGGTGAAACCCCGTCTCTACTAAAAACACAAAAATTAGCTGGGCGTGGTGGCACATGCCTGTAATCCAAGCTACTTGGGAGGTTGAGGCAGGAGAATCGCTTGAACCTGGGAGGTAGAGGTTGCAGTGAGCTGAGATCACGCCATTGTACTCCAGCCTAGGCAACAGAGCAAGACTGTCTCAAAAAAAAAAAAAAAAAAAAGAATACCTAACATACTGCTTTATGAACCTTGACAATATTTGTTATTTTGATGACCTTAAAATTCATGTAGAAGAGTAAATGCTCAGGATAGCTAGAGACTGGAAAAGGTACAAGATTTACTTATGGATCCAGGTGGGCATTAAAAAGGCCACATACCTGGACTTATAAATTGAGTTCATTTAGTGCTGCTTGGCACTATGTTCTTACTCTAGGGAATACTCTAAGAAAGTCATAGGAAACCTGATGCTGTATTTATCGCAGGCTGCTGCTGTGAATGTTATTTCTAATGTTATCTATGTGAAAACTCATTAGAAAAGATTTTCTTCAAAGAACTGTGTCAGGAAAAACTTTACTTACAAGGAGAATAATTTTGCTTTATCTTCACAGCAATGCCAATACTTTTTAACTGGCTGGTTATCCATTTACTATGATTTCCAGGAAGACTGAGTACACATTTGCAGCTCAAATTTGTTCCAACCATCTGCAAACCCTATGACTTGAATATCAACTTACCAATCTTCTAAATTTCCTTTTAGACTTGATCTTTTATTTGGTTTACATTTTTCCTGACCATACATTTCCTTTTTATCATATGGATTTTTGGGAGATTTAAACAACTGGATGAATAGATGGATACCTTACCTGGAAGCTGATCATTTTCTGCAGCTCTTACACAGAAATCTATGAAAGTAGAAATGGGGAAGAGAATAGAAAGACCTGAGATACCAGGACTGCATGCAAAGTAGAACCCTGCTCTATCAGACCATAAGTACCCACACTGCAGCCTCAGAAAATGCCACCTAGTGGGGGAGAATGACATTTCTAGCAAGACAGAAAAGTCCATGTTCCATAAGCACAGATCTCTACTTGTGATTGTTAGGAATATATGGAGCTTAGATAAGGATGTTATATGTTTCTGTCCTACTGATCTAGCACCAAGTGGTTCCTCTTGAAACAGTTATTTTTTTTCCTCCCAGAAATTTATCCTGAAGAAATAATGAATGAGTTGACTCACTTAAAAGCTTGGTCTCTGAAGCTCCGTAAGTCTAAAAATGATTCCTTCCTGTGATTCTCTGGTTTCTACTCTGACGCTGGGATAAGAGATTGCAAATTAGGTTGGGCTTTCTTGAGAAGGCTGGATTCAGGGACCCAGGAACACTTTTTTTTATTTTTTTTTTGTTAAGCTGGATCCTTCAGTTTAAACTCCAAATGTTTCTCTCTGTAGAAACTCGCCATCTCCTATGAGCTTAGAACTGCTGGGGCTCTAGAAAGGGTATAATGGGCAAACCGGGGACTCACATCTTCATTTACACAGTCTGCACTGGAAGATCTGCAGATACACCAAGAGACTCTACAAAATGACTACAAATCGAAATTTACTCAGCATTCATTGCTCAAACATTTCAGGAGAATAAACCCAACTCTGTTTTATGCAGGAATGCTATACTGTAAAAAAAAAAAAAAAGAAATTTGGAGAAAATGTATCTGAGTTTGAATCTCAGTTCTTCCACTTACTAAGCTGTGTGAGTCCAGGCAAGTAATTTCACCTTTCAGCTTCAGTTAACTCATATGCAAAATGGTAATAGCATTTACTTCAAATGATTGCTGAGAATACCCTTCTAATCCATAGCAGTTTCTCAAGAATGCTTTCTTCCTGGATCCCTTGAAATAGCTTACAGTTTCCACTGGATCCCTTGACACGGCTTAAAATTGTCGCAGGCTCCAGTCGGGCCAACTATGCTCTTGGAACCAGGAAAGGTACAGTTAGATGAACAGACTCCTACATAGTGACCTTGACCTACAAGAGCAGGAATGCAAATTGAGCCTCTCCCAGTCCCACCAGAGCCCTGGACATCTACCCAGTGCCAGTCGGAGCCCAACTCTTGCTTTCTCTCAGCTACTCGAGTTGAACAGGACCCACATATCCAAACCTGAAGTCACTGCGCTTGGAGACTAAAGTTTTATCTTCGGTAGGGTAAACCTAGAAGCCAGTCCCCGCCTTTCTCTTACGTCCTCCGAGTCCAGCAAAGCCATACCTGCCACCCTTTCACTGCCTCGCTCGCAGCTCCGGCTCCAAGCCTGGGATCAGTCACAGCGTCGTCCAGAGACAGGGGAGCAACACCCGCCCGCACTTCCCGCGGCGCTGATTTGAAGATTGAATACCGGCTACCGTCCTACTACGCGTGTGCGGAAGTAACTGTCCACCTAGAGTTCCTGGACTCCTCCCGGGTGTAGGCCATCCGTCGGAGACCACATTTCCCATAAGGCCAGTGGAGCTCGTTTCCGGAAGACGTCAGACGCTGCTTCCTCTTGGGGGGTGGTGCGGAGATTCCCGGGTTGGTATCTCTATTGCTAGCCTGAGAGCCACGCTTTTTAAGTCGTTTTCATTTAAAAGGATACACAGCATTTTTAAATACTGGAAAGTAAAATCGGCGGTATGCTAAAAACAATTTGCTCTTACTCAGCAGGGTTTCTTCTAGCAATGCACCAGGTTAAGTCGGAGAGGTGAAGAGGATCCAACAAAGAAGACTGAGAAGGAATAATCCATGAAGTAGATGGAAAAGTAGGAGAGTTTAGATCTGCAAAACCAAGGGAAGGAAGTGTTTCAAGAAGGGAGTGACCCATTGTCTCAAATGTTGCTCATAGGTCAAGTAAAATGAGAATTAAGAATGGGCCACTGTAGCAATGGTCACCAGTGATGTTGAAACGCCATTTTGGCAGTGGTGGAAGTTTGATAAAGTCTGATGAAAATTTGATAGGAGTTGGAGGGAAGGATGGGAGGAGAGGAAATGGAGAAAGCAAATATACGCAATACTTTTAAGAAGTTTTGTTTTTAAGGTGAGCAGAAAAATAAGGCTATCATGGGATAGGGATTTTGTTAATCTTTTGTTGTTGCGTTTTTCCACGTTCTAATTTTTTTTTTTTTTTTAATTCAAAGATGGGGCTGAGTGTGGTGGCTTATGCCTGTAATCCTAACATTTCAGGAGGCCAAAGTGGGAGGATTGGTTGAGCCCAGGAGTCTGAAACTGCCTAGGCAACATAGTGAGACCCTCATCTCTACAAAAAATAAAAAACTAGCCTGGCATGGCACCCGCCTGAAGTCCCAACTACTTGAGAGGCTGAGATGGGAGGATCGCTTGAGCCCAGACAGTAGAGACTGCAGTGAGCCGTGATCCCGCCACTGCACTGCAGCATGGGCGACAGAGCTAGTCTCTGTCTCAAAAAAATAAAATAAAAAAGATGGAAGAAATTATAGTAAGTTTATGTACTAATTAAAAGGATCTAGGCTGGGCGCAGTGGCTCACGCCTGTAATCCCAGCACTTTGGGAAGCTTAGGTGGGCAGATCACCTGAGGTCAGGAGTTGGAGACCAGCCTGGCCAACGTGGTGAAACCCCGTCTCTACTAAAAATACAAAAATTAGCCGGGCGTGGTGGCAGACGCCTGTAAACCCAGCTACCTGGGAGGCTGAGGCGGGAGAATCACTTGAACCCGGGAGGCAGAGGTTGCAGTGAGCCGAGATCACACCACTGCACTCCAGCCTGGGCGACAGAGCGAGGCTCTGTCTCAAATAAATGAATTAGTTAATAAAATAAAACAAAAGATCCAGTAGAGGCGGGAAATACACAATTCAGGATAGACAGGCTAGTTACTCGGAGGAATGTCCTTGAGAAGAGAAGGGATGGAATCCAGTACACAATCACAGGGATCATTCTAAGTAAGAGTATGGATAATTCATCTCCATTGAAATAAAAGGGGAGGCAGAGTTTATAAGTACAGATCCAAACAGGTGGACAAATATGGTGGTAGGAGAAAGAGGATGCCCTGTTCTGAGTGCTTCTATTTTCCCAGTGAAATAGGAAGCTGAAATGAAGATAGGGGGAAAGTATTTTAGACTTGACAGAAAAGATGAATACCGTATTATGATGATTTTGAAACATGATTTTTTCATATTTTAACATCTGTGAAATTGCTGTCTTACAAGTGATGGCATTCCATAGTTTAATCAGGAGCATTGTTTTTTATTAGTATATAAAATAATAATACAACTTATAATCAATGGCATCTGAGATTCGATAAAGTATGATTTATGAATGTGAGCAAGTGAATAGATTAAGGAAATGTAGTACTATTGCCTGGCACCATTAAGAACTGGCTTGATATTAGTAGCCATTATCGCTTCTCAGCCTTTTGGCTAAGATCAAGTGATATTAGTACCCACTGACTTTACTAGCATTTTCTATGCAATAAACACATCTCTCTCTCTCTGCCTCCCCTCCCGTCCCCTCCCCTCCCCTCTCCTCTCCTCTCTCTCAACAGAAAGGACATATATTAAAGACATGGGTAGTAGAATAAATTCATTACATCTTAATATCTAAAGTATTTTGGACCAAATTACTTATGTATTTTTATTAGAAACAGTATGTATTTTGTGCAACCCAAAAATTAGGCATTTAATTTTACAAAACATTTCATTATGGTAATTTTAAACTATGCAATAGTAGAAAGAATAGTGGTGAACTTCCATGTATCCATCCCCCAACTCCAATAATTATCAACTCAGGGCCAATTCTGTTTCATCTCTACCCCCAACCCCATTGCATAGTATTTTGAAGCAAATCCCAGAGCATATAATTTCACCAATAAAAATAAAGACTTAAAAAACCATATTATTATCACATCTAAAATATTAACAATATTTCCTTAACATCATCAAACATTGAGTCATTGTTCAAATTATCAATTTTCTCATAATTGCAATTTCTTTTAGAGTTTTTAAAAAATTAAGTACAAACGTTGGGCACAGTGGCTCATGCCTGTAACCACATCACTTTGGGAGGCTGAAGAAGAGGGAGGATTGCTTGAGGCCAAGAGTTTGAGGCTGCAGTCAGCTATGATCATACCACAACTTTAGAGGTTGTAAAAAAGGGACACTCTAATTCTATCATTCCTTTGTCATTTAGCAGCTGGATTATTCCTATAAAGAGGAACTTCATATCATGTACTATGTAGTTATTCAGGTATACAGTTCACATAGGAATGTCAGGAAAAAAATTTATTTACCAGTTTTCAACTTAACATCCCAATTATCTCTTAAACATGACCAATTTTTGAGCATCATTATGAACTCATAGATTTAAACATGTTTGATGTGCTTCAATCTATTGCTATTGTTATCCCTACTGATATTCAAACTGTCACATCTTTGGCCATTGGGAGCCTCTTTAAGTTGGCTCTTGAGAGTCCTCTTCTTTTGGAATGATCCTATTAGTCTTCAATAGCTTGTTATCTATATGACAAGGTGCTTCAGGTTTCTCTTGTTCATTTCCTGACCCAGACCTTAAATCAGCCATTTCTCCAAGGAACCTGGCTCTTTTTAATGGGAGATGGTATTTCAAGACCTTGATCAGGCATCTGGTGGTGTTCACTGCTCCTGGGTTGGTTAGACATTGACTTTGAAGTTTTGAATTTCTGACATACTAGTGGCTAACAGTGTGGGCTGCAGAGATAGACTGCCTGGATTTGAATCAGTGCACTACCTCTTATTAGGTATGCAACACTGGGCCAGTTTATAAATTTATCTGTGCCTCAGATTCCTCAAATGTAAAATGAGAACAATAACAGTACCTAAATTTGTAGGACCCTGGTGAGGTTTGTAAAAATTGATATATAATAACTGTACATATTTATGGGGTACATAGTGATATTTTGACATATAGTGTATATATATAGTGCATGTGTATACATAGGCATAGTGTATATGTATAATGTATAGTGTTCAGATCAGGGTAATTAACATATACTTCATCTCAAATATTTATCATCTCTTTGTGTTGGGAATATTCAATACCTTCCTTCTAGCTATCTGAAACTATATTATTGTTATAGTCATCCTATAGTGGTATAGAACATGAGAATTTATTCCTGCTATCTAGCTGTAATTTTCTATCCTTTAACAAATATCTTCCTATCCCCTCCTTCCCCAAACTCGTCCTACCCTTTAGTATCCTCTTCTCTCCTTTTTACTTCTATAAGATCAAGTTTTTAAAGCTTCTGCATGTGAGAACATGCGTTGTTTAACCTTCTTTTCTTGGCTTATTTCACATAACATAATGTTCCCCAGTTACATATGTGTTGCTGAGAATGACAGGATTTGATTTGACTTGATTTTTTTTATTATACTTTAAGTTCTAGGGTACATGTGCACAACTTGCAGGTTTGTTACATATGTATACATGTGCCATGTTGGTGTGCTGCACCCATTAACTTGTCATTTACATTAAGTATTTCTCCTAATGTTATCCTTCCCCCTTCCCCCCACTCCATAACAGGTCCCAGTGTGTGATGTTCCCCACCCTGTGTCTAGGTGATCTCATTGTTCAATTCCCACCTGTGAGTGAGAACATGCAGTGTTTGGTTTTCTGTCCTTGTGATAGTTTGCTCAGAATGATGGTTTCCAGCCTCATCCATGTCCCTACAAAGGACATGAACTCATCCTTTTTTATGGCTGCAAAGTATTCCATAGTGTATATGTGCCACATTTTCTTAATCCAGTCTATCATTGATGGACATTTGGGTTGGTTCCAAGTCTTTGCTATTGTGAATAGTGCCACAATAAACATACGTGTGCATGTGTCTTTAGAGCAGCATGATTTATAATCCTTTAGGTATATGCCCAGTAATGGGATGGCTGGGTCAAATGGTATTTCTAGTTCTAGATCCTTGAGGAATCACCACACTGTCTCCCACAATGGTTGAACTAGTTTACAGTCCCACCAACAGTGTAAAAACGTTCCTATTTCTCCACAGCCTCTCCAGCACCTGTTGTTTCCTGACTTTTTAATGATCGCCATTCTAACTGGTGCAAGATAGTATCTCATTGTGGTTTTGATTTGCATTTCTCTGATGGCCAGTGATGATGAGCATTTTTTCATGTGTCTGTTGGCTGCATAAATGTCTTCTTTTGAGAAGTGTGTGTTCATATCCTTTGCCCACTTTTTGATGGGGTTATTTGATTTTTTCTTGTAAATTTGTTTAAGTTCTTTGTAGATTCTGGATATTAGCCCTTTGTCAGATGGGTAGATTGTAAAAATTTTCTCCCATTCTGTAGGTTGCCTGCTCACTGCAACCTCTGCCTCATCGGTTCAAGCGATTCTCCTGGCTCAGCCTCCCGAGTAGCTGGGACTACAGGTGTGTGCCACCACGCCCAGCTAATTTTTGTATTTTTAGTAGAGACAGGGTTTCACCATGTTGGCCAGGATAGTCTCAATCTCTTGACCTTGTTATCCGCCCACCTCGGTCTCCCAAAGTGCTGGGATTACAGGCACGAGCTACTGCACCTGGCTGATTTTATTCTTTTTTTCTGGCTAAATAGTATTCCATTGTCCATATATGCCACATTTTCTTCATCCATTCATCTATTGTTAGACACCTAGGTTGATTCCATATCTTGGCTATTGTGAATAGTGATGCAATAAATATGGGGATGCAGATATCTCTTTGATATGCTTATTTCCTTTTATTTGGATAAATGCCCCAGTAGGATTGCTGGATCACATAATTCTATTTGTAGTTTTTAAAGGAAACGCCATAGTGTTCTCCGCAGTGTCTGTACTAATTTGCATTCCCACCAACAGTGTAAGAGTTCCGTTTTGTCCACATCCTAAAGGGCATTTCTTATTTTTTTCTCTTTTTGATAATAGCCATCCTGAGGTGAGATGATACTTCATTGTGGTTTTGATTTGCATTTCCCTGATGATTAAGTGATGTTGAACATTTTTCATATATTTTTTGGCCATTTGTATGTCTTCTTTTGAGAAATGTCCAGATCATTTTCCCACTTTTAATTGCATTGTTCATTTTTTTGCTGTTGAGACATTTGAGTTCCTTGTATATTCTGGATATGAATTCCTTGTTGAATGAATGGTTTGCAAATATTTTATCCCATTCTGCAGGTTGTCTTTTCGTTCTGTTGTTCCCTTTGCTGCACGGAAGCTTTTTAGTTTGGTATAATACCATTTGTTTATTTTTTGCTTTTGTTGTCTGTGCTTCTGAGGTCTTATTCATAAAATATTTCCCTAGACCAATAGTCTGAAACATTTCCTCTATGTTTTATTCTAGTAGTTTTATAGTTTCAGGTCTTATATTTAGGTCTTTAATCCATTTTGAGTTGATTTTTTTTTTTTTTTTTTTGAGACGGAGTCTGGCTCTGTTGCCCAGGCTGGAGTGCAGTGGTGTGATCTCGGCTCACTGCAAGCTCCGCCTCCTGGGTTCATGCCATTTTCCTGCCAAACAGCCTCCCGAGTAGCTGAGACTACAGGCGCCAGCCACCATGCCCAGCTAATTTTTTGTATTTTTAGTAGAGATGGGGTTTCACCGTGTTAGCCAGGATGGTCTCAGTCTCCTGACCTCGTGATCTGCCCACCTCTGCCTCCCAAAGTGCTGGGATTACAGGCGTGAGCCACCGCGCCTGGCCTTGAGTTGATTTTTTTATAGGGTGAAAGATGAGAGTCTAGTTTCATTCTTCGACATATTGATATCATTTTCTCAGCAGCATTTGTTGAAGAGACTGCTCTGTCCCCAAAAAGTGTTCTTGGCACATTTGCCAAAAATTAGTTGGCTGTAGATATGTGATTAATTCCTGGTTTCTCTATTCTGTTGCATTGATTTATGTGTCTGTTTTTATGCCAGTACAAGGCTGTTTTGGTTACTACAGCTTTGTACTATATTGTGAAGTTAGGTAGTGTGATTCTTCTGGCTTTGTTCTTTCTGCTCAGGATTGCTTTGGCTATTTGGGGTCTTGTGTGGCTCCCTACAAATTTTAAGACATTTTTCTATTTCTGTGAAGGATGTCATTGATATTCTGATAGGGATTGCACTGAATCTGTAGATTGCCTTAGGTAGTATGGTCATTTTACAATATTAATTCTGACCCACGAGCATGTAATGTCTTTCCATTCATTTGAATCCTCTTCAATTTATTTCATCAGTATTTTGTAGTTTTCCTCATGATGTCTTTCACCTCCTCAGTTAAATTTATTCCTCGATATTTAAAAATTTTGGGTAGCAATTTAAATGGGATTTCCTTCTTGACTTCCTTTTTGCCTAGTTTTTTGTTCAAATATAGAAATGCTACTAATTGTTGTATTTCTATTCCTAGTTTGTTGACCGTTTTATTTATTATGGAAGGGGGCTAAATTTTGTCAAAGACTTTTCCGGCATCAATTGACATGATTGCATGCTTTCCTCCCTTCATTTGTTAATATGGTGTATTATATTAATTGAGTTTCCAATATTAAACCACCCTTGCATCCCAGGAATAAATCCCACTTGATCATGGTGTATATTCCTTTAATGTGCTGCTGAATTTGATTCGCTAGTAGTTTGTTGAGGATTTTTGCATCAATATTCGTAAGAGATATTGGTCTGTTGTTTTTTCCTGTAGTGTTTTTGTCTGGCTTTGATGTCAGGTTAAGGCTGGCCTCATAGGATGAGTTAGAAAGTGTTACCTTATCTTGGCCGGGTGCTGTGGCTCACGCCTGTAATCCTAGCACTTTGGGAAGCCGAGGCAGGTGGATCACGAGGTCAGGAGATTGAGACCATCCTGGCTAACACGGTGAAACACCGTAGCTACTAAAAAAATAAAAAAATTAGCCGGGCATGGTGGTGGGCACCTGTAGTCCCAGCTACTCCGGAGGCTGAGGCAGGAGAATGGCATGAACCCAGAGCCTGCAGTGAGCCAAGATCACACCACTGCACTCCAGCCTGGGTGGCAGAGCGAAGACTCCGTTTCAAAAAAAAAAAAAAAAAAGTGTTACCTTATCTTCAATTTTTTGCAAAAGTTTGAGAACTGGAATTGCTTTTTCTTTAAATGCTTGGTAGAATTAACTAGTGAAGCCATCAGGTCTTGGGCTTTTGTCAGAGACTTTTGATTTCTGACTCAATCTCATTATTAGTTAATAGTACAGGACAATTCTCTCGGTGGCCTTCGAGCAACCTAGTTCTCTCCTGTTTCTCACTCATTCTTATTTCTTAAGAATAAGTGTATAGGCAAGGCAAGGTGGCTCACGCCTGTAATCCCAACACTTTAGGAGGCCAAGGCAGGTGGATCACCTGAGGTCAGGAGTTCAAGACCAGCCTGGCCAGCATGGAGAAACCCCATCTCTACAAAAATACAAAAATTAGCCGGGCATAATGGCGGGTGCCTATAATACCAGCTACTTGGGAGGCTGAGGTGAGAGAATCACCTGAACCCAGGAGGCAGAGGTTGCAGTGAGCCCAGATCGTGCCATTGCACTCCAGCCTAGGTGACAGAGTGAGACTCCATCTCGGGGGGAAAAAAAAAAGATTAACTGTAGAATATACTGGGAATGCAACATTCCAAGATAAAGGAGATGGGTAGAAAAGCCCAGGCTCTCTTCCTGTCCCCCATAGAAACAGGATGCCCTTTAACATTTTAGCCCACTCTGTCATGTTGTTCCCATGGTTCCCATGGTATAAAACCCAGAGGGGCCAGGCACGGTGGCTCATGCCTGTAATCCCAGCACTTTGGGAGGCCCAGGTGGGCAGATCACTTGAGGTTTGGAGTTCGAGACCAGCCTGACCAACATGGTGAAACCCCGTCTCTACTAAAAATACAAAAATTAGCCAGGTGTCATGGCGGGTACTTGTAATCCCAGGTGCTCGGGAGGCTGAGGCATGAGAATCACTTGAACCCGGGAGGCAGAGGTTGCAGTGACCCGAGATTGCGCCACCAGACTTCAGCCTGGGAGACAGAGCGAGACCATGTCTCAAAAATAAATAAATAAATAAATAATAAAACCCGGGGAGATGGGCAGCTTTCTGGGGTCTCTCAGGTGCAGTGCACATGGGCACATGACACACAGGCCTCCATCCACCCCGGGTAGCTTTCCTGAGTGTTTCAGATGGCTTGTCCTGAATCCTAGTCTTCTGTTGTCCCTTGAGGTCTAACTGTAAGTAACAAATTCACTGCATTTAACTTGCTTTGTGTGTATTCCATCTAACCAGACTTGTGAAAGTAAACAATGTGCAATGAAATGGCTTTGACCAGATTTCCATTTCTTCATGATTTAGTCCTAGTCTTAGTATGTTTATGTTGCTAGTATTTTGTCCATTTCATTTAGTTTATCCAATTTGTTGGCATACACTTATGTAAGTGTTTGGTTAAAGAACAACTTTTTGTTTCATTGATTTTCTCTATTGTTTTTCTATTCATTATTTTATCTCTGCTCTCATCTTCATGATTTCCTTCCTTCTGATAACTTTGGGTTGAGTATTTATTTATTTGAGAGATGGGGTCTCGCTCTGTTGCTTACGTGGAGTGCAGTGGCATGATCATAGCTCACTGCCTGCAACTCCTGGGCTCAAGGGATTCTCCTGCCTCAGCCACCTGAGTAGCTGGGACTGTAGGCCTAAGCCACCATGCCTGGTTAATTTTTCAATTTTTTGTAGAGACAAGGTCTTTCTTGGTTGCCCAGGTGAGTTTTGAAATACTGGCTTCAAGTGATGCTCCTACCTTCACAATCTCAAAGTGGTAGGATTACAGGCATGAGCCACTGCGCCTGGCCTTGTTCTTTTTCTAGTTCCGTAAGTTGTAAAGTTAAGTTGTTGATTTTTTTTTTTTTTAAGGCGGGTCTCACTCTGTCGCCCAGGTGCTAGAGTGCAGTGGCATAATCATAGCTCACTATAGCCTCAAACTTCTGGGCTCAAGCAATCCTCCCCCTCAACCTCCCTAGTAGCTAGGACTAGAGGTGCCCACCATCACACCTATCTAATTTTTAAATTTTTGTACAGACAGGGTCTCACTATGTTTCCCAGGCTAGTTGTGAACTACTGGCCTCAAGTGATCCTCCTACTTTGGCCTCCTAAAGTTCTGGGATTATAGCCATGAGCCACTATGCTCAGCCTTGCAATTTCTTAAAATAAGACAACAATGAAGATTGCCCCATTGATTGACTCTTCCTTTCACAAAGATTTCTCAGGCTGGGCACAGTGGCTCACACCTGTTATCTCAGCACTTTGGGAGGCCGAGGCGGGTGGATCACCTGAGGTCAGGAGTTCGAGACATGCCTGGCCAACATGGTGAAACCCCATCTTTACTAAAAATACAAAATTAGCTGGGCGTGGTGACACGTGCCTGTAATCCCAGCTGCTCAGGAGGCTGAGGCAGAAGAATCGCTTGAACTGGGGAGGCAGAGGTTGCAGTGAGCTGGGACTGCACTCCAGCCTGGGCAACAGGAGCAAAACTCTGTCCCAAAAAAAAAAAAATTTCTCTGTAGCATGCAATATGCAGTGCCATTTGATAGCACTTTACCCCCGTGGAACTTTTTACAAAATTTGAGTTGGTCTTCTCAAAACTTGCCAGTGCTTTATCAACTCAGTTTATGTAATATTGTAAATCCTTTGTTGCCATTTCAACAATATTCACAGCATCTTCACCAGGAGCAGATTGCATCTCAAGAAACCATTTTATTTGCTCGTCCATAAGAAGCAACTCCTTATCTGTTCAAGTTTTATCATGAGACTACAGCAATTCAGTCACATCTTCAGGCTCCACTTTTAATTCTAGTTGTCTTGGTTGGAGGTTAAAATATCAACATTCTTTTTTTAAGAATATTGTTTTTTAGTTAATTCTACCAAACATTTAAAGAAGAAGCAATACCAGTTCTCAAACTTTTGCAAAAAATTGAAGGTAAGGTAACACTTTTTTTTTTTTGAGACAGAGTCTTGCTCTGTTGCCCAGGCTGGAGTGCAGTGGTGCGATCTCGGCTCACTGTAAGCTCCGCTTGCCAGGTTCACGCCATTCTCCTGCCTCAGCCTCCCGATTAGCTGGGACTACAGGCACCTGCTACCACGCTCGGCTAACTTTTTGTATTTTTAGTAGAGATGGGGTTTCACCATGTTAGCCAGGATGGTCTTGATCTCCTGACCTCGTGATCCACCCACCTCGGCCTCCCAAAGTGCTGGGATTACAGGCGTGAGCCACCAAATATCAACATTCTTAATGGCATCTAAAATGGCGACTCCTTTTCAGCAGGTTTTCAATTTACTTTGCCCAAATCCATCAGAGGAATCTCTATCTATGGCAGCTACAGCCTTATGAAATATATTTCTTAAATAACAACACTTGAAATTCAAAATGACTCCTTGATCCATGGGCTGGAGTGGATGTTGTGTTAGAAGGCATGAAAACAATAATCTCCTTATATGTCTCCGTCAGAACTCTTGGATGAACAGGTATACTATCAATGAGCAGTAACAGTATGAAAGGAATCTTTTTTTCTGAGCAGTAGGTCTCAACAGTGGGCTTAAAATAGTCATCCATGCTGTAAACAGATGTGCTGTCATCCAGTGTATTAGTCAGGGTTCTCTACAGGGACAGAACAGGATAGATGTATATATGAAGGGGGGTTTATTAAGGAGTATTGACTCACACGATCAAAAGGTAAAGTCCCAAGATAGGCCATCTGCAAGCTGAGGAGTAAGGAAGCCAGTCTGAGTCCCAAAACCTCAGAACCACCACGCCCCCCTAATTTTTGCATTTTTAGTAGAGACATGGTTTAGCCATGTTGGCCAGGCTGGTCTTGAACTCCTGACCTCAAGCAACCCACCCACCTTGGCCTCCCAAAGCACTGGGATTACAGGAGTGAGCCACCATGCTCCGCCAAAAACTAGACATTTTAATCTAATGTGGTAACTCTGGATATCAGATTTTCCCCATTCCTCAGAGTTTCTATTTCTTTCATTGTTTAGGCTGTGTCTGTCCCAAGAATCAGCATGAAATATAAACTTTTCTACTCAATCCTTTTCTAATCCTGCACCTCCCCTCAGCGTACATGGTGATTTTATAGTTTCCCCATATATGCAGATGCTTTTGAATGTCCTAGTCTTCAATGTCTTGCTCCCAAAAGGGGTTAAAAGAGAAAAATGAAGGAGGAAAAAATCAAGCTGTGTGCAAACTGCTCCAGAAATATGTGCACAGCTGTCGCCATAGGACTGAGGGGTGAGGAACTGGTAGTTACTACCGTCCTAAGAGTTGAAATTGACCAAAATTAACTACAATTTATCATCTTCCCCTGGAAGTTGCAAAATTTCAACAGACTCCAGATTCCAAAATAGTTGCATCAGATAGATTCTGCCAATGCAGCTGCTGTCTAGGCTGGGAGACAGATTTCTGGTGCTTTCTATGCTGCCATTTTCTCCAAATCCTCTCTCCATTCTCTCTTTTTTTTTGCAGTCATAGAATTTAGTTTTGGTCAGGGCATATGCTTACTGAGAATAAAAACTACACATCCCAACCTTTCTTGCAGCTAGCTATGACGAGGTGGCCAAGTTTTGGCCAGTGGGCTGTAAGTGAAAGTAGTAGTACACATTTTAAAAGTGTCTGTAAAAGGGTGCCTTTCTACTATTCCAACTTTATGCTGAATGTGTAACGGGTGACTGGATTTTGCGCAGCCGTTTTGGACTATGAAGAAGATACATGTTTATGTCAGAGAAACAAGAGGGAAGGAATCTGGGCTCTTGACATCACCGGGTGCCACACCAGTCCTGAACTAACTATAGTTAGGCTTCTTTTTAAGTGAGAAATACATTTCTGTTTTGTTTAACCACTATTGTTTTGGTGATTTCTATTATAAACAATTGATCCTAATCCCAATTAAGGTATTCAACTCATTTGCTGGCCCAGAAAGCAATTTTTTAAAAATCAAGAAATAGCTTTGTTGTGACATCTTTTTTTTTATCCACTCACTAAACAAACGTCCAACAGGGCTGTAATCTGGAGTTTAGACATGTTAGGCAGAATTCATAAGGGAGAGATGACATTATTAGACATGCGAAGGCTGAATCAGGAAGGTATCTTGTTATAGAAAACAGCATCAGTGATTGTCTTAGTCATTCGAGATGCTATAACAAAATACCACAAACTGAGCGGCTTATAAACAACAAAAATTTATTTCTCATAGTTTTGGAGGCGCCTTCTCACTGTGTCCTCACATGATGGAAAGACTGAAGAGCTCCCTTGGAACTCTTTTATAAGGGCACCAATCCCATTCATGGGAGCTGTCCCTGCATTACCTAATCACCTCCCAAAGGCCCACCTCTTAATACTACCATACTGAGGGTTTGGATTTTAACATACTAATTTGAGGGGGCACAAACATTCATAAGCAGTGATCCTGGGGTGGTCCCAAGTAAAGATGTCTCAACTTATGAGAAACCCTAAGGTTATAACCAGAAGATGTTAACTTAAAATAAGGATTTGAAATCTCAAGGAATTACTGAATTCTCAATAATGTCAGTATCTGAAAACAAATTTTTTTTTTTTTTTTGATATGGAGTCTTGCTCTGTCGCCTAGGCTGGAGTGCAGTGGTGCCATCTCGGCTCACTGCAAGCTCCACCTCCCAGGTTCACGCCATTCTCCTGCCTCAGCCTCCCGAGCAGCTGGGTCTACAGACGCCTCAACCTCGCCCGGCTAATTTTTTGTATTTTTAGTAGAGTTGGGGTTTCACCGTGTTAGCCAGGATGGTCTCAATCTCCTGACCTGGTGATCCGCCCGCCTCGGCCTCCCAAAGTGCTGGGATTACAGGCGTGAGCCACCGCGCCCGGCAAATTTTTTTTTTTTTTTTTAGACAGAGTTTTACTCTGTCGCCCAGGCTGGAGTGCAGTGGTGTGATCTCGGCTCACTGCAACCTCTGCCTTCTGGGTTCAAGCGATTCTCCTGCCTCAGCCTCCCGAGTAGCTTGGATTACAAGTGTGTACCACCATACCCAGCTAATTTTTGTGTTTTTAGTAGAGATAGGGTTTCACCATGTTGGCCAGGCTGGTCTTCAACTCCTGACCTCAGGTGATTCGCCCACCTCAGCCTCCCAAAGTGCTGCGATTACAGGTGAGCCACCACGCCCAGCCCTTTTTCCTGTTCTTAAAACTTCTAGTATAACTAAGATGATGCTATAGAACTTGAGCAAGTTCTTTTCTTGAAGACTATTAGCTTAATACCATTTATCCCATAGGTCCAGTGAATTTAGGTTCATTTAACTCTAAACTTACTAGGGCCTATAATAACATACAGTCCAGGATGTTCAACAAGAAAACTTTAATAGCATAATGATTGAGAGCATAAGCACTGCCGTCAGACATATCTAGCCTGGAGTCTACCACTTTCAAACAGTGGAACCCTGGAAACTTTTTTTTTTTTTTGCAGTTGCATGATCATAGCTCACTGTAACCTTGAATTCTTGGGTTCAAGTGATCCTCCTGCCTCAGCCTGCCAAGTAGCTAGGACTACAGGGATGCACCACCATGCCTGGCTTTTTTTTTTTTTTGAGATGGGGTCTTGCTATGTTGCCCAGGCTGGTCTTGAACTCCTGTCCTCAAGTGATCTTCCTACCTTCCCCTCCCAAAGTACTAAGATTACAGGTGTGAGCTACCACACCCAGCTGAGAAAATTATATAACCCTTCTAGGCCTCAGTTCCCTCACTGGAGATAATGGATACAGATTTAATTATAATGTGCTTAGCACAGTGCCTGGCCATAAGAGTCACTCAGTGAAGAGTCATCATAAGATTCCAGGGTCCATAAGAAGAGTATGTGAAGAAGGGCCTCCAGAGACAACCTACCTTATCTCCTACAGATGTCCAGGATTTACCAGCTCATGTATAACATGGAATCATACTAACAACATTCACCATGTTCTGTTGGCTCTTAATGTTCCAGTTAATACAGAAACTCTACCCCTGCCAATTGCCCTCCCCATGCATTGACTTCTGCAAATTCTCCAGTAGTGTCACAAGCAAGTCCTTATCTTCCAGGTGACGTCCGTATCATCCTTCCTCTAGCTGCTTTGATGATGTTTGTAGTTAAGAGCTCCACTGCCTTCTAAGATGGCTTGGGATTCCTCTCCACTACCTTTACATTTTCCTTTAAATGTTATTTTTCACCTTATAAAAAGGGTATCATGCTGTATGTAATTTTCAGGACTTTTTTCACCAAATGTTGTGCTGCTAATATTCATGCATATTGTTTTATGTCACTGTAGCTCATTTGTTTTGGCTACTGTACATTTTCCACTCTTCTGCTGATGGGCACCTGGGTAGCTTCTAGGCTTCTGCTATTGTGAAAGTGCTACAAAGTATATTCATGTTCACATTTTCTATTGCACATGTAGGTTTCTTCCAGCATATACCCAGGAGTGCTACTGCTGGATTGCAATATGTGAATGTTACATGTTACTTCATGTATTATTTTTCTTTTTTTTTTTTTTTTAAGACAGAGTCTCACTCTGTTGCCCAGGCTGGAGTGCAGTGGCATGATCTCAGCTCACTGTAACCTCTGCCTCTCAGGTTCAAGCTATTCTCCTCTCTCAGCCTCCCAAGTAGCTGGGACTACAGGCGCACGCCACCACCCCAGGCTAATTTTTGTATTTTTAGTAGAGACGGGCTTTCACCGTATTGGTCAGGTTGCTCTTGAACTCCTGAGCTCAGGTGATCCACCCATCTCAGCTTCCCAAAGTGCTGGGATTACAGGCATGTGCCACCGCACCCAGCCATGTATTATGTTTTTCGTATCTAATATTTATGACTTCCTGTTTCTACTTCATCTTCCCTTGTCTCTTTGAGAATATTTATTGTTTATGTTTTGGTCTGCTCATTCTGATTCCAAAATATGTTTATGTATATATTTAAAGGCTTGGAATAACACGTACACAACTATATATGGTGGTCATCTTTGAAGGACTGCAGTTATGAAAAAACCATCAGTTCAACTGTCCTGGACAGCATTTCATTTTATTATGTAACTGTAGAAAGCCTTGATCAAGATAAAAATAGGGATGACTTATCAGAAACTGAAGAATTTTCTTAGGAAAGCAAAGTTTACTGAAGGATACCTTCATTCCAGCCATGATGAGCATCTGTCTTCTCAGGCAATCATGATGAAGCTCCAGGGACAGTATAACCCATCTCTCCCACTCATCCCTGAGCCTTGGTCCTGGACTGAATGTGGTTAGAGGTTGTGGAAATAAAAAAAAGAACCAAAATAAGAACACTCTCCATAAAAGCCAAGCTCAGAGACTGGTCCTCTTTTGCTTAGGTACAACAGGAGCAGGAAGGATCAACATTCTTGAAAGCATACCTTCTATTCATTTGGCTTTTTTGACTTGGGGCGCCAGTGTAGAGCTGAGCACTCCACTGCCCTTTCTCCACTCACAAATGTCTGCATAGGTACACGTCCGGCACTTCCAAGCCTCCTCCACGTCAACTCCCTGGGGCTCTCGGTGGCCCATCCAGTAGGCCATATAATGCTGCACCTTGGCTCTCACCTCCTTCTCTTTGAAGGCTACAATCTCAGTACCCAGCACAGTGGCAGTCTCTTGGTGGATATACTCAATCTTCAAGATATCAATAACTGGGAGGTCTGACAGTGTTAGAGACAAGAAGACAAGTTCCATGAGGTCACCCAAAGACTTCACAGAGAAGCCTCCCTGCTGGGCATGCCTCAGCACTGATGGCCCCAGTGGCTTTTCTAGACACAACTTTGTGTGGTGGATTAGGCTAGCAGGGGTCACTTTTCCTTGTACCATGGCATCAAAGATATATTTGTATAGGCTGACTTGAAAACAGTCTTTCTTCTTCTGAGCTTCCAGAGGGAGCATAGGGCGCCTGCGTGTCTTGAGTTCCGCCAGCTCCAGTTCCCCCTTGGCTGTATAGTGCAGCTCATCAATCACTCCAACAAGAAGTACACCCTCCCCTTCCCCAAACACTGGAAACTCTCTGATGTGCCCTTCTGACTGCAGGGTAGGAATCAGCAAAAGTATGTTCAGAAACTTAATTGCCCAAGCATCTTCTTTAGTGGTGACTGGGACAGTCACAAGATCATGAAGTTCTAGTTCTCTAGCTAGGTGTATGCTGGCACCAGTGTCCAACACAGCTGCCTTCTCAGGTGCCAAGAAACCAGGAAGCTCCTTCCCATATGCTGTTTGCAGTTCACACCAGTTCTGAGTAGCCAGGTCAGTGACATATAAATATTTAAGGTGGAATCTCTCCATGGGTGATAATATATCCAATCCTCTTTTCCAGTTTTGTAAGCTTATGGGTTTGTCATCCTTCCCAAGGGATTCAGAAGATGGGCCAGGCATGTTAACTAAAGCCTTTGACTCTTGGGCATCTTCTAGGTCCAGAAACTCCAGGAACTCTGAGTCACTCAAGTCTGAGAACCCTGAGGCTTCTGCTGACACTGTCTCCTCTTCTCTTGTCTCTGCCATGGTACAGCTCTGGATTGGGCTAGAAGGGCCCTGCATAACATGTTAAAGAAATGCATTGTTCAAATAAAAACGTTCTCAAAAGCACTTTCAAATTTCAGTGAGATAAAAACAAAATTATGACAAATTATTTATTTACATTCTTTTAAAAAGCCAGTTTATTTATGACCAATTAGTAATGCCTTGAGTTATAGTCCAGGTATGTATTGCTATAGGGCTCCTTATATATATCCATATATATCTCTTGGCAGAATTTTTTTTTTTTTTTGAGACGGAGTCTCGCTCTTTCACCCAGGCTGGAGTGCAGTTGCGCGATCTCGGCTCACTGCAAGCTCTGCCTCCCGGGTTCATGCCATTCTCCTGCCTCAGCCTCCCGAGTAGCTGGGACTACAGGCGCCCGCCACCACGCCTGGCTAATTTTTTGTATTTTTAGTAGAGACGGGCTTTCACTGTGTTAGCCAGGATGGTCTCGATCTCCTGACCTCATGATCCACCCACTTTAGCCTCCCAAAGTGCTGGGATTACAGGCATGAGCCACTGCAGAATTTTTTAAGTGGAAAAATAGTTTTATTCCTGGATCTTCCACTAACATACTGTGTGTGACTTTAAGCAAATCACCTTTCTTGGCCTCAGTTTCTTCAGATTTAAAAAGAGCTTTGAGGCGGGGCGGGTGGCTCACACCTGTAATCGCAGCACTTTGGGAGGCTGAGGTGGGCAGATCACTTGAGGTCAGGAGTTCAAGACCAGCCTGGCTAACATGGTGAAACCCCATCTCTACTAAAAATACAAAAATTAGCCAGGTATGGTGGCACACACCTGTATTCCCAGCTACTCAGGAGGCTGAGGCAGCAGAATTGCTTGAACAGGGAGATGGAAGTTGCAGTGAGCCGAGACTGCACCACTGCACTCCAGCCTGGGTGACAGAGCAAGACTCTGTCTCAAGAAAAAGAAAAAAAAAAAAAAAGGAGATTTGAGGTTTGCCTTTTCTGCTTCAAAATTCTATTGACTTGAAAGAGTATTTCATTATTTTAAGTGAATATACATCTTTGTAAATGTAGGAACAATGTTTGAGAAGTTTACCATGGGCCACTTTCTACAATTTCCTTTATACAAAGTCCTTGACGAGCAAAATGAATCTCAACTACAAACTGTTCCTTGAGAAAAAGGAGCTCTGCAATAACTGTTTTTAAATGCAGTTCAAGGAACCTAGTATGGCAAAATTCAAAGATCAACTATATATAGATACAAATAAATATAGTCTAACACAAATTAATGCATGAAATAATAAGAGGATGTTACAGCGACACATGGAAATTAGTAGCTTGACTTCATAAATTATCCTCTTAATATTATAGAAATTGGTGTCTGTCACTAAACTGGAGTTTCCCATTAAGTTTATTTTCTCCCTCCACAAGAAACTAGCTTATAATGGGAAAAAAATCTGCCTATTACAGCATTATTAAAAACTCAAAATTTACTGCTATAATAGAGAATATTTATTGTGCGGTTATTTTTTGTGTGCCAGACACTGAGCCACGTGTTTTACATCCAATATCTCACTACCCTACTGTGGGATGGGGATGGGTACTGTACTCCTTTTTTCTTTCAACTTTTTACTATAAAGATTTTCAAGGCCGGGTACAGTGGCTAAAGCCTGTAATCTCGGCACTTTGGGAGGCCGAGGCAGGTGGATCACCTGGGGTCGGGAGTTTGAGACCAGCCTGGCCAGCATGGTGAAACTAAAAATACACCTCATGGTGAAACTAAAAATACAAAAAATTAGCCGGGTGTGGTGGCGGGCACCTGTAATCCTAGCTACTCGGGAGGCTGAGGCAGGAAAATCGCTTGAACCTAGGAAGTGGAGGTTGCAGTGAGCTGAGATAACACCACTGCACTCCAGCCTGGGTGACAGAGTGAAGACTCCATCTCAAAAGAAAAAGAAAATTTTCAAACATACAGAGAAGTAGAAAGAATAAAACAACAAACACCCATGTCCACACCATGTAGATGAACAACTGTTGACATTTTGCTGTATTTACTTCTTGTGTGTGTACTTTTTTGTTTTGGCTGAACTATTTTAAAGTAAATTACAGATAGCATAAAACTTTAAAATCTAAATGTTTCAGCATAATTTCCAAATGGCATTCTTCTTCATAACCACAATACTGTCTTCCAAATGACATTCTCCTCATAACTACATTATCACATCTGACAAAATTAGTAATTCCTTAACATTCCAGTTCATATATAAATTTCCCCAACTGTCCTCAAAATGTCCTAGATAGCTTTTCTTTAATCCAGGAAACAAAGACCACACATTATGTTTGATTGTTTTGTCTTTCAAGTATTTTTTAATCTTAAGAAACTGGGCGGCCAAGCGCAGTGGTTCACGCCTGTAATCCCAGCACTTTGGGAGGCCAAGGCGGGCGGATCATGAGGTCAGGAGATCGAGACCATCCTGACTAACACGGTGAAACCTGTCTCTACTAAAAGTACAAAAAATTAGCCGGGCTTGGTGGTGGGTGCCTGTAGTCCGAGCTACTTGGGAGGCTGAGGCAGGAGAATGGCGTGAACCCAGGAGGCGGAGCGTGCAGTGAGCTGAGATCCCACCACTGTGCTCCAGCCTGGGCAACAGAGCGAGACTCCGTCTCAAAAAAAAAAAAGAAAAAAGAAAAAAGAAACTAGGCAAATTATCTTATGAAGATACTCTTTTTAAGCCTTCCTTCTAACCCCACATATCTAACCTGCATAGAGAGTAAGCAAAACAAGATACAACCAGTCCATTAGTGTTTGACTTTGAGTGCCAGGAAAATAAATAATTTGACATAGAATTTTAGCTGATAGAGATAGCTATGAACCAAATGTCCCCTTCTTGCTATTCTAATAAGCAGTGAAATAAGGTGAATGCACCAACTCCTATGTCAAAGCGTAAGAAGTGATGCCCTGAAAACGTCATTAATATCAGTTGTGGTTGTGTTTAACTGATTTTTAAATAGTCTAAATGTCACTAATGAAAGAAAACATAGATAGCTAGAAGAAAAGTTATCTGCAATGAATAAAAATAATACAATAGTAAGACTTTTGCTTATAGAGTATCCTACAACATTATTGCTTTACAGGATATTTCAATAGTAACAAAATACAGAAGCTGTGCATTTACACAAGTGTTATAAACTGTCAATGTGCTTTAAATAATTTCAAGAAACTTTATTTCAACTATGAAGTCTCTGAAAATTGGAAAGAATATTTACCCTTCACCAAGAAACTAAAGTTAAAGGGCATTTATTTTTTCTTTTCTTTTATTTTATTTTTTGAGACAGAGTCTCACTCTTTCACCCAGGCTGGAGTGCAGTGGCGGGATCTCAGCTCACTGCAAGCTCTGCCTCCCGGGTTCACGCCATTCTCCTGCCTCAGCCTCCCGAGTAGCTGGGACTACAGGCACCCGCCACCGCGCCCAGCTAATTTTTGTATTTTTTAGTAGAGACGGGGTTTCATCGTGTTAGCCAGGATGGTCTCGATCTCCTGACCTCGTGATGCACCCGCCTCGGCCTCCCAAAGTGCTGTGATTACAGGCGTGAGCCACCGCACCCAGCCCTAAAGGGCATTTATAACACATATGCTATGAGGTATTTGTGAGGGTGAGGGGGAACTCCAAGTCCAAATCAATAACCTTAAAATATTTTATTTCAAATATCTAGACCTGGCTGTCCAATATGGTAGCCATTAGTAGCCACTAGCCATATGTGGCTACTTAAATTTAATTAAAATAAAATAAAATTCACATCTCAGTTGCACTAGCCATATATTAAGTGCTCAGTAGCTACATCTGGCTGGTGGATACAGATAAGGCACAGATACAGAACATTCCCTGATCACAGAAAGCTCTACTGAACAGCATAGAGTTAGACTATTTCCTGTGTACACATTAACTCCCCAAAGAGAGAGGAAGCTCCTGAAATGTATGGAGTTCCTACTTGTTTTACATACAACATTGAGAACAGGTAGTTCTAAACAGGGAAGTGAAATGTCTTTTGGAGAAGATACAAAGCAGGGCATTCTCTGTGAAAGTATTCATCTATAAGAATAAAACAGTACACTAGGGATGGATGACTGATGCTCAGATGTGTCTGGGACTTTCCTACGCAGAAAAGAATCCAGAAGAGAGCATAATGCAGTGCATTGTGTCCCAAATTGTAGTTTGTATGTCTGACACGAGACGATTTTACATAGCACATGGACCAACATTTTTAGATACACCTTAGAATAACTATACTGTTATTGGAGCAGCCATCAAATGGCTAATTTCACAGATATTGTTTCTTAGGACAAGTTTGATTTTTATAAAAAAAAAAAGTAAGTAAAAACATAGAATAATACAGGTAGTACACAGGTATGGCAAAATTGTTAGGTAGTAAGTGAATGGGATGCTGGGAAACAGCATAATGCCAAGAGTCTGGGAGTCCTACAGATATGGATTCTAAACCTAATCCTGAGTAGTTCGGTAGCATTTAGTAGTATGCTACTTGCCTTTTGAGTAAGCTTGGACAAGGTTCTAGTTTTCCTGAAGTTACTGACACATTTTTAAAATACCTACTAACCCTACTGAGATATCCGACCATTGAGTGATAACATATAGTACGCATATTAGCACTCGATGAAGATAGATCTCCTTCTTTTTCCCCAAGGAAGAGATGAGAGAGTGTATCGATTCCCCCTGACAAAGGAGATGAAACTTTAGAAGAGAAACTCCTATTCACCTGTGACTTCGTTGATCTTCCTCCTCATAGGGAAGGCCAGAATGCTGAAATGACAAGGCTAGGGAAGAGAAAGAAGTTCTGAAAGACCAGGTCTGCATTAAAGAACCTAAATTAGCAACTTAGGTCCTTGCTATGGTAGAACCGGAACTTCTGGTCCTTTCTTACCTGACCATTCCCTCACGTTGGGTGTTTTCTCCTCTCACATTGACACTGCACAGACTGTTACCCACCCCAGATCCTAGGTTACATAACGCTCGCCTCTCTCCTGGGGCAAACTCTCTCCATGATTTCTTCGTTCCCCCGTACTCTAGATGCAATGACTTGATCCAATCCCTGCTCCCTGAAAGTAAAAGGGTCAGACATAACCAAGATCCCCAAGGAGCTCCGAGATCAGTTCCCTCTTCCAGCTCCATTCTCAACCCAGCAGCTCAAGCAAGAGACCTTATGACAGCGGCTCTTTCTCTCAGATGGGTTACTGCCTTCTGCAGAATTGCCGATGGCAACATCCTGACTTGTTCAGTGCGGCCCGGACTTGTGGGCTCCGCGGGCGTTTGCCTTCAGGGAAGATCTTTCCTCTGGCCCTAAAGCACTGTCTCCCAGGGAGTGCCATGCATGCCCTAAAGTGTACTGAGCACTTCCTACAGTTCTGGCAGAGCCAGGAATAAGAACAGGGAGCCGTCCACCTCGGGAAGGAGTCCCGGCCAACAGCACTGTGTTCCGAGGGCGAAGGTCCAGAACGGGAACCCGGCCTGTGAGGGGAGACGAGACGAGCCGCTTCCCGGGAGCCGCGCCCACCAAGGGAGGGAGACGCGGCGATCGCAGGGACAGAACCCTAAGCTCCGAAACGCAGCCTCCCAGCCCATTCTCCGGCCTTCCCCTAACCTCTGATACTCCTCCGAACCTCGGACTCCACCTGGTTTCGCCGCGGCCTCGGAGCTGCTCCCGGACGCTCCCGGCGAGGAGACTGAGGAAGCCGGGCAGAGCGCGCTGCCGGAGCGGACTACACAGTCGGCCCGCCACTCGCAAAAAAGCCGCCCAGAGCCCAGTCCCAGAGTGCCCCGCGGCTGCCCACGGACCGCCTTCCCAGAGGCCCTCGCGGCGCCGCCTACCTCGCGAGGCTGCGGCTGGGGCAGAAATCCGTCTCTGTGAGCGGAGGAGGGTGTGCTTATGCGAGAGCAGGTTTTGGGAGCTCACTAAAGCAGGTCAGTCCCTCTGTTTGCGCCGTTGTCTGTGGGTCGTTTAATTCCGGGCGCAGCTGATCTGTAACTTCCCTCACTGGCGAGGTCTCCCAGTTACCACCGGGACAATCCGAGCAAGGTCTGGGCCCCTCGCTGCCCCCGGTGAAGTGCCGCGTCTCCGCTTGGCCATCCGTGGATTCAGCATCCCCACCTTAGCACCTCCCGCCGGCTTTTCCATTGAGAGCAAAACCACGAACTCACTTTTGAGAGATGCTGGCGCTCCCCTCATCAATATTTCTTTTTTTTTTTCTGTTTGCTTACTTTTAACTAACCTTTTATTGATAAATATAACACAATTTTATTCTGAAATATAAACCAAAGATAAGTATAATTATGAACAGCCAAGTCATTAGAGCGAAAAAAGAATAGTGTCAGGTTCTTCACAGATACACTTCCTGAGAAAACCACTAGCCCGACTTTTATAACACTTTGCTTTTCTTATTTATATTTATTTATTTATTTATTTTACCAAAAGCAGATACTTGACTCTTTGCTTTTCTTTACGGTTTATCACGCATACTTGAAAACTGGATTTATGACAAAGGTGGCATCATACAGCCATGGAGAAAAGATGGTCTATTCAGTGAAGGTTCTATGACAATATGAAGGCCGGGCACGGTGGCTCACGCCTGTAATCCCAGCACTTTGGGAGGCTGAGGTGGGCGGATCACGAGGTTAAGAGATCGAGACCATCCTGGCCAACATGGTGAAACCCTGTCTCTACTAAAAAGTACAAAAATTAGCTGGGTGTGGTGGCACACACCTGTAGTCCCAGCTATTCAGGAGGCTGAAGCAGGAGAATCGCTTGAACCGGGAGGCGGAGGTTGCAGTGAGCGGAGATCACACCACTGCACTTCAGCCTGGGCAACAGAGGGAGACTCCGTCTCAAAAAAAAAAACAAAACAGAAAACAGGACCTCTATCTCTCATTTCATCACAAAAATCAATTGTAGCTGGATTAAGACCTAAATGTGAAATCCTAAACTATAAAGTCTTCAGAATATAATATAGGAAAATATCTTTGGACTTCAGAATAGGTAAATATTTTAAAACAAAAATAGAAAAACATTAAATTGGCCAGGCATGGTGGCTCATGCCTGTAATACCAACACTTTGGGAGGCCCAGGTAGGCGGATCACTTGAGGTCAGGAGTTGAGACCAGCCTGGCCAACATAGTGAAACCCCGTTTCTAGTAAAAATACAAAAAATTAGCCAAGTGTGGTGGCAGGTGCCTGTAATCTCAGCTACTTGGGAGGCTGAGGCAGGAGAATCACTTGAACCTGGGAGGCGGAGTTTGCAGTGAGCCGACAACAGGCCACTGCACTCCAGCCTGGGTGATAAAGTGAGACTCTGTCTCAAAAAAAAAAAGGAAAAAAAGAAAGAGAAAAAAGGAAAGAAAAAGAAAGAAAGAGAAAGAAAGAAAAGAAAAGAAAGAAAGAGAAACATTAAATTAAGACAACTACAGGCTGAGTGCAGTGGCTCACACACCTGTAATCCTAGAACTCTGGGAGGCCGAAGTGGGTGGATCCCTTGAGCTCAGTTCAGAAACCAGCTGGGGTAACATGGTGAAAACACGTCTCTACAAAAAATACAAAAATTAGCTGGGGGTGGTGATACGTGCCTGTAGTCCCAGCTACTCTGGTGCGTCAGTTGGGAAAATTTTGAAGTGACTTGTGTTTTAGATAATATTATCAATCAATTATAGGTCTCCTGAGTGTCATAATGATTTTGTGGTTATGTAGGAAAATGTTCTTTTTCTTAGAAATATGTAAGTTGAGGCCAGGTACGGTGGCTCTCGCCTGTAATCCTAGCACTTTGGGAGGCCGAGGCGGGCGGATCACCTGAAGTCAGGAGTTCAAGACCAGCCTGGCCAACATGGTGAAACCCTGTCTCTACTAAAATACAAAAATTAGCCGGGCATGATGGCAGGTGCCTGTAATCCTAGCTACTCGGGAGGCTGAGATGGGAGAATCGCTTGAAACCGGGAGATGGTGGTTGCAGTGAGCCGAGATCATGCCACTGCACTCCAGCCTGGGTGGCTGACTGAGACTCTTGTCTCAAAAAAAAAAAAAAAAAAAAATGGAATTTAAGTGTATTAAATAGTCTGTTCTCATGCTGCTAATAAAGACATACCTGAGATTGGGTAATTTATAAAGGAAAGAGATTTAATTGACTCACGGCTCCACATGGCGGGGGAGGCCTCACAATCATGGAGGAAGGTGAAGGAGGAGCAAAGTCACCTCTTACATGGTGGCAGGCAAGAGAGAACATGTGCAGGGGAACACACCTTTATAAAACCATCAGGTCAGCTGGGTGTGGTGCCTTATGCCCGTAATCCCAGCACTTTGGGAGGCCATGGCTGGTGGATCACCTAAGGTCAGGAGTTCAAGACCAGCCTGGCCAACATGGTGAAACCCTATCTCTACTAAAAATACAAAAAATTAGCCAAGCATGGTGGCAGACGCCTGTAATCCCAGCTATTCGGGAGGCTGAGGCAGGAGAATCACTTGAACCTGGGAGGCGGAGGTTGTGGTGAGCTGAGATCGCGCCACTGCACTCCAGCCTGGGCAACAAGAGTGAAATTCCATCTCAAAAACAAAAACGAAACAAAACAAAACCATCAGATCTTGTGAGACTTATTCACTATCACGAGAACAGCATGGGAAAGACCTGCCCCCACGATTCAATTACCTCCTACCAGGTACCTCTTCCATGATATGTGGGAATTATGGGAGCTACACTTCAAGATGAGATTTGGGTTGGGAGACAACCAAACCATATCATTGAGGAAATGCTTTTTAATCCATTGAGATATGAGAAGGCATTTCTGGATTGAGGCTACAAAAACTTTCTGCCTCTTCCCCAACATAACCTTTCTTACTTGAGATGTAAACTGAATGCCAGGAAAACCCCTCCCCAACCCCTTCACACATGGACCACTCCTCAAATGGGGTTTGAGGGGCAATGACACTGGGTAGAGTGAAGCAGAAGAGATTTAGAAACAGTCATGGAATTTGTGGGGAAAATAAATATCAAAAACATAGTACCATATATTCCCCAAAACTTTCAGCCTAAAGACTGTGGGTCTCAAAACTGAGAAAAGAATGCCCTTTTCCCCAAAAGGCTATCCTAGGAAGTCTGAGTCCTTAAGGCCCACCTGTATGCAAAAGTCACTGATTTGGTTCTTCCATCTCCAGGTCTGTAACCATCAAAATACTGTTAGACACAAATGGCCCATTTTCCTCTGTGTCCATTCTTCCCTCCTTGGTGTTTTGGAGCACAGGACTGTACCCCTAACATTGTACTGACTACAGTCTACCATATATCGGAGTAAGTCTTTATGTGATTACTCCCAGAGCTGCACTGTCCAATACAGTAGCCACTAGTCATATGTGGCTCTTGAACACTTGAAATGTGGCTAGTCCAAAATGAAATGTGCTATAATTATAACATTTACAAGCACTTTGAAGCTGAGTACAAAAAAAAGGTTAAATAACTCACTAATAATGTTTACATTGATTAAATGTTGAGATGATAATGTTTTGGATATATTGGTGATATGGTTTGGCTCTGTGTTTTCCACCCAAATCTCACCTTGAATTTTAATAATCCCCATGTGTCATGGGAGGGACCCAGTGGTAGGCAATTGAATCATGGGGACGAGTTTTTCCTGTGCTGTTCCCGTGATAGTGAATAAGTCTCACAATATCTGATGGTTTTATAAAGGGGAGTTCCCCTACACAAGCTTCTTGCCTGCTGCCATGTAAGACATGCCTGCTCTTCCTTCGCCTCCCGCCATGATTGTGAGGCCTCTCCAGCCATGTGCAATGGTGAGGCCATTAAACCTCTTTCCTTTATAAATTACCCAGTCTTGGGTATGTCTTTATTAGCAGCATGAGAACAGACTAATAAAACTGAGTTAAATAAAACATCTTAAAATTAAGCTGGGTGTGGTGGCTCATGCCTGTAATTCCAGCACTATGGGAGGCCAAGGTGGGTGAATCACCTGAGGTCAGGATTTCAAGACCAGCCTGGCCAACATGGCAAAACCCCATCTCTACTACAAATACAGAAATTAGCCAGGCATAGTGGCATGTGCCTGTAGTCCCAGCTACTCAGGAGGCTGAGGCATGAGAATCTCTTGAACCCAGGAGGCAGAGGTTGCAGTGAACCAAGACTGCACTACTGCACTCCAGCCTGGGCAACAGAGTGACTCTGTCTTTAAAAAAAAATTAATTTTACTTGCTGTTTTTTGTTGTATTAATGTAGCTGCTAGAAAATTTAAAATTACATATGTTTGCATTTGTGTTGTGGCTTACATTATATTTCTGTTGTACAGTGCTGCTCTGGAGTATCAGAGCCTTAAAGGAAGAGAATTTATCTTGCTCAAATTGTGTTCCTCACAGGTATAGGGGCAATAATCGGCATACTCTTTACATGCTCAAGAGAACTCCATTGACAATATTCAGTATTTGAGAATCTTCTATTCCTTATATGAGAATCAGCCTCTCTCTTGAGTCAAACTCCAATTTCTGGCAATTGAAAGGGGCATTTTTAGTCGGAGAAAGCAGGAGGAGGTAGCCCTAGGCCAGGAAGTTGTGGGGGGTGAGAATGAGCTAAGGATGAACGACTGGGGCATGCTTCTGCTAAAAGAAGGCAGCTTCGGATATGGTACATTATGAACCCTTGAGTCAAGGGGTTTTCTCTTTCCATTTCTTGGATCTGTTTCTCCTGTGTTTGCTCCATATCCGGCAGCCTCCCTCCTCTTCCACTGCTAGTAGCTTCCAGGACCATGAAAGCCTTTCAGATTTGTGTCCATTGTGGGAAAAAAGGAAGTCTGTTTCCCTAATAGCTGAAACATAAGTTCAGAAATTGTTCCTGATTGGTAAACTGGGGTTAAACTCTATGCCTGTCTTAGCCAGAGTCTTCTAGAAAACAGAGCCTGAGGCAAGGATTAGAGTCCTTTTTTTTTTTTTTTTTTTTTAATTTGGAAGGTGTTAAGCACGTGGTAGCAAGGATAAGAAAAGAAAAGAGGGACGTGGAGCAAGTAACAATGTAAAGCAAATTGAAGTGGTAAGTTATTGCACTGGGCTATTGCCTCATGTTGAGACGTGGTTCTCCCAAACTGATTTCACAGTAATTTTATAAAATTTAAACCCCACGTTGTCACTTTCTGGTCTCAAATCCTATAGGATAAGGCTTATCTCTTTATTTAGTCAATCCAGCCAAGAATTCAAGGGCTCATCCAAGAAAGGTATAAATTTTGTGAGGTGTATCACATGTCATTTCCTTGTATGATGCAAACTAAATCTGGGAGGATGAGTAGGAGCTAACTAAATAAAGAAGTTGGGCTGGGCACGGTGGCTCACACCTGTAATCCCAGCACTTTGGGAGGCCAAGGAAGGAGGATCACCTGAGGTTGAGTTTGAGACCAGCCTGGCCAACATGGCGAAACCCAGTCTCTACTAAAAATAAAAAAATTAGCCAGGCACGGTGGCAGCACCTGTAATCTCAGCTACTCGGGAGGTTGAGACAGTAGAATCGCTTGAACCCAGGAGGCAGAGGTTGCAGTGAGCCGAGATGGTGCTACTGCACTCCAGCCTGGGTGACAGAGTGAGACTCCGTCTCAAAAAAAAGAAAAAAAAAGAAAAAAGAAAAAAAAGAGAAGTTGGACAGAAGAGGAAATTGCACCATTGAGGACCAGAAACCATGAAATAGCATGGAATATTTAGGGAACCATAAGATCTTTATAGCTGAAGCAAAATATGCTTGGGTGGAAATTTGGGAGCCACTTCTAGACAAATAGGAGATGCTCTATACCAAGTGGTCTGTACTAAGAAATTTACCTTTTTTTTTTTTTCTTAGACAGGGTCTTGCTGTGTCACCCAGGCTGCAGTACAGTGGTGCAATCTTGGCTCACTGCAGCCTCTGCCTCCTGGGCTCAAGCAGTCCTCCCACCTCAGCCTCCCTCGTAGCTGGGACTAGAGGCATGCACCACCATGCCCAGCTAATTGAAAAAAAAAATTTTTTTTTTTTGAGACGAAATCTTGCTCTGTCCCCTAGGCTGGAGTGCAGTGGCACGATCTCAGCTCACTGCAACCTCCACCTCTCGGTTAAAGCGATTCTCCTGCCTCAGCCTCCTGAGTAGCTGGGATTACAGGCATGCGCCAGTACGCCTAGCTACTTTTTATATTTTTAGTAGAGATGGGGTTTCACCATGTTGGCCAGGCTGGTCTCAAACTCCTGACCTCAGGTGATCCACCTGCCTCAGCCTCCCACAGTGCTGGGATTATAGGCATGAGCCACCACACCTGGCCTAATTTTTAAATTTTCGTAGAGAGAAGTTCTCACTATATTGCTCAGGCTTACCTTTATCTTAAAGTAATGAGAAATCATTGAGGGATTTTAAGCAATGATGTGGTTTGATTAGACATATGTTTTAGAATGATTACTCTAGAAGCAGTGGGGAGGCTAGAGAGATTAATCCAAACTACAAATAGAAACACCAGTTTGGTATCTTTTAAGCAGTTAGAAAGTGCTAAGAACCTGATTAACACATTGGTAATGGGAATGGAGAGAAAAAGATAGACTGAGGAGAATATACAGGACTTGGTGACTGATCGGGGGAGGTAATGGATGAGAGGAAGAAGTTTAAGCTGGAGAATTGGGTAGAGGTAGTACCACTTCCTGGATTACGGAATACAGATTTTATTGAAAAGATGATGAGTTGAGTTTTGGACATATTGACTTTGAGGTGACTATGGGATATCCAAGTGGAGATATCCAGCTGGACGTTGAATACAATGATCTGGAGCTCAGGAGAGATTTCTAAGATAGAGATACAGAGTAAGAAGTGTTGGGGCTGGGCGTGATGGCTCATGCCTGTAATCCCAGCACTTTGGGAAGCTGAGGTGGGAGGATCACTTGAGGCCAGGAGTTTGACACTAGCCTGGGCAACAAAGTGAGCCCCTATATCTACAGAAAATGTTAAAAATTAGCTGGGCATGGTGATGTGAAGCTATAGTCTTAACTACTTGGGAGGCTGAGGTGGGAGGATCGTTTGAACCCAGTTCAAGGCTGCAGTGAGCTATGATTGGGCCACTGCACTCCAGTCTAGGTAACAGAGCAATGCCCAGTCTTTAAAATAAAAAATACAAATAAAATTAGCGTTTAAAAAAGAAGTGTTGGGATGTCAATAAAATAAATCAGACAGGCCAGGTGCAGTGGCTCACAGCTGTAATCCCAGCACTTTGGGAGGCCGAGGTGGGCAGATCACTTGAGGTCAGGAGTTTGAAACTGGCCTGGTCACCATGGTGAAACCCCATCTCTACTATAAAATACAAAAAAATTAGCCAGACATGGTGGTGCATGCCTGTAATCCCAGCTACTCGGGAGGCTGAGGCATGAGAATTGCTAGAACCTGGGAGGCAGAGGTTGCAGTGAGCCGAGATCACGCCACTTGCACTCCAGTTTAGGGGACAGAGCGACACTTAAAAAAAATCAGACAAAATGTCTAGCTAGACAAGAGACTATGCCTACTGACACCCCTAGAGAAAGACATTTCTGTGATCAGCAAAGGGAGGGATTAGTGCCTATGAGGTAAACAGAATAAACAAACAGGCACCGATAACAAGCCAAGTCAGTGGGTAGGCTCTGAAGCATAACATAAGGCTCCCTGGAGCAGTAGTAAACCTAAGAAGTAAACGTCTTAAAAATGGCAAAGTGTGGCTATATTCGGCCAATTAAAAGCAGGTATATGGAAAGCTACGATGAAAAATTTGGAATAAATGTGCTAAAAAATGTGTCTCAGTTATAGGATATGAGTAATTGAAGATGGTTATTCTCCATTTATGGGTTTAGATTAGGTGAGTTCCTAAACCTTTCTCAGTGCTAAAATCCTGATCCCATGAGCTGGCATTGAAGAATGGTTAAGATTTGGAACTCTATAAACACTAAACCCTTCCTCTGGGAACTGCTCTCCTGCCCTTCCAGCCACTACTCCATCCATATGGTTCCCATAAAAGCTGACATCTCTGCCTACAGTTGATTTAAGGGTTGGCACCTGACCTAGCTGGGCCAATAAGAATCCTTACCCTAAGAATTTTGCACTGGAAATGAGAAAGAGAAGACAGCTTTTGTCTGGGTGATGGAAACTGAATATATGTAAAATATGGAACTGACAGTAACCATGACTTGCAGTCAGGTGTTTAAAAAGGCAGGGCCAGAATGAAGACAGAAACAGAGGTGAAAAATGGAGAGGAAAAAACGATTTGGGTTTCCCAAAGTCCTTCAAGACCTGGTCCTAGTCCACTGTTAGCATGTATCACAGCCCCTGAATTCCATGAGATACCCCAATATCCTTCTAATAACATCATCCTTCTTTGAGGCTTCAAGTAGCCCCAGTTGATTTCTAGTTATTTGCAACCTAAAGAATCCTAACATACTGACTTTGGTCAGAGCGCATATGGGAAGGAGAAAAGTAAATGGAAGTTGAAGCTATAAGGTAGGACTACACCTAATGATGATCTTAAGTGCCAGGCTTTGGATTGTAACTGAAGTAGCGGCTGTGGGGAGGGACCTGACGGGAAATCCATTAACACAGAATCACTAAAACTTTCATAGAATGTTATCAGATTGAAAAATAAAATGTTCAAAATCACTGGCCAGGCGCGGCGGCTCACACCTGTAATCCCAGCACTTCGGGAGGCTGAGGCGGGCAGATCACCAGGTCAGGAGATCAAGACCATCTTGGCTAACACGGTGAAACCCCGTCTCTACTAAAAATACAAAAAACTAGCTGGGCGTGGTGGCGGGCACCTGTGGTCCCAGCTACTCGGGAGGCTGAGGCAGGAGAATGGCGTGAACCCAGGAGGCGGAGCTTGCAGTGAGCCGAGACCGCGCCACTGCACTCCAGCCTGGGCGACAGAGAGAGACTCCGTCTCAAAAACAAACAAACAAAAAAAACAAAATCACTGTGGTGCTGGCTTTGCTATTTAGCTTTCACCACATCATAAGCAATTTTAATTAATGCTCATTCATTTTTATTAGAAAGTTGTGTCTCCTGCTGTCTCCTTCCATGTGTTAACTATAACTCACTAACACAAGCATCCTGTAAAATGCTATGTATGTTCAGACTATCAGTCATGGTAGACCCTGCCATCCTAAATACCTTGCCTCAATCATCAGTCCTCTTCCATTCCAATCAGGAGGATTGCAGCCAAGATTATATTCACAGCAATGAGTCCTTTTAAAGAGACCGATCCTTTTATCTTTTATAATCTAAAAGAACCCGTTTCCTTAAAAAGACTCTCATCCATCAAATAGTTCCAGCCTCATAAGTCAGAGACTGAAGCAGTTGGTGGAAAGGTGTCTCCTCGAGCTGAGACTTTGGTGAACTTGGCTACCAATCAAGAAGATGCAGATTCCTCTCTGGCTCCAGGTTTGGGAAGTGGTCACTGTTTCTAGGGGGTGCAGCTCAGCTGGTCCTTCTAGGCCATGTTATTGAAACAAGCTGATGCCCCTCAGATGGCAGACAGGTCTGTTGATCCAGGTGTAGGAGATGCTTCAGCATCAGATATGGCTCCTACAGTTACATATCTTGCCGGTGGGAAAATAAATACGTCCAAACCTCTATGAAGGTCCATTTGCCAATATCCATAATAAAAACACATATACTCTCGGCCGGGTGCAGGGGCTCACACCTGTAATCCCAGTACTTTGGGAGGCTGGGGCAGGTGGATTGTTGGAGGCCAGGAGTTCAAGACCAGCCTGGCCAACATGACAAAACCTTGTCTCTACTAAAATACAAAAGTTAGCTGGGCATGGTGGCACATGCCTGTAATCTCAGCTACTCAGGAGGCTGAGGCAGGAGAACCACTTGAGCCCAAGAGGCAGAGGTTGCAGTGAGCCGAGATTGTGCCATTGCACTCCAGCCTGGGAGACTATGTTTCAAAAAAAAAAAAAAAAACAAAACCAAAAAACAAACAAAAAACCCCCCACACATACTCTCTAACATAGAAATTCCAGTTCTAGGAATTTACCCTACATACTTACATGTGTGTGAAACAAAAATGTGTAAGACTATTCACTGAACACTGTATAAACAAAAGACTGAAACAAAATCCATCCATAGTGAAGTGTTAGAGTACATTTATACCATGGAATACTATGCAGCTATAGAAAAGAATAAGTAGGCACTTTATATAGTGAAGAGGAATGACATCTATGATATATTGTTTGGTTTTTGTTTTTGAGACAGGGTCTCACTCTGTTGCTCAGGCTGGAGTGCAGTTGGTATGATCATGGTTCACTGCAGCCTCAATCTCCCAGGCTCAAGCAAACCTCCACCTCAGCCTCCCAAGTAGCTGGGACCACAGGTGAGTGCCACCATCACACCTAGCTAATCTTTAATTTTTTTTCTAGAGACAGAGTATCACTATATCGCGCAAGCTGGTCTCAAACTCCTGGGCTCAAGCAGTCCTTCTGTCTTGGACTCCCAAAGTGCTGGGATTACAGGCATGAGCCAAGGCAACCGGCCTATATTATCATGTAATAAAAGTAACATGCAGGCTGCGCGCAGTGGCTCACGCCTGTAATCCCAGCACTTTGGGAGGCCGAGGTGGGTGGATCACCTGAGGTCAGGAGTTTGAGACCAGCTTGGCCAACATGGTGAAACCCCATCTCTACTAAAAATACAAATATCAGCTGGGTGTGATGGTACGCACCTGTAATCCCAGCTACTCAGGAGGCTCAGGTAGGAGAATCGCTTGAACCTGGAAGGTGGAGGTTGCAGTGATCCGAGATTGCGCCACTGCACTCCAGCCTGGGTGACAGAGTGAGACTCTGTCTCAGAAAGAACATGCAGATGTGTTTGTATAGGAGGTGGCCATTTCTGCTTAAAAAGACAAAGGAGGCCAGGCGTGGTTAACTCAACACCTGTAATCCTAGCACTTTGGGAGGCCGAGGTGGGCGGATTGCCTGAGGTCAGGAGTTCAAGACCAGTCTGGCCAGCATGGTGACACCCCGTCTCTACTAAAAATACAAAAATTAGCTAGGCATGGTGGTGGGTGCCTATAATCCCAGCTACTCGGGAAGCTGAGGAAGGAGAATTACTTGAACTCTGGAGGCGGAGGCTGCAGTGAGCTGAGATCCCGCCACCACACTCCAGCCTGGACAATAGAGTGAGACTCCGTCTCAAAACAAACACAAACAACAACAAAAAGACAAAGGAAAACCGTATATTTGTATTCTCTTGGATATAAATTTTAAAAAGCTGAATGGATGCACAAAAAATTATTAAAAATGGTTGCCTCTATATAGAAATCTATGGTGGGAAATACAGGAAGGCGGCTTTTCACTGCATATAATTGTTTCCACTTTCTGGACTTTACACCATGTGAAAGCTTTCCCCATTAAAAAATACATTATTTTATTCTTTTTTGTAGAGACGCCTGGGATTACAGGCGTGAGCCACTGCGCGCAGCCTGCATGTTACTTTTATTACATGATAATATAGGCCGGTTGCCTTGGCTCATGCCTGTAATCCCAGCACTTTGGGAGTCCAAGACAGAAGGACTGCTTGAGCCCAGGAGTTTGAGACCAGCTTGCGCGATATAGTGATACTCTGTCTCTAGAAAAAAAATTAAAGATTAGCTAGGTGTGATGGTGGCACTCACCTGTGGTCCCAGCTACTTGGGAGGCTGAGGTGGAGGTTTGCTTGAGCCTGGGAGATTGAGGCTGCAGTGAACCATGATCATACCAACTGCACTCCAGCCTGAGCAACAGAGTGAGACCCTGTCTCAAAAACAAAAACCAAACAATATATCATAGATGTCATTCCTCTTCACTATATAAAGTGCCTACTTATTCTTTTCTATAGCTGCCCACCTGAAATGCAGTGGTGATCACAGCTCATTGCAACCTTGAACTCCTGGGCTCAGGTGATCCTTCTGCTTCAGCCTTCTGCACAGCTAGGACTACAGGCGCATGCTACCATGCCTGGCTAATTTTTTAAAAACTTTTTTGCAGAGATGGGTCTTGCTATGTTGTCCAGGCTGGTCTTGACTTCTGGCAAGTGATCCTCCTTCCTTGACCTCCCAATTACAGGCACAAGCCACTATGCCTGGCCAAAAAAATAAAATTTTAATTTAAAAAATACGGTTGGTGATATTTTAAGCTATAGTTCCCAAATGCTGGTCTGCAAATCATGAATACCCATGAAGAATAATTTATTAATCCACCATGAAATCAGAAAAAAACTGTTATGAATTTTTCATAATGCTGAATTCATTTAATTTTAAGGACCAGATTTTAATCTTAAGTACTTTTTAGAGGTGTTAGTAGTCAATACCTGTCAATGTAATGTTTATTTACAATGGGAAAAATTAAAAGTTGGCATCATTACATCAATTCCTCATATCTGAGTCCTGAAATTTTAAAGCACTCTAAATCACCAATTTACACTTGGCTTTTGTTCTCAAGTCAAATATCTGTTTTTACACCTTATTTCGGAAGGCGTTCCTCCTGTGTATTTCATGATGTCGACTAAGTGAAGAGTTATAGCTGAAGGCTTTTCCACATTCGTTACATTCGTAAGGTTTTTCTCCAGTGTGATGTCTCTGATGTTTTTTAAAGGATGAATCATGCCTATAGGCTTTTCCACAGCGGTTGCATTCATATGCTTTCACTCCTGTATGAACAGTTTTATGGTTGCTAAGGTGTATCCTCTGCCTAAAGGCTTTTCCACATTCTTTACATTTGTAGGGTCTCTCCCCAGTATGGATTCTCTGGTGATGTGTTAGATACGCTCTATGACTAAAGGTTTTACAACATGCAGTGCATGCATAGGGCTTCTCCCCGGTATGAATTCTTATATGTTCACTAAGGTGTCTAATCTGTCTAAAGGTTTTCCCACATTCATTGCAAGTAAAAGGTTTCTCTCCAGAATGAGTCCTCAAATGTTGAACCAAGCTAATGTTCTGGCTGAAAGCTTTCTGACATTTATCACATACATAGGGTTTCTCCCCAGTGTGAGTTCTATGATGCTGATTAAGTGATGAGCGATGTCTGAAGGCTTTCCCACATTCCTCACATTCAAAGGGTTTCTCACCAGTATGGATTCTCTGGTGTGTACTGAGGGATGCACTTTGACTAAAGGCCCTTCCACATTCCTTACATCTGAAAGGTTTCTCACCAGTATGAATTCTCATATGTTCAGTAAGGTGAATAGGTTGTTTGAAGATTTTTTCACATATATTACATTCATAGGTTTTTGTTCTTATGTAACTTGTTGGATGATTAATCAAATCTAATTTGTATGTGTTCCGCTTTGTAGGTGTATCATATTTATGGTGCCTCTGTTCAATAATAACATTTGAATGCACAATGATATTTTCCCCAAATTTGTTAGTTTCTTGGACTCTCTTCTTATGGGTCAAGATGGCTTGTCTCACATCTCTCATACAAGTTTCCTGGTGCCTTTCTAAGACATCATCATATGTGGAGACTTTTCTCAACGTGGAATAAATTATATCATCCCTCATGAAACTTTCCATCATAATGCCATGATATAAGCGCTCCTGTGAAATGGTACTCTTTGCAGTTGACTCAATGGTTTCTATTTTACTCTTCAAGTCTGAAAGAAATGAAAAAAAGCTTTAAAAACCAATTACTGTAGTGGTTATGGAACAGAGATTTAGACAACAATATGGATAAGTGCATGAGATTTTGACTATATTTAAATATGATTATGCTGCTTGGAGAGGTAATGGGAAAGGAAATTAAGAAACAGTGAACAGGTTAAAAGTGTCATTTTATATATATATATATATTTGATATATATTTATATATATATAATGTATATTTTATATACCAAATATTTATAAATATATAAATATAAATAAATATATATTTTATATATAATGTATATTTTATATATAAAATATTTATAAATATATCAAATATTTATAAATATCATATAAATATTTGGGCCGGGCGCGGTGGCTCACGCCTGTAATCCCAGCACTTTGGGAGGCCGAGGCGGGCGGATCACGAGGTCAGGAGATCGAGACCATCCCGGCTAAAACGGTGAAACCCCGTCTCTACTAAAAATACAAAAAATTAGCCGGGCGTAGTGGCGGGCGCCTGTAGTCCCAGCTACTCGGGAGGCTGAGGCAGGAGAATGGCGTGAACCCGGGAGGCGGAGCTTGCAGTGAGCCGAGATCCCGCCACTGCACTCCAGCCTGGGCGACAGAGCGAGACTCCGTCTCAAAAAAAAAAAAAAAAAAAAAAAAAAAAAATTTTGAATCTTTTAGTCCTGCTCTAATAATACTAAGTAATAAAATTTCAGAGCTATGACTTAAGAATATAAGTATTTTTAATTGACAACTACTTTTGGAAAACAATCTCAGAAAGATAAAAGGAAGATGTTTCCCTCCCCACTCTGGCAGCAGCAGGAGACATTCGTTCAGAAAATACAGTTTGAACTAAGAATACACACAAGAACATTATGCTGTCTTTTATTGAAACTTGTGTGTGTGTATATATATATATTTCTCTTTCTATAGTTATTAATATGTTCATGGAAGTATTACTTATACAAAGGAGACTTGTAAGAAACCCAGATTGCTATGCTGTTACTGCTGCTAGGTTCTAGGAAAATACCCTTTAACCTTTAAGATTTTTACTTGATAAATTTGTTGCACCATTACTAATATTTCAACTGACAGGTCTTTATGTATTCCTGAAAGGTTTAATTTCTTATAAGATTTTTTTTAGCCAACACAGATGGATCATTAGCAATTCAAAATGTCAAATTCTAAATGACAACAGGCAATAATAATGTCTAATAATATCTATGCTCTGCAGGTCCCTGATTCTGGTCTTGAATAGCGGAGGAGGAAAAGAAGATGATGGGGGAAAAGAAAAGAAGCCATTTATGCATCCCTCCCTAATTCAGTATCCGAGCATGAGGGAGTGTCAAGCTAGTGGGGAAGAAGAGAGGGTTTAGTTTTGAATGAAGTTGGGAGTTTTTATTATTGCACTGAACTAAATAGGCATTTTACTAAAGTCAAGACTGTTCTTGTTATTTAAAGGAACGGGATCATCAATGGAACTCTTTGAGATTTCATCCAGAGGCTGGGAAAGAACATTCATGGTAGCTTTTATTATTATTTTCATTATTGTAAGTTGAGGAAGAGAAAACCCAGGAAAATATACAAAGAGTGATTGGAATTAATAAGAGTAAAACAAGGTGGCTGTATAAAAGGTCAATATTCAAAATCAATTTTGTTATTACTTACTAGCAACATAATTTTTTTTTTTTTTTTTTGAGACAGAGTTTCACTCTTGTTGCCCAGGCTGGAGTGCAACGGCGTGATCTTGGCTCACTGCAACCTCCACCTCCCGGGTTCAAGCGATTCTCCTGCCTCAGCCTCCCGAGTAGCTGGGATTACAGGCATGCACCGCCACACCTGGCTAATTTTGTATTTTTAGTACAGATGGAGTTTCACCATGTTGGTCAGGCTGGTCTCGAACTCCTGACCTCAGGTGATCTGCCCGCCTCAGCATCCCAAAATGCTGGGATTATAGGCATGAGCCACCGCACCTGGCCAGCAACATAATCTTTCTTTAAAAATATACCTGTTCACGACTGAGGCTCAGGGAAAAGAAAAGGAAAAAAAATACCATCTACAGTAGCAACAAAATATAAGATTTTCAGAATCAATCTAACAAAAAATGTACAATATGTACAGGAGAAAATCCTGAAATGTTACTGAAAAAAATTAGGAAATATCAATAAATGGAGTGCTATATCATATTCCTGGAAGGATTCAATAGCATAACAATGTTAACTCCCCCAAAATTGATCTAGAAATTCAATTCTATTCCAATCAAAATGCCAGCAGAGTATTTGTGGGTGTGATTTGATGCTCTGATTATATAATTCAAATAGAACAACAAGGATCCAAGAATAACCAGAACAACTTTAAAGAACAAGGTGGGTGAACTACCTCTACCACATATTAAGTCTCATTATGAGATACAGTTTTTAAGACAGCCTGGCATTAGAGTAAGGACAGAAAAACAAAAGAATAAAACAACATAAAGAGAGAAACACGACAGAAAAAGAATATACAAAACAGAAACAGACCCAAACATATAAAGAAACTTGACAGGTGACAGAGCAGCATTAACTATTCCTGGACTGATTATCCATGTGGAAAAAGTTAATCAGATTTCCACCTCATACATACAAATTTATTTATATAAAATAAATTCCAGATGAATTAAACCTAAATGTGGAAAGCAAAACTTTGAAAATACAGGAATATGTAAAAACATATATGTATGATCCACATATATGATAAAATGGAGGATAGCAGGGCACAGCAGCATGCACCTGTAGTCCTGCCTCAGCCTCTTTAGTAGGTGAGGTAGCTGAGGCAGAAGAATCACTTGAGCCCAGGAATTCGAGGCCAGCTTGGGCAACATAGCAAGACCCAGTCTCTAAAAACAATTTAAAAAGTTTACAAAAAAGAATAATAAGGCATAAAAGGGTTTCTTAAAAAGCACAAACAATAAAGAAAATCCTGATAAATTCAGTAACATTAAATTTAGAAACTCACGTCTAACAAAAGACACTAATTTTGAAAAGTCAAAGATGGGCCACTGACCTAGAGTAAACATTTGCAAAACATAAAGCTATCAAGGATTATTATCTAGAATGAATATATGTATAATTATACTAGAATGAATATATATATATATACACACACACACACACACACACATACACACACACATTTTTTTCTACCAATCAATAAGAAAAAAAGATTATAGAAACATTGGCAAGGGATATAAACAGGTAATTAACAGAAGAGCCTGGCATTAGAGTAAGGACAGAAGAAGAGATGGATGGATGGTCAATGAACATGAGAAATATACTTCCTTTCACTGGTAATCAGGAAAATGAAAGAAACAAGATACCATAACCCAGTGAATTTACAAAAATCTTAAAGTTTGACAATAACAAATGTTGACAAAGATGCTGAGTTATGGAAACTCTCAAACCCTGTTAATGGGAGAATAACCTGGTGTAACTGCTTTGAAGAGCAAATTGGTAATACCTAGCAAAATGAAAGTGCATATATTCTACAACCCAACAATTTTGCTTCTACCAGCTATCTTAGAGAAACACTTGCATTATGTATACAAGAAGTTATGTACACAAAGGTTTGCTGTAGCATCTTTGTAACTCCCAAATTTGGAAACAATGTAAATGTCTATCAACAGGAAAATGAATAAGAACATTGTGGTTTATTAACTCAATGGATTGAATGAACTAGAATAACATACTGAGGAATATCACCAGTGTTGAATGAGAAAAGCAAAAGGAAGAAGTATATATACCATTTATTTAAAGAAAGAGAACATGCAAAACAATGCTATATATTGTTTAGTATGTATACACTGATATATAGACTGCTTTTACTACATTATACATGTAATAAAAGCACGAAGACATGGGAATAATATTTCAATGCAGAGTGCTTATTTCAAAAGGTGTAAGGGGGACAGTGGAGCTTCAACTGTGTTTCATTTCTTAGTCTAGGTGGAAGCTACACAGAAATGTGTTATAATGTTTTCTATGCCTTTCTGAGTGTCTAAAATATTTCAGAATAAAAAGCAAAGTTTGAGGAGATTGTTAGGGACCCCGACATTTGGTTGAGAAGGAATCCTTTGGTAATTTCTCTTACAGGAGTTTTCATAAGTAGCTGTTACAAAAAAGATACATAAGTTAAAAAGAGAATGAGAATCGAAGCTGGAATTGTAAAATGAACATTGGCAAGAAGTAAAAATGGAGTGCAGGAAAATTAAAGATTTGTAGAATGCAATGGGAGTCTTGGAAAGAGATTGGTTTTCTGTGAAAATACCACATACATTTGACTGCTTAGAGAAAGCTTTAGATTGGCAGCCCTTAGGATACTGGAGAAAGGGAAAATCCAGCTCAACCTTAATGAGGACAAGACTGCTCTTTCCTCCAACTCCAGGGGACTTTTGCAAGGGCTCAGTGAAGGAAAGGGGTAAGGAAGGGACGGGTGATATTAGTTTAGTGGAGGCTCTGTCCAGTGGTCTGAGCCCTCCCCACAGCCGAGGCTTTGAGCACTCTGACCTACATATTAAAATTCCATCTGCCTTGGTGATTTGGTTTGAATATTTATCCCCTCCAAATCTCATGTTGAAATGTGATCCCCAGTGTTGCAGGTGGGGCCTGGTGGGAAGTGTTGGGTCATGGGGGTGGATCACTCATGAATGAGTGTCCTCCCCATGGTAATGAGTTCTCACTCTGAGTTCACATGAGATCTGGTTGTTTAAAAAGCCTGGCACCAGCCTGGCGCAGTGGCTCACACCTGAAATCCCAGCACCTTGGAAGGCCGAGGTGGGCAGATCACAAGGTCGAGATCAAGACCATCCTGGCCAACATGGTGAAACCCTGTCTCTACTAAAAATACAAAAATTAGCTGAGCGTGGTGGCGCATAACTGTAGTCCCAGCTACTCGGGAGGCTGAGGCAGGAGAATCGCTTGAACTCCAGAGGCGGAGGTTGCAGTGAGCCAAGATTGCGCCACTGCACTCCAGCCTGGCGACAGTGCGAGACTCTGTCTCAAAAAAAAAAAAAAAAAAAAAAGAAAAAGAAAAAGAGCCTGGCACCTCCTCCTTCACTCTCATGCTCCAGCTCCCACCATGTGATATGCCTTTCACCATGATTGTAAGTTTCCTGAGGCCCTCACCAGGAGCAGATGCCAGTGCCATGCTTCCTGTACAGCCTGCAGAATCATTAGCCAATTAAACTTCTTTTCTTTATAAATTATGAAGTTTCAGGTATTCCTTTATAGCAACACAAAAACAGACTAACACACTTGGTCTCACCTGAACTGGGATCTCCTGGGCCTTCTTTCTCTGCCATCCATGGCTCTTCTCCTTTCTCTAACTGGGATATCACACTAGGTTTGGAAAGTTGATATCCTGCTTATGTAGTAAAAAAAACAGTGTGAATGTTTATGCTGATGTCTAAGAACCATCCTCAGAATTTTGAGTCTTCTGGTATTCAGGGTCTCCACAAGTGGAAAGGGGTGGGTCTTTCTATCCTAACTATGTGTAGTAAAGTTGTTCCCCAAGAAAGTCAAATTGGATATGCCCTCACTTGGTTTTCAAAGGGAATAAGACATCTTTAATACAGAACCCAAATCAAGCCTCAAGGAATCTACACATCAATAATTTAAAATAATGACTCTCCTGTAATGGGTGGGTTTCTGGATGCATGGATAGCCAAGTCTTACCCACTGACACCAAGTTGCTGTAGTTCTCCAGCATCACCTCTCGGTATAGATTCTGGTGAGCAGGAGCCAGCTGCCCCCACTCTTCCTGGGTGAAGTCAATAGATATGTCCTTGAAAGTCAACAATTCCTAGAACATCAAATACATTCATTTTTAGCCGGAGACCACCTCTGTTAAGTTCCAAGGAGTTCTGACAGTATTCTAAATTCTGAGAGATTCTAAACTTACTTTTATCAGGAGCCTTCTCTGGATCTGTTTGGAGATCCTCTGATCTCCAAATCTGATCAACAAAACTGTCTGGAACTGTAGTCTGTCTGGATCTCTAATCTGGAGATTACTATAAATAATGTAATATATAGAAAGACAGATGGTGATACATACCTTAGAAAAAAATTAAGCAGGATAAGAGACATTGGGAGAACCACAGTGAGGGTAGGATGATCTTTTATGTAAAGTGGTTGGGGAAGACTCTCTAAAAGGGTGATGTTTGACCGGAGACATAAATTCAGTAAAGGGAAGAACCACATGGAAATCTGAGAGAAGAGCATCCTGGGCAGGTGCAAAGGACCTAAGGTGACAGTGTCCTTGGCTTGAGGAACAGGAAAGTGAACAGCATGGCTGGAGGTAGGCTGGTTGATGAGAGAGTGGAAAGAAATGAAATCAAGAGAGGTGGAGATGAGGAACAGGGTGGGATAGGGGTTCCCCCACCACCTCACGCACTTATTGTCACAAAGACCTGTGCATTCTTACTGAACTTGAATTCTGAGGCCCTGCTGGAGTTTAATGCAAAAATGAACAAAACTGTCTGGAACTGTAGTCTAATCCCTTCCTAAGCTCAAATGCCAAAAAGATAAAAAGAAAAGCCCTCAGCAATTGTGGCATGGGCTAATCAGAAGTATACTCAATCAAATTAAAGCTGCATGATAGCCAGAGCTCAGCCACAGCTCTAGGAGGAGCCCCTCACCTTAACCACCAGAGAGACGAAAGGGTTTGGAAATAGAACAAATCAAAACACATGAATAAACTATGTGTGTGTGTGTGTGTGTATACATACAAAACACACACATGTATGTATGTATATACACATGCACTCCTGCCTTGGCCCCTCAAAGTGTTCGCATTACAGGCATGAGACACCGTGCCCGGCTTAGAGATCACTTTTTTTTTTTTTTTTTTGAGACAGAGTCTCACCCTGTTGTCCAGGCTGGAGTGCAGTGGTGCGAGCTCAGCTCACTGCCACCTCCCGGGTTCAAGTGATTCTCCTGCCTCAGCCTCCCAGGTAGCTGGTATTACAGGCGCACGCCACCACGCCCAGCTAATTTTTGTATTTTTAGTAGAGACCGGGTTTCACCATGTTGGTCAGACTGGTCTCGAACTCCTGGCCTCAGGTGATTCGCCCACCTCAGCCTCCTGAAGTGCTGGGATTACAGGCGTGAGCCACCGCGCCCGGCCTGAGAGATCACTTTTTACTGTGATATGCAATTTACCGGAGAGATGAAGTGCTAATGCAGAGATGCTTAGCATCACACTGAATTTTAAGTAAATACTTGAAACACCTGAGCGCACTACAATAGCCACAGGAGATAGCTATAAAATTATCATACTAATACACTAGGTGTACTATAGTTTATTTTATGCAGTAGTGATTTAATACTGCATCTTTACATTTGTTTACATTTCTCTCAACTGAGAATGGCACCATGAATAGTCTGTGCACATAAGCTTTGAAAATTTTTAACTTTTTATAATAGATACGTGTATCTCTTATGGTAGTAAATGATAAAATAGACTAGTACCTACATATATTTTATGTATTCATAACATACCTAACTTTTTCTTAATTTTTTTGATACTCCTAGGCTACATGGTCCATCTGCAAGTTTTTTCAAATTGTCACAAATCTCCAAAAAATGTTTCAATATATTTATTGAAAAAAGTCTATATAGAAGTGGACCTGCACAGTTCAAACCTGCGCTGCTCAAGAATCAACTGTAGGCCGGGCGCAGTGGCTCATGCCTGTAATCCCAGCACTTTGGGAGGCTGATGCGGGCGGATCATGAGGTCAAGATATCAAGACCATCCTGGCCAACATGGTGAAACCCTGTCTCTACTAAAAATACAAAAATTAGCTGGGCATGGTGGTGCATGCCTGTAGTCCCAGCTACTCGGAAGGCTGAGGCAGAAGAATCACTTGAACCCGGGAGGCGGAGGTTGCAGTGAGCCGAGATCTCGCCACTGCACTCCAGCCTGGTGACAGAGCAAGACTCCATCTTAAAAAAAAAAAAAAAAAATCAACTGTAAATGAAAATTCTACAAGTGAAAAAGACAATATCTAAAAATTCATTGGATGGGCTTAAAGTAGATTAGACCATGATGAGATAAGATCAGTGAAACTTAAGATGGGTCAATAAATATTATTCAAACTAGAGTACCAAGAGAAAAAAATCTGTGGGATAATATCAAGTGGTCTATTATACATGTAATTAGAATCTCAGGGCTAGGTGGGATGGCTCCTGCCTGTAATCCTAGCACTTTGGAAGGCCAAGGCAGGAGGACTGCTTGAGCTCAAGAGTTTGAGACCAGCCTAGGCAACATAGGAAGACCCTGTCTCTACAAAAAAAAATACAAAAATTAGCCAGGCATGGTGGCGCACACTTGTAGCCCCAGCTGCTCAGGAGGCTGAGGCAGGAGGATCACTTAAGCCTGAGAGGTAGTGGTGGGAGGGAGGGAGGGAGGGAGGAAGAAAGGAGGGAGGGAGGGATGGAGGGAGGGAGGAAGGGAAGGAAGGAAGGAAGGGAGGGAGGGAGGAAAGGAGGGAGGAAGGGAGGAAGGGAAGCAGGGAGGGAGAAAGAGCAATCTCAGAAGAGGGAATAGGTAGAAAAAATATTTGAAAAATAATGGCTGAAGATTTTCCAAACTAATAGGAAAAAAAATCAACCCACAGATCCAAGAAGCTCAGCAAACCCCAAAAAGGATAAACTCAAAAATCACAGCAAGGCACAGTGGCTCATGCCTGTAATCCCAGCACTTTGGGAGGCTATGGTGGCAGATCACTTGAGGTCAGGAGTTTGAGACCAGCCTGGCCAACATGGTGAAACCCCATCTCTACTAAAAATACACAAAATAAAAAATAAAATAAAATAAAATAAGGCGGGTGTGGTAGTTTACATCTGTTATCCTAGCTACTTGAGAGGCTGATGTGAGAGGATTGCTTGAACCCAGGAGGTGGAGGTTGCAGTGGGCCAAGATCATGCCACTGCACTCCTGCCTGGGTGACAGAGCAAGACTCCGTCTCAAAAAACAACAACAACAACAACAAATCACACCTATGCACATCAGATAAAAGTTGATATAAAACAGATACATCACATAAAAAGAATAACACCTGCCTTCTCATCACAGATAATACAATCTAAAAGATAATGGAACATTTTTAAACTACTTAAAGAAAAAGCAGTCAACCTAGAATTCTTTATCCAATAAGATCCTCAAATAGGAAGATAATATAAAGAAATGTTTAGATCAATAAAAGTGAGAATTTGTCACCAGAACACCCACATTATAAGAAATGCTAAACAAAGTTCTTTAAGCTGAAGGGAAATGATGCAAGATAGAAACCTGGAATGAAAGGGAAAAAGGAAGAGTGCCTAAATGGATAAATATGAGGGCAAATAAGAAAGACATGTTTTTTTCCATTTTCATAATTTGTTATAAGACAGTTTACTATTAAAAGCAAAATTAAGAACAATATACTGTGGTGTTTTTACATGTAAAACAAAATGTATATTGACAACACACTAAGAGTGGGAAGGAGTATATGAAAATATAACGTAAGTCTTTCATATGATATGTGAAGCCATAAAACATTAATTCAAAGTAACTGTGGAATGTTACTTTTGTAACATGTGTAATGTTAAATACATTTGTAACATTCCACAGTTACTTTGAATTAATATTATATGGCCTCACATATAATATGATTGTTTTTAGTGGTTGTTAGGGCAACCACTAAAAATAAAGAACTGGCCAGACTCAGTGGTTCACGCCTGTAATCCCAGCACTTTGGGAGGCCAAGGTGGGTGGATCACCTGAGGTCAGGATTTCGAGACCAGCCCGGCCACCATGGCAAAACCCAGTCTCTACTAAAAATACAAAAATTAGCCAGGCATGGTGGTGGGAGCCTGTAATCCCAGCTACTCGAGAGGCTGAGGCAGGAGAATCGCTTGAACCTGGAAGGCAGAGGTTGCAGTGAGCCGAGATCATGCCACTGCACTCCAGCCTGGGCAACAAGAGTGAAACTCCATATCAAAAAAAAAAAAAAAAAAAAAAAAAAGCAGGCCAGGCGCAGTGGCTCATGCCTGTAATCTCAGCCCTTTGGGAGGGAGAGGCGGGCGGATCACGAGGTCAGGAGATCAAGACCATCCTGGCTAACACAGTAAAACCTCGTCTCTGCTAAAAATACAAAAAAAAAATTAGCCGGGTGTGGTGGCACGCGCCTGTAGTCCCAGCTACTCAGGAGGCTAAGGCAGAATTGCTTGAACCCAGGACGTAGAGGTTGCAATGAGCCAAGATTGCACCACTGCACTCCAGCCTGGGCAACAGAGCAAGACTCTGTCTCAATTAAAAAAAAAAAATCAAAGAACTGTAGCTTAAAAGTCATTAGAGGACATCAAATGGAATACTGGAAAAATGATTCAATGCAAAAGAAGGCAGAAAAAGGCTGGGCACGGTGGCTCACACCTGTAATCCCAGCACTTTCGGAGGCTGAGGTGGGCAGGTAACTTGAGGTTAAGAGCTTGAGACCAGCCTAGCCAACATGGTGAAACCCCATCTCTACTAAAAATACAAAATTAGCCAGGTGTGGTGGCAGGCACCTGTAATCTCAGCTACTCGGGAGGCTGAGGCTGGAGAATCGCTTGAACCCAGGAGGTGGAGGTTGTAGTGAGCTGAGATCGCACCACTGCAGTCCAGCCTGGGTGACAGAGGGAGACTCTGTCTTTAAAAAACAAAACCAAACAAAAAGAAGGCAGGAAAAGAGAAACAAATAAACAAAGGCTAGATAGGACAAATAGCAAACAAAAGTATACACTTAGACCCAACCATACTGATTGTTTTATTTATTTTATTTATTTATTTTTTTTGAGACGGAGTTTTGCTCTTGTTGCCCAGGCTAGAGTGCAATGGCGCAATCTCGGCTCATGCAACCTCCGCCTCCCGGGTTCAAGTGATTCTCCTGCCTCAGCCGCCAGAGTAGCTGGGATTACAGGCACACACCACCACGTCCAGCTAATATTGTATTTGTAGTAGAGACGGGGTTTCTCGATGTTGGACAGGCTGGTCTTGAACTCCTGACCTCAGGTGATCTTTCTGCCTCTGGCTCCCAAAGTGCTGGGACCACAGGCATGAGCCACCATGCCCGGCCACTTAAGCTTTTTACAATCTCAGTGTCCTCAAATAAGAAGGTCAAATGCTAATATCTGCCATCTAGGATTGGAATATATTGCAGCTTTATTTCTAGTAATATGGAAGAAGTAACGATAATAGTCTGAAGAGTTATCGCTACATTCTACTTATCTGGAATTTTTCACTTCCTACATTTATCATAAACTGATGGGTTTAAAGGATTAAATTTTTTTAAACTGAAGTACAATTTACATACAGGAAAATACACTAAGAAAGTGTACAGTTTGGGCTGGGTGCAGTGGCTCGTCTGTAATCCCAGCACTTTGGGAGGCCGAGGCAGAAGGATTGTTTGAGCTGAAGAGTTTGAGACCAGTTGGACAACATAGTAAGACCCTATTTTTTCTGTCATTTTTTTAATTGGCAAAGTATGGTGGCATGTTCCTGTAGTCCTAGCTACTTGGGAGGCTTAGGCAGGAGAACTGCTTGAGCCCAAGAGTTTGAGGTTGCAATGAGTTATGATTGTACCACTGCACTGCAGCCTGAGCTACAAAGTGAGACTCAGTCTCTAAAAAAAAAAAAAAAAAAAATTAAAAAAGGTGTATGGTTTGATTTTGACATATGTAACATAATGTAATCAAGATAGAGAACATTTCCACCATCTCAGAACGTTCCTTCATGCCCCTTTTTAAACGGTATTCCACTCCACCCCCAGTTGATCCACCAGTTTATTCCACCCCACCCGCAGATCTCATTTAAAAATGAGATCTCTATTTTTAAAAAGAATATATGTTCTGTAGTTGTTAGACGTAGTGTTCCGTAAGTGTTAATTAGGTTAAATTGGTTGATAGTGTTGTTCAAATCTTCTGTATCCTTGATGAGTTTTTGTCTACTGGTTACATCAATTACTGAGAAAGAAGTGTTAAAGTTTCTAATTACTGTGATTTTGTCTATATCTCTCTTTAGTTCTGTCAATTTTGCTTTATTTTGAAGTTCTGTCATCACATGTATAAACACTTAGAATTGTTGACCCTCTTATTATTATGAAATGTCCCTTTTTGCCTAGGAATACTCCTTTTCCAGAAGTCCACTTTGCGTGATATAATATATGCCTCCAATGTTCTTTTAATTATTGTTTGTACGGTATAGCTTTTTTCATCTTTTTACTTTAAACTTGAAACTGTCTCAAAAAAAAACAAAAGCTAAAGTAATTGCCCCAGATCACTGAGCAACTAGACAAATGTTATACCATCTAATTTCAGCACTCCAGTTCATTTCACTTCAAACCCTTCTGTCCTCCAATAAGATCTCCTCTTTTAAGTCTTTCTTTCACATTTATTCTACAATTTTCCTTCCATTTCATCTCTGTTTCCGATAGGCAGTACTGACTATCCCATTTGTGACATGCTGTTGTAGCTGCTCTCAGTGGCTACTCTAGCTTTTCTGGCCAGCCCGTCTGATGTGTGCACTGTGTGGCCTATTTCTTTTCTACTCACTTCTCCTTTGGTTCTGGTTTGACCTCTGTTTTCAATATTACACTAAGGGTCACCTCTCAAAGTTCACAGTAATTCATGTACATCACTAAGAAAGAACCTTCTTACACATTTTGATTTTGAGTATTTCATTGAGATTTCTCTTAGATCTCATGTGGTATCGGTTGGTTTTTAGGGGCTAGAATTATATCTCTCATTTCACTTTCTTTATAGAAAGTAGCATCATACTAGATTCAGATGTTGGTGAGAAACAAGAGTGACATGGAGGGAGACCCCTATAAGTAGGGGAATTGCCACCACTGGAGCCCAATTTTCTGTAAAAGGACAACTTGCATTGAGCTCCTTAGGTTGAATTTGTTAGTCTTAATACCCTACCTCACCACCACTCCCACCTCTGCAAAAAAGACAGGTTATATACCCTAAAAACAGGAGAAGCAATGTCAAGAAAATGAGATGAATCCCTACTCACCTGGGATTCTGCTGTCGGGAGTCCAGGGGTCACTTCATCCTCTAAACTTTCTCTCTGGGTCTTTACGTCCTCAGCATCCTGAGACAGCAGAGCTGGGGAAGGAAAAGAGCCATGAGCTTTGCATCTCCCCAAATCTCCCAAATAAAGAAATTGCCTGCAGACCCACTCAATGTGGCTCCTCCCCCAAAAAGGTTCACAAAGAGGGACACTGAGAGTGACTCAAGAGCAGCCTGAAGCCTCCTTAGTGAGGAGGACCTGCTGCAAGTCGCTTTGGGCATTAATGTTTCCCAGTGATCAAAAACTATGTATGAGAGAACAAAGTATTTAAATGGAGAATCCTTTAAATCCCACTCCCCCCTCCAAAAAACTCTACCAATGGTCAATACTGGTCCAAAAGCACAGCTCTAACAGGCCACTCCTTTGTTCAAAAATCCTCAAAGGTTCCCCACTGACAAGAAGGAAAAATCCAAACACTTCACCATGGACTTCAAGGCACTCTACAATCTGCCCAAAGCATATTTTCTCAACAATGGGTACTGCTACTTTATACCTGGGACACACCCACCCACCCACCACATTATTAGTCTTTCAGACTAAAGATTCTCAGTCAGACTAAAGATGCCCCATTTTCTTCAAGGCACCCACTTTTGTATCCTTTCCCCAAATCTACACAAAAAACCTAAGACATTCTTCAAGGCCCAAATCAATGCTACCTGCTCTGTGAAAATTTCTTAAATACATACAACCAGGCCGGGCGCAGTGGCTCATGCCTGTAATCTCAGAACTTTGGGAGGCCGAGGCAGGTGGATCACGAGGTCAGGAGTTCGAGACCAGCCTGGCCATTATGGTGAAACCCCAGCTCTACTAAAAATATAAAAACTGTAACAACGTAAAAGCTAATTAAGGTCACAAACTTCGATGAAACCCTTGAAGTCCAAATCTTCTTGATATTGTGAATTGTACTCCTTCCAGTTTAGTTTCTTCTGGACTTTCCTTAACTGACTACCTTTTAATTTTAATTTAAATTTGCACACATTATGATTAAAATTGGGCCTCTACTGTGATGATTCCTATTTCCTCTCATGTTTGAAAGTACAAACTAACATTCAAATAAACATTAGCATCAAGTAGTGCAGACATTTGTATGCATTTCCTTGATTCAATTTGTTGTGACCTTACCAGTTTTGAAGTGGAATTGCACCATTTTGTAGATAAAGGAAACTAAGTATATTGCTGCACTTTTAAGTTTTCAAAACAGTGTTTGAAAATTGCATGGTTTTTTTTTTTTAACTCAGTTTAAAAAGACTAAAATGTTCTTTCAAAAGAGGCATCTAACTGTGTTCCTAATTCTGTATATGGGCTTAGGTTTTGTAACCAATAAAAAAAAAACTGCTATCAAATATGTAAAAAGCAATGCAAAAATTAGCCAGGCGTGGTGGCAGGCACCTGTAGTCCCAGCTGCTCAGGAGGCTGAGGCAGGAGAATCGCTTGAACCTGGGAGGCAGGAGTTGCAGTGAGCTGAGATTGCACCACTGCACTCCAGCCTGGGCGACACAGCGAGACTCCATCACCAAAAAAAAAAAAAAATCACAACCAGAACAAAGTTTTCCGTCGCTTGTGTTCCAAAATAACTTTTCTTAGGCTGCTTTCTATTATTTTGATTGAGGTGTATGCCTATCTCAATCCATTGGTAATCAGAATTAGAGATAATTATTCATTTTTCCATCTTTTAAGATGTTTAGCCAAAGTCCCTGCCTGACACAGCTAGAACAATAAATACTGGCTGAGTGTAAAGCATTAAAGGTATGAATTAAAACACCACATGAGACACATGACTTCCTCCATCCTTCTATTTACTCCTAACCAGACCACTAAATAAGGTGTGATTGTTGGGCATCTCTCCCACAGTTCAAGGTAACATGAGAGTAATCTGGCATGTCATTCCTGCCTCTCAGCAGATGAAAAGAAAAAACTGATACTTGTGATAAATATTGGGTTGGGGCTAAAATGACTGGAACCTGTGCAGGAAAACCCTTAGAGGACTTAAGGAGGGCAGAAATCTTAGACCTGTCTGTGAATCACATTCCCACACTCAGGCACCACTGGTGGGGAACACCTTGTATTCTGTCTTCCTGCTACATGTAGTATTTGAAGATGGGAGATGAGAGCAGCTGCAAGCACGTGTCACAAGGAGTCCATGCTGGACCCCAAGATTTTCCCTCACAGCTGTCCCCTTCCCAAAAACCACAAGAATGAACCCCCAGAGACCTTCTCTCCCTCCTTCTCTCCACTTCAATGAAGTGTGTACCTATCTTTTCACACACAAATGAGATCCCCTTCTTCCCCCTCCATCAGTCCATTCTCACCTTCTCCTTCAAACATTTTAGTCACATCCTCCCACAGGGGCGCCCCCTCCACGGCCTTCTTTGGATGTTGCAGCTTCACCCAGGTGCTGGCCTCGGTAGGCAGGGTGATCAGGAGCTGCTGTGGCATGATGCCTGCCTTACTGGACTTGTCCACTTCTGGTGAGGAAATTGCCAGAAGCTCTTGATGAGACGCTTCACAGTTGTGGGGTGTTGCTCAGATTCCAATCACCTGCCCTCAGGACTCTGGTGTGTCCCTGCAGCACCAGGACCTGGGGGTTCCTAGAGACTGATGTGACTTTAACAATTCTGGAAAACAAACTCCCCTTTAAATCAAGCACTTTCTTTGGGAGGCAGCCAGTTAGTTAGGTTTGAGTTCATGTCTCCATACTCTTTAGAGGAGCAAAAGGGAAGGGAAGAGGGATCCAGAAGCACTTGTCTCCAGAACTCCAGAATCTGCAGAAATATATTTAAAACTGCAAAATACCCAAAAGAAAAATATCCATGCAGGAATAAATATAATACATGTTCCTGGACGTGGCTCTATCTCCAGTTCTATACATACATACACAAACATGCAAAGATGTACAAACATGCACAGACCATGCCTCATCTTCCCTCCTTGTAAGCTGCATGCATCTTCTGCCTGGACACAGACGGGGTTTAAGAGGGCAGGCTTTGAAATCAGACAGCCTGGCTTAGAAACCTGACACTTGCACTTAAAAGCTCTATGACACTTCAACTCTCAGCTTCAGTTTCTTAATCTATAAAATGGAGATAATAATTGTATTCTATAGAGTTGTAATGTTGGTTGAGACAATGCTAGGCATACAGTAAACCCTTAATGAACATTGTTATAAACCTGTTATCATATTGCTGAATCATAGTATTAATTTTTAAAGTTATTTTTAGAAACCATTAAATCTGAATTTAAAGTTCAAAATATCTCAACTGACAGAATAATGACATAGCTGCATTTTGGCATGAACAAGCAGTGACAGCCACGTCACCACCCACGCAGATGCCCAGCAGCTGGCAAGTTCCTTGGAACCACACTGGGAAGATGCATCTTGGTTTCAGAAATGTTAAAATTGGGGAAGAGGGTATGTCTTCAAATGGTGTAAATTTAGTATAATGAGGACTACTGCAGAATAGTAATAGGCAAATTTGGAAACAACTCAAATCCATCATCTCAACCAAACCCTAGAATCTGAGCAGGTGCTTTGACCGTGACCAGGTCCAAAGTATACGGCACTCCAAGAACAGTCGGAGCTACGTGGGAAGGGAGCTGGCCCAACTTTTTGAAGTTTGTTGGAGAAGGATGGGTATGTGACTTATAGGCGTGTGTGTGTGTGTGTGTGTGTGTGTGACTATATGCAGAGACAGGAGCTGCGTGTGTTCTAGGAATTGGAGCTTGTGAGAAATATCCCACCCCTGAATACATAAAAAGTCTTGTTACCAAAGTGCACGAATTTTCGAATCTTACTCGGGAAACAGTTAATGGCTGAGAAGCTTCATATCGAAGATGCCCCACCCTCACAGTGCTCCCAGACATGCCACCCTCGGACTCAAAGACTGCACACAGACTCCTACTCACCACATCGGCCTTGGACCCAGGTAGGACCAGAGACGGGGGCGTGGGAGTGCTCACTCTTGAGGTTTTCAGCGGTAAAGAGTGTCTCTTTAGAGACGGACTGAGTGGTAACAGATATTGTTCCCTCCCGGCCTTTTATAGACAGACCACATCTCCACTCAACGCAATCATTCTCCAAGAAGCGTCCAGCGTTGAGGTCGGCTTCCTTCGGAAGCCCGGAGGACCCTCGGCCTCCGGAGTGGACGAGGGTCTGCTCCACATTCCCATCAAGGGCCCGCCCAGGCGGGTGGGCTTTCCCAGCAGCGCCCCCAGGAGCGAGGCTTTGAGGGCCGGAATGGGAGGGATGCCCTGAGCCGGCGTCTTGCAGACCCCGGGGAGGATACACCTCCCTGGCTGCCGCTTTAACACGGGGCTGGCGGCTGCAGCCAAGCCCACCCAGCCTGGCCTCTTAGGCCGCAGCCGGGTGTCTCGCCTGGCCTCTGCCTCCGGCCGCGCCCTCCCGGCCGCTTGCACCGCCGGCCGCTCTCGCTGCAGCCCTGGCGGTCCCGGGGCCCACCCCACGCGGTCCCGCTGCAGCTGCCACAACCCGCGCGTCTTCCGGCGGGTTGTGAGCCCCGGCCGCCGGCTCCGCCCACAGGGGGCTGCCACGGAGCCCGCCCTCTCCCGGGAAGCAGCGCGCGCCCTCGAACCCGGAAGCTGGAAGCCGCCCGAGCGCGCCCCCGAGGGCCGTCCGGAACCGTGGGTAGCGGCCACCCACCCACGCCGCCCCCCGTTTCCTCACAGCGGTCCTTGGGAGACCTCCTTCAGCCTTTCCGGTGAAGCGCCTTCCCTGTCATTCATTCATTCACTCATTCATTCATTCATTCATTCAGTTATCTATTCTGAGTGTGTAAGATCTACCCCCACATTCTTATTGGCCCTGCGTATACAGCAGTTAACAAAACGCAGTTCCTGCTTTCTTGGAACTTAATTACATTGAAATTAATTGACAATAACAAATAGAAAAATAAATAGATAATACCCCAGGCGATTGTGAGGACCATGAAGAAAAGGAAAGCAGGGTGGGGAGATGATGGGCTAGGATATTTGTATCAACCCACTGTAGAAAACAACAATAAAATTTAAAAATAAAATTCTGGAATACGTGTGTGTGTGTGTGTGTGTGTATGTGTATATATATATACATATATATATAATATATAAATTTGTTTTTGAGACGGAGTTTCGCTCTTGTTGCCCAAGCTGGAGTGCAGTGGCGCGATGTTGGCTCACCGCAACCTCTGCCTCCCGGGTTCAAGTGATTCTCCTGCCTCAGCCTCCAGAGTAGCTGGGATTACAGGCACGCATCACCATGCCTGTAATTTTGTATTTTTAGTAGAGATGGGGTTTCTCCATGCCTGAGCGACAAGAGCAAAACTCCATCTCAAAAAAAAAAAAAAAAGAAGAAGAAGAAGAAGACCCTCCTTACAATAACTGGGACCCCAAAGGGCAACAGCCTCAGGGTGAGGATGAATTGAAAATGGAACAGCTTAAAAGGAATTTACAGACTGCATCAAATTGCCTGTCTCAGACATTATCTTGGTTTAAGACTGTCTCTGACTATGGTGTCACCAGATGCTTGGCAAAAGCAAATAGGTGGAGGAAAGCCTTATAATTGTAGGGCCGACATTTTTCCTACACATAAGTTTTCATAGACAATGTCAAATACAGAATTAAAGATAACCAGGTACACAAAGAAACTAGATTCTTAGTGAGAACCAGCAGAAACACAAACATTGGAAATAGACCTGCAGAAACAACTGCTTTTAGAATTATTTGATGCAAACCGCAAAATAATATTTTCTTGGGCTGGACACAGTGGTTTATGTCTATAATCCCAGCACTTTGGGAGGCCAAGGCAGGTGGATTGCTTGAGCTCGGGAGTTCAAGACCAGCCTGGGCAACATGGCAAAACCCTGTCTCTACAAAATATCAAAAATTAGCCAGGTATGGTGGCACAGCCCTGAAGTCCCAGCTCTTCAAGAGGCTGAGATGGGAGGATCGCTTGAGCCCAGCAGGTTGATGCTGCAGTAAGTCACGATCATACCACTGCCCTTCAGCCTGGGTGACAGAGCAAGACCCTGGCTTAAAACATATGTATATTTTCTTGCTTACCTATTAGAGTTTTTAGGAAAAAAAGTAAAATAAAATCATATTTTCTTTGCCTGAAGAAATAAAAAAGATAACTTGGACAATTTTGGCAGGTACCTAAAAACTATACAAAGTGATAGAGCAGATTTAAAAAAAGAAGTAAATAGACTTCTCTTCTATGATTGAGAAATACAGTAACTAAATTAAGAACTCAGTTAATGGCAGATTAGACACTGCTGAATGTAGAATAAATTGAAAGGAAGGTAGGTCACAAGAAATTATCTAGAATAAAGCATTGAGAAACAAAAAATGTACCCTACAGAAGACAGAGTAAGAGAGATAGAGAATACAGTAAGAGGATCGAACTAAGTTTAACGAGAGATAAAGCTAGGGCAGAGACAGTATTTGAAGAAATAAGGGCTGAATATTTTTAGTACCTATGAAAGGAACCAGGTCACAGATATAAGATGCCATATAACTCTCTAGTGGGATAAATAAAAGAAACCCTTTTATTTATCTAGTCAAAGAAATCTACACCTAGTAGAAGAAATCCACGCATTATAGTAAAACTACAAATTGTTATAGAACCAAACTGGGGTCCACTTGCCTGGTGCAGTAAAAACAGAACAAAGTAAAAAACATGACTAAATCTAAATGAACATAAATAATAGACTAAAAATCTCAATAATCCACAATAATCCATGAGGTTTAAAAAATAGATATAGCATATTGAGTATATGTATGTGTGTGTGTGTGTGTGTGTGTGTGTGTGTGTGTATTTTTTTTTTTTTTTGAGACAGATTCTCTCTCTGTTGCCCAGGATGGAGTGCAGTGGTGCCATCTCAGCTCACTGCAACCTCCGCCTCCTGTGTTCAAGCGATTCTCATGCCTCAGCCTCCTGAGTAGCTGAAATTACAGGTGAGTGACACCATGCCCAGCTAATTTTTGTGTTTTTAGTAGAGAAGGGTTTTGTCATGTTGGCCAGGCTGGTCTCAGACTCCTGGTCTCAAGTGATCTGCCTGCCTTGGGCTCCCAAAGTGCTGGGATTACAGGTGTGAGCCACTAGGCCCAGCCATTTTTTGGCTGGAATTTTTATACGTATTTTTAGCTGGAAGGGCATATTACTGAATATGAAGACCAAATATAAAATTATAGTAACTAAGACAATGAGGTAGCTATTGGTGTAAGAATAGATCAACTGAGCAATGAAGGGAATAGAGTCCAGATGCAGACATACACATAGACCACCACCTTGCATATGACAGGGGTGGGGAAAGGAAGGTGTTTTTAATACATTGGTGCTGGATCAATTGGATATTCATATTAACTCCTGGTTTACAACATATACAAAAATATTCCAAATGGATTGCAGATCTAAATATAAAATAATAAAACTTTTTAGAAGAAAATCAGAGAATGTTTTTACAACCTTAATATAGGCACAGATTTATTACATGCTATAGAAAGTACTAAACATAAAGAAAAAATGATACATTAACATAGATTAAAATTAAGAACTAGATTTTTCAGATACTGCTAGTGAGACTATACATTGGTACATACAACTGTTTTGGAAAAGTATTTGGCAGTATCTACTGAAGCTGAATAATATGACCCAGCAATCCTGCCCCTGGGTATATACTCAACAGAAATGCATAAATATGTTCCCTAAAAGACATATACTAGAATGTTCATAGCAGCCTGTCAGCAGTAGAATGGGTAAATAAATATCGGTATATTCACATAATCAAGTATACACAGCAATGAAAATAAACAACTACACACAATATTAATGAAGCTCACAAACATAGTTTTGAGCAGAAGAAGCCTGACATAGAAGAATACACACAGTGTGATTCCATTATTTAAAAGTACAAAAGCAGGTGAAATTAATCTATGGTGTTAGAAGTAACCCTTTTTAGGGTAGTGACTGGAAGTTGGGGGGCTCCGGTGGCTTCTGGAATGCTATAATTTCTGTTCTTAATCCACGAGGTGGTTACACAGGTATGTTTAATTTTGAAGATTCATCAAGATAGTTCTCTCTATATATATATGTGTAATTTTCTGTATTAATATTGTAATTTAATAAAGTTTTTAAAGAACGTATGTTGTATCTTTCAGAACTAAAAGAACAGAAGCAGAGCATGCAACTTCAGATTAGCAAAGAGGGGGAAAAGCATAATAAAATATAATCCATCCAAAAGTGAATATCTATAAGAAGTGGGGAGCTATTTTATAGAGGGTAATCAAGGAACATCCCTCTGATAAGATGCAATTTGAACAGAGACCTAAAAGAAGTCAGGAAGTGGACCCTATTGATACCTGGAGAAAGCAAGCATCTTAGCAGAAGAAAAAGTCCCCGAGGTGAAAGCATGTGTGGGCATATGCATGGACTGGCAAGGAATCCAGGATGGCTTGAGGCAAACCATGGTATGAACTTGGATCTATTCTGAGAGAAATGGGAAGCCTTTGAAGACTTTAGAACTGAGAAACAGCATAATCTGATTTATGTTTTAATACAGTCATTTGGCTGCTATCTGGAGGATAATAAACTGTGGGGGATGCAAGTGTTCAGGAAGCCAAGTGAGAGAATGGTGAATTGGACTAAGTGGTAGCAGTGGAGATGATGAGAAAAGATATATTTTGAAGATTCAACTCACAGAATTTTCTGATGGGTTGAATGAAGAGCGTTAAAGAAAGAGGAGTCAAGGATGATTCTGGGAATTTCTGCTTGGGCAACTGAGTGTTCCCATTTACTGAGGCAGGAAATATAGGGCATAGAGCAGGTTCAGAAATGGACCTATTAAATTTGAGATGCCTAATACATATCCAAGAATGAAGTATGCACTAGGAGTCTCAAGTGCAGACAGAATTTGGGGCTGGAAATATAAATTTGAGTCTTAGCAACATACATACTTGGAGTTGAGGGTGTTTGCAAAATCATGACCAAAAGCTGGGTAGGGAAAGGAGCACGTGATTGGGAAAGGTCGGTGAAGAGATGATATGGCATTGAAGGGGTGGCCTGCCCCTCTACACCTGTGGGTATTTCTAGTCAGGTGGGATGAGAGAATGAGAAAAGAAATAAGACAGAGACAAAGTATAGAGAAACAACAGTGGGCCCAGGGGACCGGCGCTCAGTATACCAAGGAACTGCACCGGCACCGGTCTCTGAGTTCCCTCAGTTTTTATTGATTATTATCTTCATTATTTCAGCAAAAAGGAATGTAGTAGGAGGGCAGGGTGATAATAAGGAGAAGGTCAGCAACAAACATGTGAGCAATAGAATCTATGTCATAATTAAGTTCAAGGGAAGGTACTATGACTGGACGTGCACGTAAGCCAGATTTATGTTTCTCTCCACCCAAACATCTCAGTGGAGTAAAGAAAAACAAGGCAGCATTGCTGTAAACATGTCTTGCCTCCCACCACAGGACGGTTTTTCTCTCATCTCAGAATTGAACAAATGTACAATCGGGTTTTATACCGAGACATTCAGTTCCCAGGGGCAGGTAGGAGACAGTGGCCTTCCTCTATCTCAACTGCAAGAGGCTTTCCTCTTTTACTAATCCACCTCAGCACAGACTCTTTATGGGTGTTGGGCTGGGGGACAGTCAGGTCTTTCTCATCCCACGAGGCCATAGTTCAGACTATCACATGGGGAGAAACCTTGGACAATACCCCGCTTTCAAGGGCAGAGGTCCCTGCGGCTTTCCGCAGTGCATTGTGCCCCTGGTTTATTGAGACTAGAGAATGGCAATGACTTTTACCAAGTATACTGCTCGTAAACATCTTGTTAACAAGGCACGTCCTACACAGCCCTGGATCCCTTAAACCTTGATTTCATACAACACATGTTTTTGTGAACTCCAGGTTGGGTCAAAGTGGCTGGGGCAAAGCTACAAATTAACATCTCAGCAAAGCAATTGTGCAAAGTACAGGTCTTTTTCAAAATGGAGTCTCTTATGTCTTTCCTTTCTACATAGACACAGTAACAGTCTGATCTCTCTTTCTTTTCCCTACAGGCATTAGCACACGTGAGTTTGAAAAAATTTTCATAACTGGGTACTAATATGTGTCTGCTGGAAAGAAATACTCCAAATTTTTTATTGTGATGAAAACCACATACCATAAAATTTACCATCGTAATCATTTTTTTTTTCTTTTTGAGATGGAGTCTTGCTCTTGTTGCCCAGGTTGGAGTGCAGTGGAGCGATCTCGGTTCACTGAAACTTCTGCCTCCCAGATTCAAGCAATTGTCCTGCCTCAGCCTCCTGAGTAGCTGGGATTACAGGCACCCACCACCACGCCTGGCTAATTTTTTTTGTACTTTTAGTAGAGACAGGGTTTCGCCATGTTGGCCAGGCTGGTCTTGAACTCCTGACCTCAGTTGATGCACTCCCCTAGGCCTCCCAAAGTGTTGGGATTACAGGTGTGAGCCACTGTGCCTGGCCCATCTTAATCATTTTTAAGTGTACAGTTTAGTAGTGTTCAGTGTATTCACATTATTGTGAAACATCTCTAGAATTTCATCTTGCAAATATGAAGCTCTATACCCATTAAACAACAATTCTTCTTTTTCCTTTTCCCTCAGCCACCATTCTACTTTCTGTCTCTACTAGTGTGACTACCCTAGATACCTCATATAAGTAGAATCATACAGTATTTGTCTTTTTGCCTCAAAGTTTTAACATTGCTAACATCTAGGTTCTGTCATGTTTGTTTTCTTTACCTATCTCTGTGCTTTCATAAACGAGCATTTACTTTTTTATAACAAGTAAAAAACACAAAATACAACATTAGCTTTTATTTTTGAGTCGTTGAATATGGCTGGTATAATAAACCTGTTGTGTAGTGCCTATTACAAATGCCTCTTTACAAATGGAAAAATAAGACTAAGAAAAATTAAGTAATTTGACTAAGATCACAAAGGTAGGGTGTGATCAAGCTGGGATTTGAATGTAATTTTTAACGATTCTTGAGCTCAAGCTCTTTATCACTCTGCTATGAATGCTTAAGATCTGGGAACAATTTAATATTGAGTGAAAAACAATTCCATCCCACTTTGTAGGGATGATGTAGTTCTGAATAAGGTCATATATGTAGATGTATATAGAGTGTGTTGACATACACAATCAATTAAGAAGGGATGACATAAAATGCAGGGTCTTTGGATAATTGATTAGAAATTTGCAAAGCAGAAATGTTTAGGCTGGGTGAGGTGGCTCACGCCTGTAATCCCAGCACTTTGGGAGGCTGAGGTGGGCAGATCACCAGAGGTCAGGAGTTCGAGACCAGCCTGGCCAACATGGTGAAACCCCGTCCCTACTAAAAATACAAAAATTATCCAGGTGTAATAGTGGGTGCCTGTAATCCCAGCTACTTGGGAGGCTGAAGCATGAGAATTGTTTGAGCCCGAGAGGCAGACGTTGCGGTGAGCCGAGATCACGCCGTTGCACTCCAGCCTAGGTGACAAGAGCGAAACTCCGTCTCAAAATAAGGAAAGAAAAGAAATGTTTAGATCTTTAATTGCATTGGATGTAAAAACACTAACTCAAAATGTAGGAAATAACCTTATCAGTTATGCTAACATCCAGAAAAGTCAGAAAAATATTCTAAGAAAATAAAACACAAAGATACTCTAGAATTTGAAAACGAAAAAAAAAATTCTGTATGAAGTGATAAGTAAAATATTTTTAAATGTAAAAATGGAATGACACACACAAATAAAACTGGAAGGAAATTAAAATAAGTGTCTATCTTAGGAGTGTTTTTACATGAATCCCAGATACTAGGTATTAATTATCTCACTTCATGAGTCTAAAAATGGAGTCTATTTTCTGCCCTCCTGGTTGGAAGCACTTGCTCTCTAGATCCTTTGACTGCCTCTTTTTCATGTTTACTCCCTTGTCTTGATAGAGCACATCCTCCTCCAGCTTGCTAAGAAAGGGTGCAGAGAAGGCAAATTTTGACACCTGGCATATCAAATGTTTTTATTTTGCCCTCACATTTGATTGGTAGTTGGCTGGGCATAGAACCCTAGGCTGAAAGTCATTTTTCTCAAGAAATCTTTTTTTTTTTTTTTTTTTTAAGACACAGGGTTTCACTCTGTTGCCCAGGCTAGAGTGCAGTGGTGTGACCATGGTTCACTGCAGCCTCAAATGCCTGGGATCAAGCCATCCTCCTGCCTCAGCTTCCAGAGCAGCTAGGAGGACAGGCACATGCAACCACACCCAGCCAATTTTCCTATTTTTTGTAGAGATAGGGTCTCAATGTGTTTTCCCAGGCTGGTCTCAAACTCCTGGCCTCAAGTGATCTTCCTGCCTCAGCCTCCCAGTGTTGGGATTACAGGCGTGAGTTGCTGTGCCCTGCCCATTTTCTCAACATTTTGAAGACATTGCTCAATTATTGCTGTGAGAAGTCTAAAGTTTTTTCTGCTTCCCGTAAAGGCAAATGACCTATCATCTTGCCCCAGGAGGCTTTAGGGTGTTTTCTTTTGCTCTGTGTATTTAATTCTTCATCATTATGTTCCTTGATGTGGGTTCTTTTGAAAAGCAGATTGCCTGGATTCAAATCCCAGATCTGCCATTTACTACCTGGGTGTCCTTACCTGCTTAACTTCTATATGTCTCTATCTCCTCATCTGTGAAATGGGAATAATATTAGCATTCACTTCAGAAGATTTTGAGAATTAAATTAGTTGAAATGTATAAAGCACTTATAACAGTGTCTGGCACATTGTAAATCAATGATAAATGTTAGCTACTGGTAATGAGTGTGCTGGGCAGACAGATGACCCTTTTAATCTGAATATTTGTGTCCTTTGATTCTGAAAAACTGTCTTGTGTATATGTATGAATTTCCTACCATTCATTTTCTCTTCTCTTTATGGAGACTGGAAGCTTGGTCTTTACGTGCAGGCTGTTTAGGCCATCGATATGGTTTGGCTCTGTGTCCCCACCCAAATCTCATCTCAATTTGTAATCCCCATGAGTCAAGGGAGAAAGGTGATTGGATCACGGGGTAATTTCCCCCATGGTGTTCTTGTGATAGTAAGTTCTCACGAGATCTGATGGTTTTATGTGTTCGGAAGTTCCTCCTTCACTTTTCTCTCTCCTGCCACTTCGTGAAGGATTTGCTTCTCCTTCTCCTTCTGCCGTGATTGTAAGTTTCCTGAGACCTCTCCAGCCATGTGGGACTGTGAGTCAATTAAACCTCTTTCCTTTATAAATTACCCAGTCTTTGGTATTTCTTTATAGCAGTGTGAAAGTGGACTAATACAGTAAATTGACCTCTATGTTTCACTGAAGTATCCACAAATGTCAGTACCTTTTCTTTGGAGCCATCCAGTTTCTTTTTCTTCTTTCTTTCCTTTCTTTCTCTCTTTCTCTTTTTCTCTTTCCTTCTTTCTTTTTTTCTTTCTCTTTCTTCTCTCTTTTTCTTTCTTTCTTTTTTTTTTTGAGATGGAGTCTCACTCTGTCACCTAGGTTGGAGTGCAGTAGAGCAATCTTGGTTCACTGCAACCTCTGCCTTCCAGGCTCAAGCGATCCTCCCCCCTCGGCCTCCTGAGTAGCTGGGACCACAGGTGCATGCCACCATGCCTGGCTAAATTTTCGTATTTTTGGTAGAGATGGGATTTTACCATGTTGCTCACGCTGGTCTTGAACTTCTGAGCTCAGGAGATCTACCAGCTTTGGCCTCCCAAAGTGCTAGGATTACAGGCATGAGCCACCACGCCCAGCCTGCCAACTAGTTTCCCCAGAGGATTCCTCCAATCTCCTGCTGGGGTTGGACGGAAGATGGTTGAAGGGATGAAAACTTGGTTTTCATTAGAAAAGAGTGCTGAGGGCCCCACAGTTCAATATGCAGCCTTACATTAGTCCCCATTTCAGCCATATTTTTACCCCAGTCTCTACTGTCTGGTGTCCCTGATTCTAGAACAACTCTGGAATCAAGGACACCAAAGTCAATCCACAAATCACTAACATGACATGAAATTTTTACTGGCACATAGTGAAGTGAGAAAAGTAAGGACAAATTTGGGAATTTGTCATAAAGCTGATATAATATACAGGGCTGCTCCTGGCCGGACATGGTGGCTCATGTCTGTAATCCCAGCACATTGGGAGACCGGTCCTTCACCAGAGAATAAACCTCTAGTCTCCTTTGGGATGAGGAAAGGGTAATGGGATGAAGAAAGGCATGAGGGAGGAATGTGTGCGTAACAGCCAGCTGTATGGGTAGGTGAGGGGGTCTAAGGATCTGACATTAGAATTTCAATGAATCCCCATTTTCAGCCCTCTTTCTTCCATAATGCCCACTGTCTCCAAGGCCTCTGTCTTCCCAGGAACATCCTTGTGCCAGTATACTTTTCTGCAGGCTCTGCTAAGTCAGTCACCACTCTTCTATTTTCTCACCACCAAAAACTTGACATCTCATGTCTGCTTCTATATTCTCCTCTATTGTCTTTTATACCCTCCAGTTTGCTTATGCACTCAGGTTCATGAAATAAAGATAAACTCATGTTGTTAATCAGCCACATTTAAATGCATTTTAAACAAATTAGGCTGGGCACAGTGGCTCATGCTTGTAATTCCAGCACTTTTGGAGGCTGAGGCAGGTGATTGCCTGAGCTCAGGAGTTTGAGACCAGCCTGGGAAACATGGCAAAACCCCGTCCTACAAAAAATACAAAAATTAGCCAGGTGTGGTGGTATGTGCCTGTAGTCTCAGCTACTCAGGGGGTTGAGGTGGGAGGATCGCTTGAGCCCAGAAAGTTGAGGCCGCAGTGAGCCATGATCATGACGCTGCACTCCAGCCTGAGCAACATAGTGAGACTTTGTCTCAACAAACAAACAAAAACAACCAAACCAAATTAACACAGAAATACCCTTTTATCTTAAAGTATATCAGCTATGATTCTCAAAGGTATACGATTCTCAAATATTGGTCCACTTGCACAGAAAAGAAAAAGGAAACAAAAAATATTTCCTCACATATAAAATGTAGGTAGGAAAGTATATGGATTACATTTCTTTACTTGCATCATGGATACATAGTTCAATTCAGTTCAAATCAAAACCATTCAATACATATTTACTGAGTCCCTTCTGCGTGTCAGGCACTGTTTTAGGCACTTGTGATATATCAGTGAAAAAAACAAAGGCCCCTGCCCACATGGAGCTTACATTATAGCCAGGGGAAACAACAGTAAACAATAAACACAAATATGTGAAGTATCTAGGGTGATAGGTGATATGAAAAACATAGAGCAGGTGAAAGGGGTATGGGATTTCTCGATCTGGAAGGTAGACAGCTGCAGTATTAAATAGTATGGACAGGATAGGCTTCAGTAAGAAGGCAACAATTGAGCAAAGATGAGAAGGTAAGGGTATAGGGCATCTGCAACAGCTAGTGAAACGGCCCAAAGGTTAGAACAAGGCTGGAGTTCGGGAGAGGTCTGGGCTGGAGATGTGAATCTGGCAGCTGTTAAACAGAGACGGTATTTTAAGCCAAAGACTGTATGAGATCACTGAGGCAGGAACTACAGAGAAAAGTCATAGTCATGTCTTTCAGGGAAATAAGCAATTGGAGAAATTCAAATTCTTGGGAAATCTAAGACCATAGAAACATGGTAGAACAATTTTAAGAAACAGTGTATACCTCACTCTTTTTCTGCCCATCAGTCATACAGGACTTAAGAGTTAGAGGCCAGCTTTTTTTTTAAGTAAATGTAGTAATATGAAAAATTCTAGAGATACTGGTATATATTCTGGATTTATAGCTTTACTTTAGATAATTCACACTTATAATACTCACGTGATTGAAACTGTTCTATCTCCATATAAAACAAAGAAGTTGAACTTGACTTACTTCCAATTATGTCTGTAAGGATGGAGTATCTATTTCATTAAGTACAGTGAAGCATTAGGAGCCAATTCCTCTGCTTTCTCTCCGTATTTCCCTGCCTGAGTATGGCTCCTTCAGTCACCTTTCTCTGGTCCTCTTTGGTGGGCCTCTTGATGTGTTGTTCTAGGGGCTATCTTAAGAGACACTTCCACTTGATACAAAGCATATTTCAAATCTAATGTTGTATGCTTGGCAAAGGAAAAGGTAAATAAAGTTATCTGAAAGGTTTCTCCCCAGAATGAAGTCTCAATATATCTCTCTTCAAAAAGGCATCATTATGTTTTAAGGAATTGTGGTTAATTTTTGTAGGTATAATAATGGCATTGTGGTTATGTTTTCAAAGAGTGCTCGTTTTTTAGAGATACATCTCAAAATATTTATGGATTAACCATAATAAAAAACCGATCATTATAGAGGGAAGTCTGCATAAATATCTCCAAAAATAATTCCTAGGCTCCAAGACAGCATTACAAATGTAGCGTTTAAAGAATTATTGCAACAAAAATACTAAAGGAATTGCTAAGGAAATAATTTATGGCATATACACACACTAATCTGATACTAAATGATAGTCTGTTGTCATTTCTAATCATTTTACATACTCTATGGGGGGAGGAGTGAAAAATGACAGCCCTTGAGCCAAACGAAACCTAACAGCTGTTTTTTAAATGCAGTTTATGGGAACCACTATTGCACACATTCATCAGTGGGTCTCAACCAGGGACAATTTTGGCCTCTAGGTACACCTGGCCATGTCTGGAGACATTTTTGACTGTCACAACTGGGGGAGGGGCAGCTATCAGCATTGAATGCTGGCATCTTGTGGGTAGAAGCCAAGGATTCCCCTAAACATCCCAGGATGCACTGGGCAGCTTCCTATAGCAAAGTATTATCCGGTCCAAAATATTGGTAGTGCCAAGGTTCAGATACTGTAGTTTATATATTGTCTCTGGCTGTTTTGTACTAAAATGGGGAAGTTGAATAGGTGTGACAGGGACCACATGGCCCACAACACCTAACGTATTTACTATCTGGCCCTTTACAGAAAGTTTGCCAATTCTTGCTCTATATAAAACCATAAAATATAAATAAGCATCTCGTGTACAGTAAGTTATCTATCAATGCTAGAAAACTCCCTTTAACATTTTTTCTTCTAGAAATGAGAAGCAACATTTTAATTTCTACCTCTTCTAGCCATATAAAGGGCTAGAGTAAAAGGCTGTACTATATTTTATTCTGATTTATTAAAGGGATACTTAAAAGAGTGTTTCTCAAAAGTTAATCCACAGATCACTAACACGCCATGAAATTTCACTGGCACATAGTGAACTGGGAAAAGTAAAGATAAATGTGGGAGTCTGTCATAAAGCTGACGTAATATAACAGGCTGTTCCTGGCCAGACACGGTGGCTCATGTCTGTAATCGCAGCATACTGGGAGACTGAGGTGGGAGAACTGCTTGGAGCCAGGAGTTTGAGACCAGTCCAGCAACATAGTGAGACTGTCTCTACAATAATAATAATGATAATAATAATAATAATAATAATAATAATAATAAATTAGCCAGACATGGTGGTGCACATCTGTAGGCCCAGCTACTTGGGAAGCTGAGGCAGGAAGACTGCTTGAGCCCAGGAGTTTGAGGCTGCAGTGAACTATGACATCACTGCACTCCAGCCTGGGCAAGAGTGAAACTGTTTTTTAAAAAAGGGTCTGGGTCGGGGGTGGGGGAGGGGCAGGCACGGTGGCTCACACCTGTAATCCCAGCACTTTGGGAGGCCGAGATGGGCGGATCACCTGAATGGTTCGAGACCAGCCTGGCCACCATGGTGAAACCCTGTCTCTACTAAAAATACAAAAATTAGCTGGGTGTGGTGGCAGGCACCTGTAATCCCAGTTACTCAGGAGGCTAAGGCAGGAGAATTGCTTGAGCCTGGGAGGTGGAGGTTGCTGTGAGCTGAGATCACGCCACTGCACTCCAGCTCAGGTGACAGAGCGACTCCATCTCAAAAAACAAAAAAAAAAAAAAATGGAGGGGGGAACTGTTCCTACATTTAAAAATATTAAAATGTCCTTTCTTTTCTGAAACAATGCTGATAATAGGTGTTGTGTTTTTAATATGGCAAAATTAAGAGTTGGGAACATTGTGCCAAACCATTTTTTTTTAATGTTCGTTTTTGGAAATCCAAAAACAAATGGATTTTTGAGGGATCAGGGAACCACTGATTTAGAATCTTGTGCTCCAACATAGATTCTTTGATGTTTAGTATATTTCACACAACATTGCTGAAGGTATTTCTTAAATGTGTTTTGCAGTGTCTAATAAGGGATGAACTACAGCTGAAGGCTTTTCCACACTCATTACAATCATAAGGTTTTTCTCCAGTATGAATTCTCTGATGTTTAGCAAAGGATGAATCATGCCTAAAGGCTTTCCCACAATGACTGCATTCATAAGGTTTTACTCCAGTATGGACTCTCTGATGGATAGAAAGATGTATTCTCTGGCTAAAGGCTTTCCCACATTCCTTACATTTATATGGTCTTTCTCCAGTATGAGTTCTCTGGTGTTGAGTTAGGTATGTACTATGGCTGAAGGTTTTACTACATACATTACAAATATAGGGTTTCACACCAGTATGAATAATCTCATGTTGCCTAAGGTGTCTAATCTGGAAAAACGCTTTTCCACAGTCTTTGCATGTAAAAGGTTTCTCTCTAACATGAGTTCTCAAATGCTGGATCAGTCCAATGCTCTGGCTGAAGGCTTTCTCACATACCCTACATTCATAGGGCTTTTCCCCGGTATGAATTCTAACATGTTGAGTAAGCGATGAAGGATGTCTGAAGGTTTTCCCACACTCCTTACATTCATAGGGTTTCTCACCAGTATGAATTCTCTGATGCGGAATAAGAGATGAACTTTGGCTAAAGGCT